>NW_025791800.1:0-334997 GCF_000001405.40 Homo sapiens
ATACATGCTACCTTATGTGAAAAATGGATCTTAGCAGATGTAATTAAATTAAGGATCTTCTTTTCTTTGAGGTGGGGTTTCACACTGTTGCCCAGGCTGGAGTGCAGTGGCAATTATAGCTCACTGCAGCCTTGAACTCCTGGGATAAAGCGATCCTCCCGCCTCAGCCTCCTGAGTAGCTGGGACTACAGGTACATGCCACCACACCTGGCTGATTTTTGCATTTTTTTTAGAGATGGGGTCTTACTATGTTGCCCAGGCTGGTCTCAAACTCCTAGCTTCAGGCAATCTTCCCACCTCAGCCTCCCAAGTAGCTGGGATTAGAGGAATTGGCTACCGTGCCCAGCCTAAATAAGGATCTTGAGATGAAGAGATAACCTTTAATTATCTAGCAGGGGCCCTAAATGCAATCACAAATGTCCTTATCAGAAAGAGGCAGAGGGAGACTAAACACAGAAGAGGAGAATGTCACATGACCACTGAAGGAGAGATCACAGTGATGCAGCTACAAGCCAAAGAATGCCAGCAGCCACCAGCAGCTGGAAGAGTGAAGGAATGGATTCTTCCCTAGAGCCTCCAGTGGAGGGTGGCTCTGCTAAAACCCTGGTTTCAGCCTAACGAAACTGGTTTCAGACTTCTGGCCTCCAGAATTGAAAGAGAATAAAATTCTGTTGTTTTAAGCCAATCACATTTGTAGTAATCTGTTGCAGATGGATTAAAAGACAAATCACAATGGAGTCAAGGGTTTAGCAATTAAAAAATTAATCCAATTTTACAGATGAAAAAACTAAACAGAGAAGAGGCCAAATGGAATGAAAAATCCATACACACAGCAGGAGACAGAGCAAAGGCCTGGACTCAGGACACTTCTGGGTCTCACAGCCCTTTCTTAGGAAGAGAAGTCAAGCCTTTGGCCAGATTGGGTGCCCTTCTAACCATCTCGGGAAGTTTCTAGCACTGACCAATACTGTCCAACATAATGGCCACTAGCCACATGTGACCTTTAAATTAATTGAGTTAAATTAGAAATTTAGTCCCTCATTTGCACAAACCACATTTTAAGAGCCCAACCCCCATGCATGGCATATGACCACAACATTGCACAGCACAGATCTATAAACATTAACATCATTGTAGGAAGTGCTGCTACTGGACAATGCTGGACCAGACACCTGGAAAACCCAGCAGATTTCTCCCCAGACTTATCAACTCCATGTCTGCTTTCTTCATAATATATACCAACACCTAGTACACTGGTCAGGATGCCTTGGGAATCCAGTAAAGACATATGAAGGCACCAGGGACTGTGTACGGCTTTCCTCATGCCATGAAGGTCACTGCAATATGGGCCAAGGACCATAGCCAGTGAAACTTCCTTGGCTGAGCCCAGGAGCAGCACAGGGAGGCTGAGAACAAGATAGAGGAGACTAACACTCTTCTTAGACCCTCCCTAGACCCAACTCATGCCTCAGGAGAGTCCAAGGAGCTCCCAAAGCCACCTAGCATTCAGAGCACCCATCAGAGGCCACTCCTGGCCTGTTCTGATGGGATGTCCTCGTGGGATCCCAAGAGAAGTCTGATACGCTCTATTACACACTCTCTAGAAAATATCGGTTAATATTTGTATGGCCTTTTATACTCCAAAACCAATACTATGGTCTCCTTTGATGCATATAACTGGTGAAGCACAGATCTCCATTTTACAGATGAGAAAATGGAGGTTTAAAGAGGTGAGGTGAGGTGAGTTACCAAAGGTATATGGGGAAGCCAAGATCCAGTGAAAAATTCCAACTCTAAAATTTACTTTTATATACATTTTTCTCAAGTGTCTATGGAACATTATCCAGGATAGATCACATGTTAGGCCACAAAACAAGTCTTAATCAAGGAACACTGAAATCATATCAAGTATCTTTTCTGATCACAATGAGATGAAACTAAAAGCAGTAACAGGAAAAATCACAGACAATTTACAAGTATATGAAAGCTAAATAATATGTTCCTGCATGACTATTGGGTCCAAGAAAAAATTAAAGAAGAAAATATAAAAATATATTGAGACAAAGGAAAATGGAAACACAACATATCCAAACTTATGAGATGCAGCAAAAGCAGTACTAAGAGAGACTGTATACCAATAAATACCTGTATCAAAAAAAAGGAAAGATCTCAAATAAACAACCTAATGTTATACCTCAAGGCACTAGAAAAAGAAGAACTAAGCTCAAAGTTAGCAAAAAAAAAAAAAAAAAAAAAAAGGAAATAATAAAGACCAGAGCAGAAATAAATTAAATAGAAACTAGAAAAACAATAGAAAAGATCAACAAAACTTAGCTAGACTAAAAAAAAAAAAAGAGAATATGGCTGACTAGACACAGTCAGGTGGAACAGCTGTCACCAAGGGACCAAGACGATGGGCGCACTCCTAACAGACCTTCAAAGGGAAGGCACCAAGAGTGGACAGAGGAAGGCTGGGCTGATGGGGAAGGAAACTGGGAACGCTGCACAGGACTACCGTGCACCAGGACTCATTCCTGGCCCCCAATGACTCTAGGGGAACAGGTTAGTTCACTTGGCCAGGAGCAACCCCATTCTTACCACGGCCCTCTGGAATCCCAGCAAGAGGTGACCCCTAGACCACCACAGACACTGTAGTTGGCAAGGAGAGCTGCTTAGAGAAGTGGCAGGGGCAGCAAGCCAGCTGACATGGAGCCCAGAGCGCTTGGTAAAGGAGCGTGTGTAGCACAGCACAGCCAGGGATGGCCATCCCTGGCTGACTTGCTCCCATTGGAGACTTTAGCCCCAGGGATACTGTCAGACCTGAACTCTACAGGGTAGTCTTCTCCATCAGATGGGACTGGTCTGACCTGAGCACCCCTTGGTCTGCTGGTCTCTCCCAGAAATCCAGCCTGACCGTGCCTGCTTGCAGGGCAGCCTCAGGTGCCCTGGGGCCTGTATCATAGCTTTAGCGCTGGCAAACCATGCCTGACCTGTAGAGAGCTCCAGTGGGAGGGCCCCCACAGCCACACACCAGCCTGACACTCCCTCCCCACATGGCAGCTTCCCCCTGGACCACGGCAACCCCTCACATTGCTTTACTGGTGCATGTGTGTGAACGGTTTTGCTTTTCTTGCCCTGCCAATGTAGATGTATATATGTTCTTTGCCCTGCCACTGCTACACTGCGAGTGCAGTCCACCCGCCCCTTCCCCCTACCAACTGCCATTGCAATTGAAGCCTTAGTGGGCACAGAGACAGCCAGGCCTGTCCTCACCAGCACCCTGCTCTGGATCCAACACTGTCACGGGAGTCAAACTAGGCATGAAGAACAGCAGAACCTCCCCCACTCTGAGCAACCATTCCTGCCTATGGAGAACACACAAAGGCCTGTGCCTGCTAGCACCTGTGCAAACATCACCACCAGCATGACCACAAGCATAGTCACCAGCAGGGACCTCTTGACACCCCCAGCCATGTTGCCTCTGCCACTGTGGTGAACGCCTGCACAGGGGCAGGCATGCTGGTACCCGCTATCACCCTGCCACAGCCAACTAGAGAGCACCCCACTACGCTGCTGCTGCTGCTGCTGCTGCTGTTGGCACGTACAAGCAAGGACAGATCCCCCTGTCACTGTATTATGAAACACTTTGGCTGACACCAACTATCAAAGTGTAGTGACCAGTGGTCTGCGAGCACCTCAGCCCCGCCAGTGCAGTGGATTTCTAACCGTGAAGAGACAGAGAACAAAGTCAAGGCCAATACAAGTTCCCCAGAATTAGAACACACAGTCTAGGAGTTGGGAGCTGAGCCCTAATTCCCTAAAATCTTCTAAAATAAAGCCAGTCTGCTGAATCCACGTTACACCACAAACCCTCAAGGTCATCAGATAGGATAAAAGAGGAAAAAAAAAACCATCAGCAAGTTCAAAGATTGAAGGAACATAAAATGATGAGAAAGAACCAGCACAAGAACCCTGACAACTCAAAAAGCCAGAGTGCCTTCCTTCCTCCAAACAACCACATCACCTCTCCAACAAGGGTTGTGAACCAGGCTGAGATGGCTGAAATGATAGAAATATAATTCAGAATATGGATAGAAACAAAGATCACTGAGATACAGGAGTACATTGAAACTCAATTCAAAGAAGCTAAGAATCACAATAAAACAATGTAGGAGCTGACAGACAAAACAACCAGCTTAGGAAAGAATGTAACTGACCTGACAGAGCTGAAAAACACACTACAATAAATTCATAATACAATCACAAGTATAATAGCAGAATAGACCAAGTGGAAGGAAGAATCTCAGAGCTTGAAGACTAGATTTGTGAAACAAGGCAGTCAGATAAGATTAAAGAAAAAAGAATGAAAAGGAACAAACAAAACCTCCAAGAAATGTGGGATTATATAAAGAGACCAAATCTATAACTCATTGGTGTCCCTGAAAGAGATGGGGAGAGTGTAGGCAACTTGGAAAACATATTTCAGGATATCATCCATGAGAACTTCTCCAATCCAACTAGAGAGGCCAACATTTAAATTCAGGAAATGTAGAAAACCCCAGTAAGATACTTCACAAGAAGATCATCACATAATCATCAGATTCTCCTTGGCCAAAATGAAAGAAAAAATGTTAAGACAGATAGAGAGAAAGGTCAGGTCACCTATGAAGGGAAGCCCATCAGACTAACAGCAGACCTCTCAGCAGAAACCCCACAAGTCAGACGAGATTGGAGGCCAATATTCAACAATCTTAAAGAAAAGAAATTCTAACCCAGAATTTCATATCTGGCCAAACTAAGCATCATAAGCGAAGGAGAAATAAGTTTCTTTTCAGACAAGCAAATGCTGAGGGAATTCATTACCACCAGACCTGCCTTACAAGAGCTCTGAAAGGAAGCACTAAATATGAAAAGGAGAGAACATTACCAGCTACTACAAAAACACACTTAAGTACACAGACCAGTGACACTATAAACCAACCACATAAACAAGTCTGCACAAAAACCAGCTAACATCATGATGACAGGATCAAATCCACACATATCAGCATTAACCTTGAATATAAATGTCTCATTTAAAAGGCACAGAGTGGATAAAGAACAAAGAGCCATTGGTATGCTGTCTTCAGGAGACTTATCTCATAGGCAATGACACGCATAGGCTCAAAATAAAGGGATGAAGAAAAATCTACCCAAGTAACTGGAAAACAGAAAAAAGCAGGGGTTGCAATCTGAATTTCAGACAAAACAGACTTTAAACTAACAAAGATCAAAGAAGACAAGGGCATTACATAATGAAAAGGGTTCAATTCAACAAGAGGACCTAACTATCCAAAATATATATGCACCCAGGACAGGAGCACCCAGATTCATAAAGCAAGTTCTTAGAGACCTTCAAAAAGACTTAGGCTCCTACACAGTAATAGTGGGAGACTTTAACATCCCATTGACAATATTAGACAGATCATCAAGGCATAAAATTAACAAAAATATTCAGGACCTGAACTCAGTACTGGATCAAATGGACCTAACAGACATCTACACAACTCTCCATCCAAAAACAATAGAATATACATTCTTCTCATTGCCATATGGTACATACTTTAAAATCAATTACATAATTTCCCATAAAACACTCTTCAGGAAATGCAAAAGAACTGAAGTCATAACAACCAGTCTCTTGGACCACAGATTTCTAATTTCTAATCAAATTAGAAATCAAGATTAAGAAATTCACCCAAAAACATAAAATTACATGAAAATTTAATAACCTGCTCCTGAATCACTTTTGGATAAATAATGAAACCAAGCCAGAAATCAAGAAGTTCTTTGAAACTAATGAGAACAAAGATACAACATACTAGAATCATTGGGACACAGCCAAGGCAGTGTTAAGAGGGAAATGTATAGCACTAAATGCCCACATCAAAAAGTTAGAAAGATCTCAGTTTAACCAAACATTACAACTAAAAGAACTAGAGAACCAAGAGAAAACCAACCCCAAAGCTGCTAGACAAGAAATAACCAAAATCAGAGCTGAAATGAAGGAGCCTGAGACACAAAAAAGCATTCAAAAGATCAACAAGTCCGAGAGTTAGGGTGGTTTTTTTTTTTGAAAAAAAATAAAATAGACCACTATGAGATTAATAAGGAAGAAAAGAGAGAAGGTCCAAATAAACACAATTAGAAACAACAAAGGAAAATTACCCCTGACTCCACAGAAATACAAAAAACCATCAAAGAATATTATGAACATCTCTATGCATACAAACTAGAAAAATCTAGAAGAAATGGATAAATTCCTGAAAACATACACCCACCCAAGACTGAGCCAGAAAGAAACTGAATCCCTGAACAGACCAATAACAAGCTCTGAAATTGAATCAGTAATAAATAGCCTACCAACCAAAAAAAGCTCAGGACCAGATGGATTCACATCTGAATTCTACCAGATGTACAAAGCAGAGCTAGTACCATTTCTGCTGAAACTATTCTTAAAAATTGAGGAAAAGGGACTCCTCCCTAACTCATTCTATGAGGCCACCATCACCCTGATATCAAAACCTGGCAAAGACATAACAAAAAAAAGAAAACTTCAAGCCAATATCCTTGATGAAGACTGATGCAAAAATCTTCAAGAAAATAGTGGCAAACCAAATTCAGCAGCACATCAAAAAGCTATCTGCCACAATCAAGTATGCTTTACCCCTGGAATGCAAGGTTGGTTCAACATACACAAATCAATAAGTGTGATTCATTGCATAAACAGAACTAAAGACAAAAACCACATGATTACTTCAACAGATGTAGAAAAGGTTTTCAATGAAATTCAACATCCCTTCATGTTAAAAACTCTCAATAAACTAGGTAATGAAGGAACATACCTCAAAACAGTAAGAGCCATCTACAACAAATCCACAGCTGACATCATACTGAACAGGCAAAAGCTGGAAGCATTCCCCTTAAAAACCAGTACAAGACAAGGATGCCCTCTCTTACCACTCCTATTCAACATAGATTGGAAGTCCTGGCCAGAGCAATCAGGCAAGAGAAAGAAAGAAAGGGCATCTAAATAGGAAGAAAGGAAGTCAAATTATCGCTGTTTACAGATGACAAGATTCTGTATCTAGAAAACCCCATAGTCTTGGCCCAAAAGCTCCGTAAGCTGATAAACAACTTCATTAAACTCTCAGGATATAAAATCAATGTACAAAAGGGATGTTGTTGGTGTATGGCATTTCCTATACACCAACAACAGTCAAGTCAAGAGATAAATCAGGAATACAATCCCATTCACAACTGCCACAAAAAGTATAAAATACCTAGGAATACAGCTAACCAGGCAGGTGAAAGATCTCTAAAAGGAGAGCTACAAAACACTGCTCAAAGAAATCAGAGATGACACAAACAAATGGGAAAACATTCCATGCTCATGGCTAGGAATAATCAATATCATTAAAATGGCCATATCACTCAAAGTAATTTATAGATTCAATGCTATTCTTATTCAACTACCAGTGACATTCTTTAGAGAACTAGAAAAAGGTATTTTAAAATTCATATGGAACCAAAAGAGGACCCAAATAGCCAAGGCAATCCTAAGCAAAAAGAACAAAGCTGGAGGCATCATGCTACCTGACTTCAAGCTATACTACAGGGCTACAGTAACCAAAACAGCATGGTTCAAAAATAGACACATAGACCAATGGAAAAGAATAAAGAACACAGAAATAAGCCTGCACAACTACAGCTATCAGACACTGGGGCCTATCAAGGGATGGAGGATGGGAGGAGGGAGAAGATCAGGAAAAATAAGGAATAGGTACTAGGCTTAATACCTGAGTATTGAAATAATCTGTATAACAAACCCCCGTAACACAAATTTACCTATATAAATACATGCACATGTACCCCTGAACTTAAAAAACACAAGAAGAATAAAACATGAGAGAAATGCGGAAACAATGTTCCTCAACACAATAAAAGCCATATATGATAAGCCCACAGCAAACATCATGGTCAAAAGTGAAAAGCTGAAGACTTTTCCTCTAGAATCAAGAACAAGACAAGGAGGTTCACTCTCAAAACTTCTGTTCAACACAGTACTGGAAGCCCTAGCCACAGCAATTACACAAGCGAAAGAAATAAAGCATACAAATAGGAAAGGATGACAAGAGATGGTCTCTGTGGACAACATGCTGTTATATATGGAATATCCTAAAGACTCCCTGAAAAAACCGCTAGAACAGATAAATTCAGTAAAGTTGCAGGATACAAAATCAACTTAACAAAAATCAGTCGTGTTTCTATACACCAACAACAAATCGTCTGAAAACAATCCCATTTACAATAGCATAAACACAGGAATACATTTAACCAAGGAAGTGAAAGATCTGTGTACTGAAAACTATAAAACATTGATGAAAGAAATTGAAAATAACACAAATAAATGAAAAGATACCCCTATTCATGGATTGGAATAAATTAATATTGTTAAGATGTCCATATTACCCACAGTGATCTACGGATTCAGTGCAATCTCTATCAAACTTTCAAAGCCATTCTCAACAGGAATAGAAAAAACCATCCTAAAATTCATAAAGAACCACAGAAGACCCTGAATAGCCAAAGCATTATCAACCAAAAAGAATGAAACTGGAGGTATCACACTACTGGATTTCAAAAGATATCACAAAGCTACAGCAATCAAAACAGCATGGTACAGACATAAAAACAGACACATCAACCAATGGAATAGGACAGAGAGATGAGAAATAAACCCAAACACCAAAAGCCAATTAATTTTTGACAAACGTGTCAAGAATACACAATGAGAAAAAGACAGTCTCATCAATAAACGGTGTTGGGAAAATTGCATATCCACATACAGAAGAATGAAAATGAACCCATGTTTCACCCCTTATACAAGAACCAACTCAAAATGGATTAAATACTTGAATGTAAGACCTGAAACTGTAAAACTACTAAGAAAAAACAGGGAGAGAGTTCCAGGACATTGATCTAGGCAAAGATTTCTTAGATACGACCTTAAAAACACAAGGAACAAAATCAAAAATAGATAAATGAGATTGCATCAAACTAGAAAACTTCTGCACAGCAAAGAGAACAATAGAATGAAGAGGCAACCTACAAATTGGGATAAAATACTTGCAAATCATACATTGAATCAGAAACTAGTATCCAAAATGTACAAGGAATTCACACTACTCAATAACAACAAAACAAATAACTCTCTTAAAAAATAGGCAGACTGGACGCAGTGGTACACATCTGTAGTTCCAGCTACTCAGGAGACTGAGGCAAGAGGATCACTTGACAATAGAAGTTCAAGGCTGTAGTGTGCTATAATCATGCCTGTGAATAGCCATTGCACTCCATCCTGGGCAACATACCAAGACCCCATCTCTAAAAAAAAGTAAAATGAAAAATTTTACATGGGCAAAGGACTTGAATAGACATTTCTCAGAAGAAGACATACAAATGTTCAACAGATACATTTTTTAAATGCTAAACATTTCTGATCATCAGAGAAATGTGAATTAAAACCACAATGAGAAATCACCTTACAACTGTTAGAATGCCTGTTATCAAAAAGATGAACAATACCAAGTGTTGGTGAGAATGTGGAGGAAGGGGAATCCTTATACACTCTTGGTGGTGTTGGAAATTTGTATAACCATTTTGGAAAACAGTACGGAGGTTCCTCAAAAATTAAAAATAGAATTACCATACATTACAGCAATCCCACTATTGGTATATATCTAAAGGAATTGAAATCAATATGTCAAAGAGATGTCTGCACTGTCATGCTCACTGCAGCATTATTCACAAGAGCCAAGATACAGAAACAACCTAAGTGTCTATCAATGGATACATTGACTTTAAGTGTGGTAAATACAAACAATGGAATACTATTCAGCCTTAGAAAAAGAAACAGAAAATTCTGTCATTTGTGAAGTATCAGTGATCCTACAGGGCATTATGTTAAGTGAAATAAGTCAGGCCCAGGGAGACAAATACCATATTATCTCACCTACACGTAAAATCTAAAAAAGTTGAACTCACAGAAGTAGAGAGTAGAATAGTGGTTACCAGAGGCTGAGGGTGGGAGTAGGTGGAAAGTGAAAAGGACAATGTTGGGCAAATGGATACAAGGTTACAGTTGCATAGAAGGAATACGTTTTGGTGTTCTACTGCACAGCAAGGGAACTACAGTTAATAACGGATATTTCAAAATAGCTAAAAAAGAGGATTTTAAATGTTCTCACCCAGGGCCAGGTGCAGTGGCTCATGCCTGTAATCCCAGCATTTTGGGAGGCAAAGACAGGCAGATCACTTGAGCTCAGGAGTTCAAGACTGGCCCGGGCAAGATAGTGAAACCCTGCCTCTCCAAAAAAACACAAAAATTAACCAAGTGTGGTGGCATGTGTCCATAATCCCAGCTACTCAGGACGCTGAGGCAGGAAGATCGCTTGAGCCTGGGAGGCAGAGGTCACAATGAGCCAAGATTGTGCCACTGTACTCCAACCTGGGCAACAGAGCCAAACTCTGTCTCCAAAAAAGTAAAATAAAAAAAAATAAATAAAAAATAAATGTTGTCACCACAAAGATATGGTAAATATTTGAGGTGACATAGGCTAATTACCTTAATGTGATCATTCCATAATGTATACATGTGTCAAAACATTATATACCCCATAAATATATATAATTGTCAAAAATAAAACTTAAAGAAATTAAAAAGTAAAATTTGCGTTCTACACCACCACTTGTTCTTCCATCTTCCTTTAAGATATACAGACATGCCCCAAGTCTTCTTGCAGGTATAGCTGGGGCTTCCTCATCTTTGTAGTCAGGTGGCATCTAGCAGTGCCTGTCTCAACCAGTCCATAGCCAGGTTTTCAAATCTCACACTCTTTCCTTGGGAGAGGCTGAGAAGATCAATGGAGTCCAAACAGAAATGAGACAAATATTTGGAATTGCACTTCTGAGTTCTTAACTCCAGAAATGCAGGAATTTTGTGCGAATTTACTTCATTGATTCCTTATACTGAAACACAAGGCTGTGTTATCTCTATTGAGAAAAGGCTGTAAAGGCAGACAAAAGGCATTTGTGTCCATACGGCCATGTGCTTTAGCTTCTACTTTTCTCACACACAGACACCAGCTAGGACTCCATGGACACTCATGGTATTCCAAACGTATGATAACTTAAACCACATCATATGTCAAAAGGCTTAATTTAATCATCATTTCAACTCTATGAAGTAAATACTATCATGATTCCCATTTCACAGATGAAGAAACTGAGGTTTGAGGAGTTTAAGTAAATTTGCCCTCCATCACAACTCATAGGTGACAAGAGTTGGAATTTGAATATAGGTCTGTCTGATTTCAAACTTCTAACCATGGCAGTATTCTGCCTCTCAAGAAAGATTAAAATAGTTTAGATTCATAGAAACTTCTCATAGAAAATGCAGCCCTGGGGAGAAGCCTTCAAAATAGTGCTAAGTTTCTCTGTGGGCCTATATTTCTTATTTTGACCATATTCCTATTCCACTCTTGGCATCTCCACTGCCAACATTTGTCTTTCTTTTGAAAGGATGCCCTTTATTTAACAGAAAAACCCAGAACTCTTCAGAATCAAAAAGGCCAAAATAGGCCGGGCGCGGTGGCTCACGCCTGTAATCCCAGCACTTTGGGAGGCCGAGGCGGGCGGATCACGAGGTCAGGAGATCGAGACCATCCCGGCTAAAACGGTGAAACCCCGTCTCTACTAAAAATACAAAAAATCAGCCGGGCGTAGTGGCGGGCGCCTGTAGTCCCAGCTACTTGGGAGGCTGAGGCAGGAGAATGGCGTGAACCCGGGAGCCGGAGCTTGCAGTGAGCCGAGATCCCGCCACTGCACTCCACCCTGGGCGACAGAGCGAGACTCCGTCTCAAAAAAAAAAAAAAAAAAGACCAAAATAAATGTTAAGCATTTAAAAAAAACTGACGTTCTGAGTCCTTTTCTCAGAGAAGCACATATTCTGACAAGTTATATTCTAGATGAAATTGCTTCTTGACTCTAAGCATCTAGGACTCTTTAAAAAAATTATTATAAAAATGTTCAAGCATTCATTAGAGACAAATGTAAAAAAAAAACTTTATGAATCTATCATCCAGTTTCAACAGTTACCAACACATAGCCAATCTTGTTTCATTAATCCCCCTGCACCCACTCTGTTTGCTGGTAATTTAAAGTAAATCCCACACATCTATCATTTTCCCTGTAAATACTTCAAGGCATCTTTAACTAGTAAGGATTTTTTTAAAACATAATCACAATGCCATTACTATGCTTAACAAAATGACAGCAATTTCTTAACATCATCTGAAACCCAATCATACTCAAATTTCTCCAACTGTCTCAAAGATGTCTTTTTTCAGTTGGTTCGTTCCCATCAGAATCCACACAAGATTCACACATTGCATTTGGTTATGTTCTTAAATCTCTTAATCTAAAGCATACATTGAATCCCTCTCCCTCTTCTTTTTTATGCTACTTATTTGCTAAGACAATTGAGTCATTTGTCCTATAGAATATCACACACGTTTTGGATTTCTGTGGTAACGTGTTTCTCTAGCCTTCAGAAAGTGAAAGTTAATTCTAGAAGTTTGATTAGTTTCAAAAATAATATGGTAGTCATTTCATTTAAAAAAATAAGAGGAGGCATGCAATATGTAGCAGTCTTTGAATGATTTAATAATTTTAAGATTTATCACTGAGTTCAGGGTTCACTGGTGTGATTCATCCAATTTTATACCTTCCTACTATCCACTTTCTCTTCCACCTAATGGTTTCAAACACCCACTGATAATTTTAAACATCACTCACCCATTATTGTATTAGGAGCTGAAAATGATGCTTTGTAACTTGTTTTTTGTTTTTTTTTTAGCCAGGGTCTCACTCTGTCACCCAGATTGGAGTGCAGTAGTGCGATCTTGGCTCACTGCAACCTCCGCCTCCCAGGTTCAAGTGATTCTCACACCTCAGCCTACCTAGTAGCTAGGACTACAGGTGCTCACCACCACACTCAGCTAATTTTTGTATTTTTAGTAGAGACGGGGTTTCACCATGTTGGCCAGGCTGAGAACTTTATTTTTATTATTCAGCATAAGAAGGTATAAAGTACTGATCATGTCGCGATCTGGATGAACCTTGAAAATATTATGCTTGGTGAAAGAAGCCAATCACAAAAGAGCACATATTTAACTAAAGCTTCCGTTTATATAATATGTCTGGAAGATAGGCAAATCCATAGAGACAGAAAACATATTAGTATTTGCCTAGGGCTGTGAAGGCGAAAGAGAATGGGGTGTGATTGCTAAGGAGTACAGGGCTTCTTTTGGCGTGAATGAAAAAAAAAAAAAAAAAAAACATATATATATATATATATATATATATATATATATATATATATGTTTTTTTTTTTTTTTTTTTTTTTTGAGACGGAGTCTCGCTCTGTCGGCCAGGCTGGAGTGCAGTGGCGCGATTTCTGCTCACTGCAAGCTCTGCCTCCCGGGTTCACACGATTCTCCTGCCTCAGCCTCCTGAGTAGCTGGGACTACAGGCGCCTGCCACCATGCCTGGCTAATTTTTTTGTATTTTTAGTAGAGACGGGGTTTCACCGTGTTAGCCAGGATGATCTTGATCTCCTGACCTTGTATATTTTAAACTTGGGTTGTGGTGATGTTTGGACAATTTTGTGAATATAATAAAAACCATTTATTCAATGATTGAGTTTCATGGTATATGAATTATATCTCAAGAAATATGTTAAAAAGAACTTTATGGGCTGGGCGCAGTGGCTCGCGCCTGTAATCCCAGCGCTTTGGGAGGCCGAGGTGGGTGGATCATTTGAGGTCAGGAGTTCGAGACCAGCCTGGCCAACATGGTGAAAACCGTCTCTACTAAAAATACAAAAAAATTATCTGGGCAGTAGTGGCATGCACCTGTAATCCCAGCTACTTGGTGGGGCTGAAGCAGGAGAATCGCTTGAGCTTGGGAAGTGGAGGTTGCAGTGAGCCAAGATCATGCCACGGCACTCCAGTCCGGGCAACAGAGACCCTGTCTCAAAATAAATAAATAAATAAATAACTTTCTCTCAGTCATCCATTTGGTTATGGTTATTTTCAATAGTTTATGCCAGAAAGTTTGGACAAATATTTTGTTTTCCTTTCACAGTAATGAGTTGGATACCCTAACAACCTTCAGTGATGTTAACGCCTTTCAAAGCATTTTTATGAACTCATGGATATTTACGTATTCAATGCGTATAAATCTATTGCATTCACTATTCTTTTCGATGTAAGCATTGTTTCACCTGTGGCCACTGGGCACTCCTTCAAGGTAGCTCCTGGGTCTTATTGACAGGACCCCAGCAGTCTTTGATGCTTCCCCTGCTTTCTGGCATAAGATAGCTCAGGTTCAACATGACATTTACTGCCCAAGAGCTGGAATCAGCCACTTCTCCAAAGAGACCTGGTTTTTAGTGGGCAATGGTATTAGGAAGCATAATCTGAGTGCTAAGGATGCTAATTGCTACTGAGGTGTCATTGCTTCAAAGACCTTTTCAGTGGACAGAATTAGGAAATACTTCTTAAAAAAAATAATGAATTCAAAGTACTATTTCCAATTCAAATTTAATGCATGTTTTGACTTGAATTTTACACTTGTATCTTGTTTTGGTCTTAGGTTGAAAATCTTGGTTTCTACTGACACTAACATCATAACTTTAAAACGTGATATTTTATAATACCAATTTCAAAACAATATTATTTTTATTATAAAGTTTTACTTTTTTTGCAGTTCTCCTTATCTTCAGGATGTATCACCTTCTGGAGATGTAAAGTCAAAATATTGTATTTGAACAACACTTATAATCATTTCCTTTCTGTGGTTATAAAATCAACTTGACATGTACTCGAGTTATTTGTTTCAGCTTGTTTTCAAGTTTTAGGAATTTCTTCTTTTCTTTATATAATCACCATATAGTCATACATACAGACACACGAAATCTTCATTCCTTTGTATAGATTCATGGTATACCTTTGTGTAAATGCATCATTGTTTATTTAACTACTGTCCTATTCGTAGACATATAGAGCCCGTCTTATTTTAATTACATCCAACAATGTACCTATCAAGTGATCTACAGAAAAAGAAAATGTAAATTTTAAAGTCCTTTGGGCTACTTCAACACTTTATTTATTCTTTATTCACTAAAAATTCATTCATTCAGTGAAAAAGCATTTATTGAATACCAATTATGTGTTAACCACTGTCCTAAGAGCTGCAGATACAGGAATAATGTGGTGTCTGCCCAGAGAGGTGTCAGCCCAGAGAGCTTTCAGTCTACACATAACCTGAATTCCATGTATCATGAACTTGCTCATAAATTATCTGCTAGCTTAACTAAAATTTTAGCAGATAAAGCCATCACAGCAACTTGAACTATCCCTAGAGAATTTTCCTTTAATTGTATCTGCTTTGAAAAGATATCCTCGTTTTTTGTTTTGTTTTGTTTTGTTTTTTGAGACGGAGCTCGCCGTGTCGCCCAGGCTGGAGTGCAGTGGCACGATCTCGGCTCACTGCAAGCTCCGCCTCCCGGGTTCACGCCATTCTCCCGCCTCAGCCTCCCAAGTAGCTGGGACTACAGGCGCCCACTACCACGCCCGGATAATTTTTTGTATTTTTAGTAGAGACGGGGTTTCACCGTGTTAGCCAGGATGGTCTCGATCTCCTGACCTCGTGATCCGCCCGCCTCGGCCTCCCAAAGTGCTGGGTTTACAGGCGTGAGCCACCTCGCCCAGCCTTCCTCGTACTTTTCAATATTTGTAGCAAGTCCAATCATTAGCTCAATAATCCAATCATAGCATTTTAGGAAATATGGATGCTCTGTAAGCAAATACTCCAGTGAAAAATAGCCAGGTCTAAATTTCTGTATGCAGAATTGCAGAATGCTTTACTTTCTTAGCCCTCTACTCGCCAGAGTTGAGGAAAAAGTAAATGCCCTGAGAATTTCGTAACAGCTTTGCCCTTAAGATTTTGCTGTCATATTCAATGACAACATACCATATTAACGCTTCCTATTTTTTTTTCAAATCACATTCTCAACATAATATATCACCAATAAGAACTTTTCTCAAAAACTTAAATACAAAAGTTATTTGAGGAAACTGCTTAAAAATTAAATGCAGAAAAAAGAGTAAGCTAGAAGTGATGACAAGAGTGGATGAAGGTCATTAACCCTAAAGAAGTAGGCATTTTATGGAAGGCAGTTACATCAGAAAGAGTCTAAGTCAATGCTTCTCCAATTTTTATATGCATGCAAATCATCTGGGGATTTCATTAAAATGCAGATTCTCAGTTAGTAGGTCAGGGTGGGGTCTAAAACTCTCCATTTCTTTTTTTTATTTTTATTTTTGTAGAGACAGGGTCTTACTATGTTGCCCAAGCTGGTCTTGAACTCCCTGGCCTCAAGCAATTCTCCCACCTCGGCCTTCGAAAGTACTGGGATTACAGGCGCAAGCCACCCCACACGGCTGAGATTCTGCGTTGCTAACAAACTTTCCCGGGTTACGCTAAAGCTGCTGGCCCACGGACCACAGTCTAATGGCCCAAATGCAGATGAAGATGAAGGTCTCTGAACAGAAGATGCTCTTATAACTCCTCTCTTTGCCATGCCCTCCCCAACTCCCATCCTCCCCCCATCTTCTAGGAATGAGTTAGTTCTCTAACTGTTGAAAATATAATCATTCCTAGGGGGCAGTCTTTCCAAGGTAAAATTTTATGTACAGGATATCTGTTTCTGGTAAAATAGCTCATTAGGTAATCTGAAAACACTCCTGCTAAAAAGCTATCTACAAATACTAGATAGCATATATCAAATATAGTTTTTAAAGGTGTAGTTGAGCTCACAAGAAAGGAAAGAAAATCCTTGGGGGTTGAAATCAGAGAGAACTGTAAACCAGAAAGTAAGTGCATCAGCACATGCTATGCAGCCTAGACCAGTTCCAGGTACCAGGAAGTGAGGTTTTCATAAACACAATGGAAAAAGATGGAAGATACTGAGTCTCTACGAGGAATGGTGTGAGAAACAAGAATATCACATAAAGCCAGGAGATGGTAATCCTCTAAGAAAACATTAACTAGAAAACATAACACTTGCCAGCATAGGGAGGTAAGAGTAAGGCCAGTGTGACTCACCTTGGGCTCTGAGCAGAAAAAATATGTTTCCCATTGGTAAGTTAAGTGTGTGTGTCAGAAAGTTACTGGTGGGAAATTCTGGAAAGATAGTTGTGACTGTGGAAGCAACTATCTTTTTTATGATATAAAAAGGGCAGGAGGAGAGACAGTATTTACAACAAAATTAGGTTAAAATGTAACCCTCATATCCCAAAATACAAATGAGTGAGGTGAGGACAGAGCATCAAGAGCCAGAGGAGTCCTGGGAGGTCTCAGCATCGATGTGGAAAGCAGCACAGGGAGGCACAAGGTACCTGAACCAACTAAGGACCGAAGAACCCAAAACAACAGATATTCACTGCAAAGCCCGGAGGGCCAATTTGAGAACAGCAATTGGTACTGGGAAGGTTCTTGCCCACTTCAGTAAATGGGGCCCACAGGAAGGTCTGAAGGGGCTGGAACAATTTAGCATTAATGAACTCTCAAAACTGATCCCGTAGGGTTCCCTCCCAGGACAAGACTCCAAAGTGAGGAGGAACTGCAGGGAGCAGAAAAAAAATTGAACAGGATAGGGACAACAGAAGTGATGAAGAGAGCCAGGCACGGTGGTTCAGGCCTGTAATCCCAGCACTTCAGGAGGCCGAGGCAGGTGGATCACTTGAGGTCGGGAGTTCAAGACCAGCCTGGGCAACATGGTGAAACCCCGTCTCTACTAAAAGGACAAAAAAATTAGCCGGGCATCATGGTGCATGCCTGTAATCCCAGCTACTTGGGAGGCTGAGGCACAAGAATCACTTGAACCCAGGCAGCAAGGTTGCAGGGAGCCAAGATCACACCACTGCACCCCAGCCTGGGTGACACAGCAAGACTCCGTCTCAATTAGAAAAGAAAAAAACCCATGGAATATTGTTCCCATGAGAACTTCCTTAGGAATCTGCTGGAAAATGAGGCTCAGACAACCAAAATGACTAGGGAGATATTAACACAAGACTAGCGGTGAGCATTAAGTATGTCTTTATTGTTTATATAATGAAGATTAAAAGGACAGTGTAGTAAGCAATGACAGACAGGTATTTAAATAACTTACCTGACCATTGGGAGGGATGAAGAAACTTCAGAGCCACATTGCAATTAAAAAGCTGTCTAGCAAAAAAGAGAAAACTGCGGCTACAGTTGCAGGCTCTATAACCCCACCATTTCTGCTCTGATCCATACCAGAAAATGGATGCTTCATGGACCGTCTCTCTCTCAATTTAAGTCAATTCCAAATCCAAATCTCACCGATTAATGGACATTAATTCCTATCTGGAATCCTAACTGTAAAGGAATTGGAGAAAATGCAGTATTTAGCTTTTGAGTTTCACAAATATGGGAAGGCACACTAGAAGGAGGTGCAGTAGAGGTTGAGCAAGTCTATCTACAATTACCAAAAGGAACTTCCTTAGGGAGGAACAGACATCTTCCAAAAACCTACTACAAATTTGCTACTTGTCAGTGAAATGTAAGGATTTAACATCAGTCACAAGAGAAGTCTGATGTATCTATTAAACATTATACTGAATGTTCTAAGTACAATAAAATAAGGAAGTATAAACATTGGAAAGAAACAAATGATTCATTACTGTTACTATTCAAAAGTGATGTGACTGTCTACATAGAAAAATCTAAAATAATCTATAGGCCCCAGAATTATTAAGAAAGTTTGGCAAGCCTTCTGAATGTAAGATAAATATACAGAAGTCAATTACACTCCAATGTATCAGTAATAGGAAATTAGAATAAATTGGATGCAGGGGCTCATGCCTATAATCCCTGCTTTATAAAAAAATTTTAAGAGATATTAGAATAAGTAATTTTAAAAATACCCCTTAGACACAAATCTAGCAAAAGATGTATAAGAACACTATTTTAAAAATCATAAAATTTTCCAGCCTGGACATGGTGAAACCCTATCTCTACTAAAAAATACAAAAATTAGCAGGGCATGGTGGCACATGCCTGTAGTCCCAGCCACTCAGGAGGCTAAGGCACGAGAATTGCTTGAAGCCAGGAGGTGGAAGTTGCAGCGAGCTGAGATCATACCACTGCACTCCAGCCTGGGTGACAGGGTGAGACTCTGTCTCAAAAAACAACAACAAAAATACAAATCATAAAATCTTAAAAACATTTGGGGTGTAATTTAGCAACTTCTAGTAAGTTTGAAAATGCATACCTTACAGCCCAATAATTAAAATCCTAGGTTTATACCTAAAAACACTCTCCCAGATTGGACAAGAAGGTAAGTAAGAACGTTCATTGAAGTTTACAATAGCAAAGACTGGATATCTAAGTGACCATCTACGGGGAAATACATAAACCGTGGTATAGGCCTACAACAAAATGCTATATAGCAGGCAAAACAAATAAACAAGAACCTCATTTATCAACATAGTATTTTTTTTTTAAAAAAAAAAGGTACGCTACCAAAGGCTACACACATCATGACGCCTCCTAAGTAAAATGACTAAACATGCAAAATAAAATATGGCTATGGATACTGACATACATACATTTTATATATATATATATATATATGTATGAAATCATGCATATATATATATGTATGAAATCATGCATGAGAATGAAATATATCAAAGTCAGGGTAGTAGTTACCACCAATAAAGAAATAAGTGGAACGGGCTTGGGGTGACAAACACAGGAGGCTTTACCCACTTTTGTATTATTATTTTTTTAAACCTGTATTTTTTAAAAGTATGACTTAGATAGCAGCTATGTGAGTGTTCGTATTAGTCTGTATAGTTTTCTGTAAACCTGAAACATTTTGTCATAAAAAAGAATAGCATTAATACCACAAAAAAGGTCCTTTACAGGATTTGGGCAATCTTCCCTTTTGCTCACTTCAGACGTGGTATACACTCAGCCAGTTTCTTTTCTCTAAGTGAGAGAAACTCAGCCACCTGTCTCTGCTCTCCCCTCCCTACTGTCAGTCTTGTTCTCCATCTCCTGTCCTCCCATGTGACCAGCTGCCGGTGAGATCAGACTAGAGCTTAGAGGACAGAAATGGCCCCACAGGCCTCTAGCCCAGGCCACCTGCTCCATCTGATACCAGAGGCAGGAGACTGGTAACAATAAAGCATCCCTTTGCTTTCCCTTCACCACTTTCTGCTATGTACTTATCTCCTTCAGTGACCTCTCTAGAGGAGGCAGGGATGTCTATGGATTAAGGTAGATTCTGGTATAGCTGGTTCCCTGAATATGATATCATTTAAGGGGCACAAATTTCAATATCAGGGTTTCAATATCAGGGTGTAGTGAAAGGAGCAACTCCCTTGGGACAGTGAGGATTTTTTGTTTTTCGTTTTTTTTGTTTTTTTCTAAGAACAGAATGATTTGTATGTCTACCAGGCAGATCAATGGCATAATTTGGTTCAGCCCAAGCCCTTTCTATAGAAAACTAATTGTGCTTTGAGCTAAAAACTCCATGGAGATTAATCTGATCTTAAACTTCATTTATAAAAGGTGAGAAACAGCTCAACTTTCTAGCCTCACTCTTAAGTAAAATTGTGTAGTGCTTCCTAAAATAAACCATTAATTCACTGTCACCAGAGCATCAAGGTTCACAACATTCTGCAAAACTAGATTTCTCAGGAAAACCTTGGCCTAAGTTCTTCAGCTTCCAAGAGATGGTCTCTTATGACCCAAAAGTTTACTTATCGTCTGCAAGTCCACAGTAAGGAAATCTCTTCCTTCACTTGGTATCCTGCACAGACCCTACAATGCCTTCCTGTTGCCCTTAGCAGGAAAGCCAGACTCCCTAAGAGGACACAGATGGTCCTTCGTGATGTGAACCGTCACTAGAACCACATCCATCTTATTCCATGGTATCACCTGCACCCAGCACAATGCCAGAAGCTTCATAAAGGCAAGAAGACATGGAACCTCTGCACCTCCCAACCCCACTCTCCCTCCAGCTTCTTCGGCTTCCACTGCATATGGGAATTCAAAATATTTGGAAATCCTCAGGAAAAAGTGCGCTTGCTCTAGACAGGAGAAACAGATTTCACTCTGATCTACAGCAGGCTGGGGAAAGTCAGCAAGGCTGATGAGATGTAAAGCATGGAATAAGATGCAGCCACCCCTGGGACTGGCTTCCTCTATGGAAAGGCAGGATGTACAGGGAGCCAGAGAATGGGGCCGGCTTGGGATGAGTTCTAGAGGCCTGGCCCTTCCTTCTGCCTCATATTAAGCCCCTCACCCCTTTACCCCCTGCCCCATCAGCTGGGGCCCCACTCAAACGGTATCAGCCCTAGTGATTTGGTGCCTTCTACCAAACTACGGAGGAAGTGTTTCCAATACCCCAATTTGGGTGCACTTGAGAGAAAAACAATATTGAGGGGGCCCTTACTTTGTGCCAGATAATCTATCACATACATCTCAACCAATCCTCACAATAACTCTATGTGACAGGTACTGTCACTGGGTTGAACTGGTTTAACCATAACTATTCACCGAATAACCAGAAAGATCTTTATAAAATATAAATAAATGAAATCATAACCACTCCCTAAAACTTTCTAATGGTTTTCCATTATGCTCCAAATAACATGCAAGTTCCCTGAGGTGATGTCCAAGGCCTGTGTGTTCTGGCCCTGCCCACCTGTGTCCTCAGCTCATGCCACCCTCCCCCTTGCTCACTGTGCTCCAGTTCACTAGCATTTTATTTGTCAAACTCCCTTCCTAGAGGAAGCTGGAAAGGTAGATCATTGCCATAGCCTTCAGTGTGTACTTTACTCTACAGGGATCAGCAACAGCTGCAACACAAGAGAGTAAGACCTAAAAACAGTAGGTGGTTTGAATATCCCATAAAAACGTACTCATATATTACTTATAAAATTTTTAAGAATGAACTTCCAAAGTTTCATCCTGCTCTTATGGTCAGCTACTGACATTGGCCTACAGGGCCTTAGCTGGCATCTGCATGCTGACATCTCCCAATTTTGTTCTAATCCAGGTGACTCTAACAAGCTGCAGACCTAAATACCCAGCAGCAACCCGGAAGCCCTCTCCCGCTGGATCCTCCACACACACTTCACCTCCCCAGTACTCCCTCCCAAGCAGGCACAAATCAAATGCCTGAGACATCCTAGACACTTCCTTAAACCCTACACCTAGTCAGTCATGCTGACTCAATGCTTGAATCGTCACTCCTCCTAATCCCCAAAGCCACATCTTTCATCCAGGCCCTCATTTCTCACTCAAGTTAGCACAAAAACCTAATTGCTCTCCTTGGGCGTTATCTTCCTTCCCCTCCAATTTATCCCCCAAACTATAACCAAAAAAACTTACTAAAATACAAATTGAAATATATCAGCCTTCCAACTAACTCCTCTACCCAAATCCCTAATCACCATATTAAAACCTGCAACTGGTCATCACAGCACTGAAAATAAAATTCCAACAGATTTCAAAGCTGTCTATGATCTTCCTCCACTCTAAGCTCCCATATTCTAGTCATGCTAAATGCCTTAAAGTGCGCCTCAGAATGTATCCCATTTTCACTCATTTGTCAAAGGTCATCTTTGCTAAATAGCTTTCTTGGAATAGCTCCTTCTTCATGAAGACTGAACATGAAAGTCCTCTGTCTTCTATGACATCTACCTAATCATGGCACTTTGATGATTACAGGTGACTAAAAGTCAACTTTTCAGTTAACTACAAGATTCTAAAGGCAAAATGTCTCATTTCTGTATTTCTACTGCCTGACACTAGGGGGACTGAATAAATATTCATACACTTTGTCTTGGAAGGTACTTCAGAATTAATTCTGGTTCTTTCCCCATCCTTTCACTGAATGTCTGTTATGCTCTGTAATCGACGTACTGAGCGAAAGTCCAGCTTCTTGAATACCTCCTGTGATGGGGAAGTCACTTATTAAACACCAACACCAACAAGGCCTCATGCTGGATATTATACACAGAACTCCACTAGAAGGAGCTCACAGCTGAGTCTGTTCCCTGACACCTGACAAGATCAAGCCCCTGCTGTGACTGCAGCTGGAAGCTGCTGACTTCCAGATTGTCACAGGTCTCAGAAACACTTGGCAGAAGGAACACTGGTGAAATGACTGCTAGAATTGGGCACGGGAAGAACAGTCCTATACTCAGCAGAGAGGAGACACACTGGCCTAAGGTTAATGTCCAGGAGTTAACTGGCACCTCGAGTGGACACATTCAACCAAATGGGAAAGCAAAGTCTGCTAAGACTCAATTCCTAACCAGATGAAATTTTATCAATGTTAAGTGTAAATATTTAATCTTTTAGTCTGGGCACAGTGGCTCACGCTTGTAATCCCAACACTTTGGGAGGCTGAAGTGGGCGGATCACCTAAGCTCAGGAATTTGAGATCAGCCTGGCCAACATGGCAAAACTCTGTCTCTACCAAAAATACAAAAACCAGCCAGGCATGGTAGCCTGCGCCTGTAGCCCCAGCTACTAGAGAGGCTGAGGCTGGAGAATCACTTGAATCCGGGAGGTGGAGGTTACAGTAAGCTGAGATCGCACCACTGCACTCCAGCCTGGGCAGCAAAGTAACACTATGTCTCAAAAAAAAAATTTTTTTTAATCATTTAGAAAATCACTCTTTAAAAACAATAAAGTTGCAACATTTTCAAATAGTTAACACTGCTGGGATTTCCCCAGAATTCTTCAACATCATGTTGTCAAAAAGAAAAAGCCTAATGGCAACATTTTCCTCTAATGCCAAAAGAATCTAAGAGAAAGGAGAAAAAAATTATTTAAATTATTTTATTGAAGGAGATAAGTTACTCAGATATTAACTGGTTGTAGGCAAAGGGAATAAACATGGTGAAGTCAGGTTTGCTGGTAAAGGGGAGACAGTACTAAACGCCCTGCCCAACAAATACTCAGAATCCAGGGTTTTCATATTTCTCCATGGTTCAATCTCTCACAGGTCACTTTCCATTCAAAGGATTATGGAGACCAAATAAGACAGGATTCTTTCAGGTATCAACCCAGAGTCTTTAGGTCTTCTCTCAGCCAAGGCATCGAGTGAAAATACAATTTATTTTTCGGATTCCTCTGGAGGATTAAAAAGTTTCTTTCGCATTGCAATGCCATGCTCCCTGCTCTTGGTCCTGTTTTCTACGTACTGAAAAATAAAAGAAGGGGGGGAGAAAAGAAACAGCAGATTATGTCACTATTTATAGCAGTTTACTATTTAGAAATATTTGCAAAATATAAATGTCCTTTGAGGTTAACAGGGTTTAAATTTTTTAAACATGTTCTTACTGACAAAATTCTTATCTTTTATTTAACCAAATCTGAGATTGGAAATAGTTACCTTAGAGAGTATCTCATATCTAGCACAATTTCATTCAATACAGTACAGCATCTACATGCTAATAGATGCACAAATGTTTGCTCAATCAATTTCCTCCCAAAATTTGAATTAAATAAGTACTGAAGATGGGCAAATTCTGTCCATGTTCTCCAGGGGCTTGCAGTCTAACTAGTCCTCTAACTTCTGCTGAGTACCTCTAGTGGAGAGGCTCACTTCCTTGAGAGGTAGCCTGTCTAACTGTTGGGACAATTCTACTCATTCCCAAGTTTTTCATTTTAAACCAAAAGTGCTTCCCTGTAAACTCCTTGAGAGGTAGCCTGTCTAACTGTTGGACAATTCTACTCGTTCCAAAGTTTTTCATTTTAAACCAAAAGTGCTGCCTTGTCAACTACCACCTTTTATTTCTTCTTGTCTGCTATAATTTTCAAACATTTAATTACAGATAACCCACTTACTACCTTTTGCGCTGAACATTGCTAGTTTCCACAACTGCTGCACAGAACACAGCCTCCATCTTTTAATATCTAACCTATAAAATGACTTTTATTTCATAAAGCACTTTAACATTAATGCCCCTTACCAAAAAAAAAAATCACAACCAAAATTGAATACAGTGCTCCAGTCACAATGACAGACATAGACTACAGTGGGCCTACATCTTAGACCAGCTCACATTGTATTTCTTTAGACATTATCAAGAGTAACTAGCTCTTAGCAACCATATTATCCTATTGACTCATATGGAAATACATAGCTCAACTTCCCAAGGTTTCTTCATCACGAACAGTTAACAAACCTGATACTCCTCAAATCCTATGTTTCTTAATCAGCTACATATAAACACAGTTTTCACCTCAAGAGGTTTTCAGCCTAGTATTCTGATCTGGCCAGCAGGTTACAACAGGAGACACAAAGCCTGGCACTTAGATTTTCTTAAATAGTTAACCTACATTTAAAGCAGAGGACCTTAAAAGTGTTTTTATATGTATATATGTACATGCTTATAATACATACACCAATCCAACACACTTTAAAGGTGGATGAGTGTGTTTTCCCCTGGGCAGAAGGGGAAAAGGGTAAAAGTAAATTCAAACAGAAAAAACTGAAAACATGTGAACAGTTAAACATCAGAATCTTTTAGGAGCCACAGATCTGGAGAGCGAGGCCACAGAAATTAAAGATTAGTGATACCGAGCTCATCAGGGACAAACCCCGCCACCCAAGAGAGAGTAATGAGGGGATTCATGACTTTGAGTTACTTCACTCTTCTGGACCAGTAACTTCAAATATAAGGAGGTGGGCTAGATAATCTTTAAGAAGTTTTCTAGGTCAAAAGTTTTGACTGAAGGATTCTAACATATCTTCTGGAATGGTAGTTTTCAAACTTTTTATTACTTCCTTGTCAAAAGGCTACTTCAGGCCGGGTGCGGTGACTCATGCTTATAATCCCAGCACTTTGGGAGGCTGAGGCGAGCAGATCACCTGAGGTCAGGAGTTAGGGACCAGCCTGGCCAACATGGTGAAACCCCGTCTCTACTGAAAATACAAAAATTAGCAGGGCATGGTGGCATGCACCTGTAATTCCAGCTATTCAGGAGGCTGAGGCAGGAGAATCACTTGAATCCAGAAGGAGGAGGTTGCAGTGAGCCGAGATCGCACCACAGCACTCCAGCCTGGGTGACAAGAGTGAGACTTCGTCTCAAAAAAAAAGCTACTTTAAATTACACATGAAGCACCAGGTCCCTTCAAAGTCATTCATTTTATCTATCATACATTAAATTTACTCATAAAATTGTTGGGGAAAAAATCAATAAAACGTATTCTAGAACAAGGAAGGATACCTGCTCTGAGAAAAAGCTTTCATATCTACCTTTAATCACGTCTACTGGATTGCCCCCAGCAATCAGGTTGAGAAGGGTCTTAAGGGAAACTCTTCAGAAGATAATACTTTGTAGCAGGCCAATAAAATAAGTTACAAAGCAAATTAAAATATAGTCTACATTAAAATATGCTAAGACATCTCCAAAGGAAGTCCAGATGGTCCCTGAATAAAAGGGGAGAAAAGGATGAATATGAAGTTACTCACAAAACTCAATCAAACAATACAGACAGAATGAAAGGCCAATTAACCCCAAACCAAACAAAACAATTAAGAGGGACAAAAGAGAATGCCACAAAAGTACTATTAGTGTTTCTTTTCAAGAAGAAGAACAAAAGGCCAGGTGCAGTGGCTCACACCTGTAATCCAAAACTTTGGGAGGCCAAGATGGGAGAACTCCTTGAGCCCAGGAGTCTGAGACCACCCTGGGCAACACAACAAGACTCCATCTCTCTAAAAAAAAGAAAAAAAAAAAGAATAAAAGGAGTGACACAGCGGAGTCCCAACAAGAAATGGCCATACCCTTTTTCTACTTAAAAGCTTCATGGAGGCTGGGCGCAGTGGCTCACGCCTGTAACCCCAGCACTTTAGGAGGCCAAGGCGGGCGGATAACAAGCTCAGAAGATCAAGACCATCCTAGCTAACACGGTGAAGCCCCGTCTCTACTAAAAATACAAAAAATTAGCTGGGCGTGGTGGTGGGCACCTGTAGTCCCAGTTACTCAGGAGGCTGAGGCAGGAGAATGGCGTGAACCCGGGAGGAGGAGCTTGCAGTGGGCTGAGATTGCGCCACTGCACTCCAGCCTGGGTGACAGAGTGAGACTCTGGCAAAAAAAATAAAAAAATAAAAAAGCTTCATGGAATGAAGTAATCAGATGACATATGAAGCAAACAGTAGCAGGAAAGCATCTGAAGCAAGCATTAAGAGTAGAGAAGAAATACATGAGTGCAGACTCAGAGATTAGTGATGGGCAAGCAGACAGAAAAACATCTACAAATTAGAGAATAAACATCTACAAATTAGAGAATAAAGTAACATAACTACACAGAGGACTTAGAAAAGAATTCAAAGAGAAAACATGAGATGTATAGGAAAACAAACTCAGACAAAATAAGAAAAATATCTCCAACGGTCTACCAAAAAGTCACTAACAGATCTCAGGCCAGCTGAGAAGACAATTTCATATGAAGATCTAATTGACAAAGCAGTGGCAAAATTTCTGAACTATACAGGAAAAAAATTTAAAAACATGAAAAAAACCTATGTTATACAGCTGAAAGTATGTAAAAAACAAATAGCCATACTGAATAAAATAATATGAGCTATATTTTTCCATAAGCTATTTATTTTATTTATTTTTTATTTTATTTTTTTTTAATTTATTTAGAGACAGAGTCTCTCACTCTGTCACCCAGGCTAGAATGCAGTAATGTGATCTGGGCTCACCGCAACCTCCGTCTCCCAGGCTCAAGTTATTCTCCTGCCTCAGCCTCCCGAGTAGCTGGAACTACAGGCGCCCGCCACCATGCCTGGCTAATTTTTTTGTACTTTCAGTAGAGCTGGGTTTCACCATGTTGGCTAGGCTGGTCTCAAACTCCTGACCTCAGGTGATCCGCCTGTCTTGGCCTCTCAGAATGCTGGGATTATAGGCGTGGGCCACCACACCCGGCCAATATTATTTTTTAGAGATAGGGTCTCACTCTGTCACCCAGACTGAAGCACTGTGGCGACCTAGATAGCTCACTGCAGCCATGAACTCCTGGGCTCAAGCGATCCTCCCGCCTCAGCCTCCCAAGTAGCTGGGACCACAGGTCTGTGCCACCACACTTGGCTAAATTTTAAGAGATTTCTTTGAGACAGGGTCTCACTATGTTGCCCAAGTTGGCCTCAAAGCTTTCACCTCAAAGGATCCTCCTGCCTCAGCCTCCCGAATAGCTGGGATTACAGATGCCAGCTCACAAGTTTACTATTAAAGAAACATCACCCTAGGTGTATTTTTCATGTAAACTGGCTTTTTCATATAAAGGACAAACATTTTTAGTAAATAATTTAAAAACACTAATAAGGCTGGGAATGGTGACTCATGTCTGTAGTCCCAGCACTTTGGGAGGCCAAGGTGGGAGGACTCACCCTAGGTGTATTTTTCATGTAAACTGGCTTTTTCATATAAAGGACAAACATTTTTAGTAAATAATTTAAAAACACTAATAAGGCTGGGAATGGTGACTCATGTCTGTAGTCCCAGCACTTTGGGAGGCCAAGGTGGGAGGACTCACCCTAGGTGTATTTTTCATGTAAACTGGCTTTTTCATATAAAGGACAAACATTTTTAGTAAATAATTTAAAAACACTAATAAGGCTGGGAATGGTGACTCATGTCTGTAGTCCCAGCACTTTGGGAGGCCAAGGTGGGAGGACTGCTTGAGGTTAGCAGTTTGAGACCAGCCTGGCCAAAACAGTGAGACTCTCATCTCTACAAAAAAATGTGTAAAACCTTAACCAGGCATGGTGGTACGCACCTGTCGTCCTAGCTACTCAGGAGGCTGAGGTGGGAGGATCACTTGAGTTTGAGGCTTCCGTGAGTTACGATCACCCTACTGCACTCCAGCTTAGGTGACAGAGCAAGAACCTGTCTCAAAAGAAAAAAGAAAAAAAGAAACAAACTATTACTCTTCACTGAGTACTCCAAAAAGTTCTTCAAACAGTAAAGGTGAATGTCACAATTTAAAGGGAATCCAGGAAGGGAAAAACAGCCTAAGCAGAAAACAAAATCAAAAGAAAGATGTTGGACAACTTCAAATATTATATTTAAATCTTTCAATATGAGGCAAAAAAAAAAAAAAGTTCAAAAATAACAAAAATGATATCTGAAAGGCAAAATTTTAGCCATCATATATTTTTAAAAGTTCTGGACACAAAAAATCTGATGTATGAAACAGAAATTGAATCAAATTTCTTTTCAAAGGTTTAAAATGCACTCTGCTTATTTGGCAGTGCCTGGAAAAAGACAATGAACTGTGTACTGTGGCTATTTGCCCAAGTCCAAGTTGTGCCCTAAAATCAAGTTCAGGAGATGACAGTGTTCCAAAACAAGTCAAATTAGATCCCTGTGGCTTACACAAACCATAACTACAAAGAAATTCAAAATGTTAAAGCTGAAAACAGCCTAATTCTAGCCTCCTCAATTTATATATAGAAATTGAGGCCCTGAGAGTTTTAGTTACCTACCAATCAGCTAATAGGTGACTGATATAAGTCTTTCTGCCGGCCAGAGATACAACTTCCTAAACCATTAAATTCATCCAGATGACCTACAGTAATCATCATAAGGAAGTTGTTTTCCTCATTTGTGTTCATGGCCAAAAAGCCATGTTCTAAAACTGTCCCCAGAAAAGCTTTCATTTCTTCCCCTAAACAGAGGAAGTTCATACATGTAAAGTCAATTTTCTGTTACACTAAAATGTGGGAAAAATTCAATAATGGCAGTAATACACAATATTCAAAAATGTTCTGTTCTATTGTTCAACCATATCCATCCTTTGACACTTTTCTTACCTCATTCTTCAGGCATTTTCTCAACTCCCGATCAACATCATTACAATAACCAAAAAATTTCAGAATGTTGTGCTAAAAGGAAGAAAAGGAGTAAAATATTTCATCCCATAATATGCCAAGGTTTGGGGCACATAAAATTTAAATACTGCCACAGACATGAGTTTACAGTGTCACTTTGTTAATAAACAAGTAATAGTTAAATCACATGTATAAAACACAGTTGGCCCTTGAACAACATGGATTTGAACTGCATGAGTCCACTTATACCTGGATTTTCTTTCAATAAATATATTGAAAACATTTTTGAACATTTGGAACAATTAAAAAAAACCTCACAGATGAACTACCATAGCCTAGAAATATCAAAAAAATTTAAGAGAAAGATACGGCATAAATGTGTAAAACATGTAAATACTGGCCGGGCACGGTAGCTCACAACTGTAAATTCCAGCACTTTGGGAGGCCAAGACGGGTGGGTGGATCACGAGGTCAGGCGTCAAGATCGGCCTGGCCAAAATGGTGAAACCTCATCTCTACTAAAAGTACACAAAAAATTAGCCAGGCGTGGTGGTGGGCGCCTGTAATCTCAGCTACTTGGGAGGCTGAGGCAGGAGAACTGCTTAAACCCAGGAGGCGGAGGATGTAGTGAGTCGAGATCGCGCCCCTGCACTACTCCAGCCTGGGCGACGGAGTGAAACTCCGTCTCAGGAAAAAAAAAAAAAAAAAAAAAAAAAGTGAATACTAGTCTATTTTGTCATTTACTACCATAAAACATATACAAATTTTAAAAAGATAAAATTTATCAAAACTAACACACACACAGAACATAAATAGCATCATTCAAATTTGAGAGAATTGTAAGCAAACATAAAGATATATCAAATCACAACTACATAAAATTAACTGCGGTATATACTGTACTGCCGTAATAATTCTGAAGTCACCTCCTATTGCTATTACACTGGGCTCAGACACTACAATTATCCACTTATAACACCCTGTGATACCAATAACATACACAGTAAGCAAGTCATGTTTACTGTAATAACCATAAAACTTGAATAACACCATGGGACCCATACGAAGTGCCACTAGTAATGCTGGAAGTGCTCCCAAGAAGCAGAGAAAAGTAATGACATTACAGGAAAAAGTTGAACTACTTGAAATGTACTGTAGATTGAGGTCTGCAGCTGTGGTTACCTACCATTTCGGACTGACATACATCATCTTGTAAACAGATGATGTAAACTTACAATATCAATAAATACAATACCATACCATAAATGTATTTTCTCTTCCTTATTTTTTCTCTAGCCTACTTTATTGCATGAATACAATATATAATACATATAACATACAAAACATGTGTTAATCACCTATTTATGCTATCAGTAAGGCTTTCAGACAACAGGAAACTCTCAGACAAGTTTTTGGGGAGTCAAAAAGTTATATGTGGACTTTCAACTGCATGGGGGTCAGTGCCCCGAACTTCCAAGCTGTTCAAGGATCAACTATACAAATGAACAAATTATCCTGGTTCTTCTTACAAAGAAGGAATAAATGTTCTGCAAGTAGAAACAAAGATTTAAAGACTTTTTCTTAATGATAGGGAAGCCTACTTACTAACTCACCAAAACCTCACAAAGACAGTATAAAAGTTTTATCATAACCTAACACCCTTTTCTTAAGGGAAATGTTAAAATCACAGCACAATCCATTCTCTATTACAGGGAGTGGTGTCAAGCTGCAGCATGGCCACACTGCCATGGGCAGAGTAACTTCACTACCAAACACTGTCCTGTAAAAGAGTTATCTAATAAATGCTTAGTGCCAGAGCCCTTTTCTCATTTGCCCCCATTCAAAATGTCACCAAAATACATCAAATAAGTAACACAGATGCGCGCAGTGGCTCACGCCTATAATCTCAGCACTTTGGGAGGCCAAGGTGGGCGGATCACCTCAGGTCAGGAGCTTGAGACCAGCCTGACCGACATGGAGAAATCCCATCTCTACTAAAAATACAAAATTAGCCAGGCATGGTGGCATATGCCTGTAATCCCAACTACTCTGGAGGCTGAGGCAGGAGAACTGCTTGAACCTGGGAGGTGGAGGTTGCGGTGAGCTGAGATCGCACCATTGCACTCCAGCCTGGGCAACAAGAGCGAAACTCCATCTCAAAAAAAAAAAGAAAAAAAAACCCACTATCATTAGATGCCCTATAAAGGTCATATAAATAAGCCACTAATTTACAATATAAGGAAATCTGCCTGAAGTTCAGTCTGATTTAAAAAATAAAATAACATCTCCTAGTTGTTTCTAGTCCTATGAGTATTATCGTGGCAAAAAGTATGCGTGCTCTAAAGCAGGTTAAGCTGAAGCCTGAAGTTAAGAACCTGAATTTCAGTAGGAACATAATTAGTGTGTTTGCACTTCACGATTTTCAAGGGTGGGTCAGACAGCATGGTGATCTGTTTTATAATGACAGGTCATAAATGCTGAACTTGGTAGTTGTAATAATAAGCACATCTTTTCCTTTTCGTTCTAATTAAGGCTTTCATGGAAACCAGACAACACATAATTAATAAGCTATGCCTCATGCTATTTCTTTTTTTCCTGCTTCACCACCATTTTAAACGTACGTTTCAATTCCACACTGAATAAGTGGTCAGTTTTTCCAGAAAGCATTTAACATAGACTAAAGTCTCCTATTTGTTACCTAATGACCTTTCCAGAATAAATTTTTTAATTAAAAAAACTTTTTGTACTTAATTTTTATTTTACTTTTTTCTTTCCTCTATCATTCCCAAAGAATAAATATTTCCTGTGTATTTTACTATACTACTACTTCCTTGACAACAAATAAACATGACAATGCATTTTCATGCCTTCAAGTCAAGTAGACTTTTCAAATGTGAGGCAATATTACATAGTTGACATTTATTCATATCATTCCACATATGTACATCTTAATTCAAAAATCCATGACAAAAACTAATTTATATGCTTCCTTTTACCTCAATATTAACTAAGGTAAAATGAGAATTATACTCTTGTGATGTTACATGAAAAATATTAGACCCAAGTGCCCCAGAGAAATTGGTAGAAGAAATGCCCACAGGCTACAATTTTCTTATACTTACATGGACTGAGTCTCTAGTGCCTGGTGTCAATTTCTTGAGAACCAAACCAACCGAGTAACTGATTGAATAAGTGAATCAACAGATATCTGCGAACCTTTTACATAAAGAACAATGTCCCAGGTACCAGGGACACAGAAGTGAGCAAGGTGGATCTGGGTCCTACTCTCACAGTACATAGTCAGAGGGAAAGAGGCAAATAAGAAGTCACTGCCATAAAGCAGTGGTTCTCAAAGTGCAGTCCAGAGACACCGAGGGGTTCCTGAGACCTTTTCAGGGAAGGTACAAGGTCAAAACTATCTTCTCAATAATACAAAAACATTTGTTTTGTTCATTTTCATCCTCCCACAAGGGTATAGCGGAGTTTTCCCGGGGCTACATGAAGTCTAACATCACAACAGATTGAATGTAGAGGCAGACATGAGAATTCAGGTATATTTTATTAATTCAGACATTTAAAAAATGAAAAGCAATGCAATTCTTTTCGCTTTTTTCTGGTTTGAAAAATAAGATTTTCGTGAAAAATAACTATGCTAACATGTCATCTTAACATGTAAAATTATAATTTATCATTGTAATTTTAAAATAATTTTTTCTTCATTTCTCAGCCTTCATTTCTAATCCAATAAATATTGTAGATATCACCCACATAAACAATAGCTCCCTAGAATCCTAAATAATGTTAAAAGAGTGCAAAAGAGTCCTGAGACCAAAAAGTGTGAGAACTGCCACGAAGGAGAAAAGCTGTTATGTATGATGCTACTCAAACAGAGTGACTGCACCAGGAGAATCTAGGCCAGGAAAGGGAAAAGGAAACGACCAACTAAGCTGAAGAAAACCTGAAGGATGATAAGACCTGGTTTAGCAAACAGTAAGTGGAGCCAGGAGGAATGCACTAAGCTCAGCAAAGGAAAAATCAAGGCTTGGAAGACAGAAATATCATTCTCCCATATACCTGCAAAAAAAAAAAAAAAAACCACAGGAATGAAGGGGAAGGAGCTGTGGGAGAGTGGTGAAGACTAACAGCTACTCAAGGATGAGTTTCATTAAGGACTTGAAACACAAGGCAAGACATTTATAACGCATTGTATAGGCAAAAGGATCTATTAAAAAGGTGACAATGAGCCAGGTGCGGTGGCTCATGCCTGTAATTCCAGCACTTTGGGAGGCCCAGGCGGGCGGATCACCTGAGGTCAGGAGTTTGAGGCCAGCCTGGGCTAACATGGTGAAACCCCATCTCTACTAAAAATACAAAAATTAGCCAGGCATAATGGCCTGGTACCTGTAATCCCAGCTACTCGTGAGGCTGAGGCAGGAGAATCGCTTGAACCGGAGAGACGGAAGTTGTAGTGAGCCAAGATCATGCCACTACACTCCAGCCTGGGCGACAGAGAGAAACTCTGCCTCAAAACTAACTAAATAAATAAATAAAATGCAGATTCCTAACAGCTACAGTGAGCTGAGATTGTACCACTGCACTCCAGCCTGGGCGACAGAGTGAAACTCCGTCTCAAAAGAAAAAAAAAAAGGTAACAATGATTAAACTTATTTTTGAAAGATCACTCTAAATCCAGGGTGGAAAATTGATTTAAACAAAAAAGAAAACAAAACCGCCAGGAGACCAGATAGAAGTCCTTTACAGGTGGCCCCAATAAAAGTGTTGCCATGGACTATGGCAGTGGCACTGGCAAAGGAGAACAATGGTTCAAGAGAGATTCGGCAGAGAACACACAGCCCTGGTAAGGACTCACAGGAAGAGGTGAGGCAGATGGAGGAATTAAAGATGACACTGGCTTTCAGCCAAGAATGACAGTGGAAGTTTTAAAAAGAGATAAGATAAATTTGTATCTGGACATGTTGAGTTTATTGGTGGAACAGTTAAGTCCACTATCTAGCTGAGATAAACCTGGAACTCAGAGAAAATCTGAGCCAGAGATACAGATTTGGGAGTTACTGAAACCAGGAAAGCGAATGATTTTTTGCAGGAAGGTGTAGCCTAGGGTATCCTGAAGAGTGGCCAAAAAAACTTAAGGAAAACCAGGGAAGAGAAAGTTATGGTAGAAGCCTGTGGAAGAGTGTTTTGAGAGGGAATCAATTGCTGCTGGGAGAAAAGTGAGGTAACTACTGAAAACATCCACCAAATTTGCCAGTAGTGCAGTCATTAGTGATCTTGAAAGTTTTGGGACCCTAGTGAGGGTAGAAGCCAACCTGAAAGAAGAAAGCAGTATTCTTTCAATAGCTCTGAAAGGGACGCTAACACAAGATACCAGAAGGCTGGGATTATGGGAAGGAATCTTATGTATTTATTTTCTCACGATGGAAAAAAAGTGGGCATTTCAAAATGCTAATAAGAAGAAGAGAAAAAGGGAAAATACAAAAATTTTTAAATGGTGGAAAAACCCAGTACTTAGTGAGTTTATCTCTGGATGGTTGAACAAAAGGTAATTTTTGTTTGCTTTATACTTTCCTACTTTTTTAACACTATCTAAAATGATATGTATTATTTACATATTACTTTTATAAATCAGAAAAAATACACAAGGATTTCCAAGTAGCTTTGACGAAATAAGCTGTTCTAAATTCTGTATTTTACCTTCAGATGCAAAGAATATCTAAGTCTTGCTGACAAATTTAGGCAAAATAGGCCAGTAGATCAGAAGCCACCCACAGACACCTGAAAGCTGTGGAAATAACACTTGCCTGCAAAGATCACAGCAGAACTATAAAAGCACGGAAAGAATGATAAAAGCACAGCAAGGTAGGCTATTTGGAGATAAAACACTCATGCACTTCAAGCAGGTTGGAGAGCACTGCAGCATTCCAGCACAGACAGGGGTATTCAGGAAGACTAATCAACAAAAAAGACTAAAACAGAATTACACAAACTCAGGGCTAGAAGACATCTTAGGTAATATAATTCACTCGATTTATTAATTAAATAACTGGGATCAGGCCAGGCACAGTGGCTCATGCCTGTAATCCCAGCACTTTGGGAGGCCAAGGTAGGAGGACAGCTTGAAGCCAGGAGTTTGAGATGAGCCTGGGCAACACAGGAGAGCCTGTCTCTAGGAGGAAAAAAAAAAAAAATTGAATTAGCCAGGCATGATGGCACACACCTGTACTCCCATCTGCTCAGGAGGATGAGGCAGAAGGATCACTTGAGCCCAGGAGTTCAAGGCTGCTGTGAACTTTGATTGTGCCACCGCACTCGAGCCTGGGTGACAGAGTGAGACATCCTCCCGATAAACTTTTAATTAACTTTTCCCCCCCAGATATAGACCTGCAGAATTATGGTTGTTTTAAGTCACTAAGTGGTGGTGGTGTTGCTGTTGAGAGACATGGTCTCACTCCGTTGCCCAGGCTGAAGTGCCGGAGTGACATCATAGCTCACTATACACTCAAACTCCTGGGCTCAATTTAACACTTAAAAAGTGCAAGTCTTCAGAAAGATCAGTTAGGTAAAGTATTTCTTGATGACAGCAGATGTCTTTAAAAACATTTGTCAATTTCAAACTTGAAGAAAAGTTCCAAGAACAGTACAAAGAATTTCCAAATAGTAACATTTCACCAAATTTGCTTTATCCTTCTAGCTCTTACATATACACCCGAGCTTTTCTTCTGAACCGAGTAAGTTGCAGATATGATGCACGTTTCCTAAAAAAAACAAGGACTTAAATTTAAGTCTCCATACGATTACCAAAATTAGGAAATTAACATTAACACTAGTATCTAATTTATAGACCTTATTCAAATTTCACCAATTTGCCTAATAATATCATTCATGCAAAAGGCAAAAAAAGTTGGGTGGGTTTTTTTTCCCGATCCAGGATTGCCATTGCATTTAGTTGTCACGTCTTTTTAGTCTTTTTTTTTTCCAACTCTAAACAATATTTTTCTTATCTTTAATCTTTATTTGAAACAGCTTGTCTCTTTTTTCTTTCATTACCTTAACATTTTAAAGAGTACAGGCCAGTTATTTTGCAAAATGCTCCCCCACGTGGGTTTGTCTGGTGTTTCTTCACAACTCGATTCAGGTCGTGACTTTTTGGCAGGAATACCCTAGAAGTGATGTTGTGTCTTCAGTGTATCACATCAAGAGGCACATGGCAATTTGTCCCATTATTGATGTTAACTTTTATTACCTAGGTAAGAAGCTACCTGCCAAGTTTCTACACCGTATTCGTTTTTCCTCTCTAATTATTATGGGGACACACTTTGAGACCATTTAACTATCCAATTATTTCCTCAAACTTTTCACCCACTAGTATGAGGATCTATTAATGATTACTGACTAAATCAATTACTACTACAACAGTTAACAAAAAGTGATTTTCTAATTCTAGCACTCCTCTTATATTTTAGTTGGCATTCTACTGTAAGGGAAACTTTCCCTTCTCATCCATTTATATATTTATATGAGTTTGGACTCATGGATCCTTATTCAATTGATTATATTATTTTCATTACTTTGATGCTCTGCCCCATTTTTGGCCAGTGGGAATCCCTTCAAGCTAGCCCCTGTCCTTTTAACAGTCCCTATCATTCTTTGATAAATGTCATACTTTCTGGTACAAGATGTTGCAGGTTCTTCTTGTTCTTTCCCAGCCCTAGCCCTACAATCAGTCATTTCTCCAAGGATCCCTGTTTCTGTTTACGGAAGAGCGGTATTTAAAAAACAAAATCTGGGCGTTACGTATGCTCATTGCTACAGGAAAACATATATTGAATATATACATGAAACAAACATAGACACACATTATCTATTCTACATCTTATATATATTGAAAACCATGAGTTCACACTGATACCTCTAATTCCAATCCAACATCACAGGATACATCCTAGTCTTTCCACTTCTATATTTATGACAGTAAGAAACCTGTCTCTTTTCGTCTACAATATGTTTACTTATTTGCTCAGTCTTGGAATACACAGAATACATAGAAGCCAGTGTCAGAACTGCCAATCCACACTGCTGCAAAATCCATACTACTAACAACAGCTCTACTTTGTCTTTAGCCTACGTTCAAATTACTTGGGTTAGTTCATTTTTTTCTTTAGTGTAATTAGATGACTCATTTCAAGTAAGTTTGTTTGGTTTTGCTTGTATTCCATTTTTGAGTTTTCTTCCCAACTCTGCTCATCCTTTTTTTCATTCCCTCCCCTTTTTTTGAGTATATGAAACATTAACAAAGTTCAAACAGCATGAATTATACAAAACATATAATTTTTTTCTGTTGTTTTTTGAGACACAGTCTCACTCTGTCACCCAGGCTAGCGTCCAGTGACACAGTCTCAGCTCACTGCAACCTCTGTCTCCCAGGTTCAAGTGATTCTCCTGCCTCAGCCTCCTGAGTAGCTGGGATTACAGGGGTCCGCCACCACGCACAGCTAATTTTTTATTTTTGGTAGAGATGAAGTTTTGTGATGTTGGCCAGGCTGGTCTCAAACTCCTGGACTCAAGTGATCTGCCCGCCATGGCCTCCCAAAGTGCTGGGATTACAGGCATGAGCCACCGCCACCGGCCAAAAGATTTTGTAAAAGTGTCACTCCTCCACTCTCTCTGCTTTGCTCCTACCAACCTCTCAGAACGTAATCAATCTCATTAGCTTCTGGTTATCTTGTTTCTTTTTGCACAAATGAAGAGATACAAATATGTTTTGCTATCTTCTCCTCCTTTTTTATACAAACGCTAGGATACTATAAATACTGTTTTGTCCTTTGACTTCTTCACGAAATATATCCTGGAAGTCATTACATGTTGGTTCAAAGAAATTTTTTTTTCTTCTTTTCAGAGGCAGGGTCTTACTCTGTCACCCAGGCTGGAATGCAGTGGCACAATCATGACTTACTGCAGCCTTGACCTCCCAGGCTCAAGTGATCCTCCCACCTCAACCTCAGCCTCCTGAGGAGCTGGGACTACAGGCATGTGTCATCTAGTGACATAATTTTTTTTAATTTTTTCTAGAAACAGGTGTCTCACTATGTTGCCCATGTAGGTCTTGAACTCCTGGGCTCAAGCAATCCTCCCGCCTCAGACTCCCAAAGTGCTGGGATTACAGGACTGAGCCACCAAGCCTGGCTTTTTTTTTTTTTTTTAACAGCTGCACTGCCAACTGAAAGACTCTCAGTGGCCAAAGCTGGAACAATTTGAGCAACAAAACAAAGTAGTATTGGATTATAACCCAAGGTATAAAGTAAATATACATGAGTCCATACTGACATAAGTAAATAAATGGGGGAGAACAGGCAACTCTCCAGAACAGAATTCCACAAGATTATGTAGATACTCCACCACCTTGGAGGAACAGGGTAACTTCCCAGTCCTTACGTGTAGGCTGCACACAGTGACTTCCTTCCAAAGAGTTATGAAAAGGGAGAAAAAGAGTAACTTCAAAGCAGAGAAACCTAGCCACGTGCAATAGCTCACATCTGTAATACCAGCACTTTGGTAGGCTAAGGCAGACAGATTGCTTGAGCCCAGGAGTTCAAGACCAGCCTGAGCAACATGGCGAAAACCCGTTCTCTACAAATATACAAATACAAAAAATTATTCGAGCATGGTGACGTGGCCTGTAGTCCCAGCTACTCGGGAGGGTGAGATGAGAGGATCACCCAGGCCCAGGAGGTTGAAGCTGCAGTAAGCCAAAATGACACTACTGCACTCCAGCCTGGAAGACATAGTGGACCCTGTCTCCAAAAAAAAAAAAGGTACAGAAACCTAACACGTATCTCAGCCAGGTGATCAACGTCAACATTAACAGTGATAAATTATGTTGTAGTATGCAGCCTTGATGAAAATGTACTTTACCTCTGTGGTCTTCATCCGAAAACACATGATCCCAATCCAATTATGAGGAAAACAAGACAAATTCAAACAGAGGAGCATTCTACCAAATACCTGGCCATTATGCCTCAAACCTTTTCGGGTCATCAAAAACAAAGAAAATGTCACAGATAACAGGAGCCTAAAGAGTGACAAGAACTAAGTGTAATGTGTATCCTGGACGGAATCCTGTAACAGAGAAAAGACATTAGGTAAACACTAACCTGAAGCAATCTGAGTAAGCATGGACTTTAAATAACGATCATGTATCAATATTGGTTTATTAACTGTAACAAACACCTTATCAATGTAAGATGTTAATAATAAGGGACACTAGATGTGAGGTATATGGGAACTCCCTGTACTGCATTCACAATTTCTCTGTAAATCTAAAACTGTTCTAAAAAAACAAAGTCTATTTAAAAATAAAAATTACAAAACAGCTGTATAGTGCTCCATTGTGTGGATGCACCATAGGTCGTTCAACTACTTTACGTTGGGAAAGTGTGTTCCCAACATTTTCCAAGTGCAAACAACACTGCAGTAAATAACTCTATGCATACATTTTTTCATACTGTTAGAGTTATACTTTTAAGATAAATTCCTATAAGTGGGACTGATGGATTAAAAAGCAAATATACGGCAGTTTTGCTACAAGGCAGCAAATTCCTCTCTATAAAGATTATAACAATTTGCAGTCCCATCAGAAATGTATGAGGGTATACAGTGTTGCCAACAGAATGCGCTGTCACACTGTTTAATTTGGCCCCCCTGCAGATAAGTAATGGTATGTTCAGTATATTTAATTTGTATTTCTCTAATTATTGAGGTTGAACATCTTCTCATGTTTAAAGGCCATCTTTTCTTTTTTTTTTAAATTGTCTCTCATGCTTTTGCTCATTTTTCTCTCTGATTTTTGGCCTCTTATTCCCCCTCCTTTTTTTTTTTTTTTTTGTGTAAAGACAGGGTCTCACTTTGTCACACAGGCTGATGTGTTGTACTGCAGCCTCAAACAACTGGGTAAGTGATCCTACTACCTCAACCTTCCAAGTAGCTAGGACTACAGGCATGTGCCATGCCCGGCCACTTTTATTTTTATTTTTTGTAGAGACAGGATCTTGCTATGTTGCCCAAGCTGGTCTGGAACTCCAGGCCTCAAACGATCCTTTATCAATCTTTGATTTTATTGTCTCTGGAATTCAGGGTCCTTACTTAGGCACACTTTCCCCACACCTAGGTTATATAAGAATTTATCCAGGTTTCTTAGTGTTTGTATCGTTTCATTTTTGACATTTAGATGTCTGCCCCATTAGTTGATTCATATGTATGGTATTCTAACTTTTTCCAAACAGCTATGTAATTGTCCCCATGCTATTTACTTAAAAATCTATTTTCCAGACTTCTGCTTCTAGCCATGAAAGAACAAACTGAATATATAAAACAACTATTTTCAGATATTGGGACAACAGACTACAGGACTGTGATAACTGAAAGAAAAAAACAAAACAAAGTGAACCCTACATTCACCTAGCTTTCTACCCACAGACAATTTCCAAACCATGTAGCAGAGAACAGAACTCAAGAGGAGAATGGTAGTTTCACCGAGCAGAGGAGGCAAACGTCAGAGGAATTCGGGCAGGCTGGGGCAGCCGGAATTTGTGAGGTAGAGATAAGCAGCAAAAGAACTCCAGAAATCTACATGGAGCTGCCTTGAGTCACTGACTGAGTATTCACTACACATGTATTGGGTGACTTTCACAATGCCATAGTCACTACGAAGAACAATTACAGCAGCTACAAGCTGAAAAACGCAGAGCTCACACAGGGCTGGGAGTCAATGGAGTCCTTATAAGCCAAAGTAGAGATCTCATTGAATATGCAAGTCAATCAGTAAAGAATCCTAATTTAGTAATTGGGCTAAGCTAACTCTAGAGTAAAGACTATGCCAGCTATGCCCTAAAAATATGTAAAAACACGAACTGCCTGCTGATACAAAAGATAAAATCCAAGTCATCAACAATGTTCAGCCTCAAAAAACAAAAAACCAGTAAACAAGTTTTTTGTAGAAAATGACAAGCTGATTCTAAAATTAATATGGAAATGAAAGTACTTAGAATAGCCAAAACAACTTTGAAAAAAGAACAAAATTGGAGGATTTATACTATATGACTGAGACTTACTACAAGGCAACAGTAATTAAGACAGCATGGTACTGGTGTTAAGAAGAGACATATAAATCAGTGAAACAGACTAGAGAGCCCAGAAATAGACCCACTCACATATGGTAAATTGATTTTTGACAAAGGGACCATGGTAAATCAGCAGGGATAGAACAGTCTCTTCAACATATGGTGTTGAGACAACTGGCTACCCACAGGCAAAGAAAATCAACTTCAACTCACACCTCATACTATACACAAAAATTAACTTGAAATCTCAGATAAGAATACACAAATATCAAAAGAAAAAAATGAAATTAACTTGAAACGAATCATAGACCAATGTAAAGCTAATACGATAGAACTAAAAGAAAATACAGGAGTATCTTTGTGACCACAGAATACACAAAGATCCTTAAGACACAAAAAGCACAAACCATGAAAGAAAAAAAAAAGACTTCATCAAATGTACAAGCTACTCTTTGAAACACATCCTAAAGGAAGTAAAAAAAAAAAAGCCACAGAGAAAATATTCACAATACACTTATCAAAGGATTTGTATCCCAAATGATAAAAAGAATGCTTATAACTCAGTCATAAAACAATCCAATTTTAAAATACAGGCAAAAAATTTTATATGAATGGCCAAAGAAGCACATGAAAAGCATGTCAAAATCATTAGTCATCAGGGAAATACAATTTAAAACCAAAAGGAGATACTACTACATATCCACACAATGGCTGAACTTAAAAAGTTTATAATATTAGGCAGTGGTGATGGACAGTGGTAGGAATGTAGAGTAGTATAAAATGGAAAACAGTTTGGTGGCCTTTTATGAAGGTACATATACACTTAACACATGACCTAGTCATTCCATTCCTAGGTATTTACCCAAGAGAAATAAAATGATGTTTACACAAAGACTTGCACATGATGGCTGGGTGCGGTGGCTCATGCCTGTAATCCCAGCACTTTGGGGGGCCATGGCAGGTGGATCACCTGAGATCAGGAGTTCGAGACCAGCCTGACCAACATAATGAAACCCCGTCTCTACTAAATATACAAAAATGAGCCAGGTGTGGTGACACACACCTGTAATCCCAGCTCCTCAAGAGGCTGAGGCAGGAGAATTGCTTGAACCTGGGAGGCAGAGGTTGCAGTGAGCCAAGATTGGGCCCCTGCACTCCAGCCTGGGTGACAGAGCGAGACTCTGTCTCAAAAACAAATGACTTGTGCATGAATGTTCATAGCAGCTTTATCCAAAATAGCACAGCTGCAAACTGTTTATTTGCCTAAATGTCCATTAATAGGTAAATAAACTGTGGCATATCCATACAATGAACTACTACTCAGAAATAAAAATAAATGAACTAATGACATGTGCAACAGCATGTTATGACCCTCAAAAACATATCATGGTGCAAAATATAGGAATATACAATGTAGGCCAGGTGCAGTGGCTCATGCCTGTAATCCCAGCACTTTGGGAGGCCGAGGCGGGAGGATCACCTGAGGTCAGGAGTTCGAGACCAGCCTGCCCAACATGGTGAAACTCCGTCTCTACTAAAGATAAAAAAAATTAGCCAGGCCTGGTGGCGCACGCCTGTAATCCCAGCTACTAGGCAAACTGAGACAGGAGAAACACTTGAACCTGGGAGGCGGAGGTTGCAGTGAGCCAAGATCGCGCCACTACACTCTAGGTTGGGTGACAGAGTGAGACTCCATCTCAAAAACAAAAAGAATATACGATGTAGTGTAAATTTCTAACAAATTCTAGAACTGCAAAATTCATCTATATCAACAAAAAGTAGTGCAGTGGTTACCTGGGCAAGACGTAAGTTAAGGGTTGGGGACTCACTGCAAAGGGGCACAGGAAACTGATAGAAATGTTTTAGATCTTGACTGTGATGGTGGTTGCATGGGTATCTATATATGACAAAACTCATCAAACTGTATACTTAAAATAGATGCATTTCCTTACATGTAAATTACACCTCAATAAAGTTAATTTTTTAAAATCCATCTTTAGTTCCAGTGATTCAAGAAGCCACCTTTATTATAAGAAATCCATTTGAAAGAAAAAAAAAACAACAACGTTTAAATAGATTTCAATTTAAAAACAGTCATGGACCAAAAAGCAATATACAAATATAAACATAAAACAAAGATTACTTAAAAGCAAGGGTTGAAAAACTCTGCCCCTTAATTTGATTAACCATGGAAATAAATATGATGCGATAATATCCTTATTTATGTCTAGTATTACAAAAAGCACAACATAAATCTAAAGGGCTATACTGGCAAAATCCTCAATAACAAGACTGAAATGTTATTCCACAGAGTCTCTTTCTCTCCGCTGTGCCTCTCTGTTGCCAGACCCTCTCCCCTTTTCTGTCTCTGACTATAACTGACCATATACAAATTGAAATATTCTACTTTAACACAAATAATTAGTTCTTGTTCTTTAAACAGTGAATATTTTATATAGTTTTTACTTTAAAAATCAAAACGTTATGTTTTATTGATGTAGTCTGGCTCATTTGATCTATATGTATAGTGAAATAGCCCAAAAAATATTGTCATCAACAACATTCTTTGAACCAGTAAAAATATCTGACTTCACATTTTATAAGCACTACTTACCACCTTACTTTTGGTCTATAAATTTTACTCATTTAAGTGATACTTTATATTATTATAATTTGATATATCTACAGTTTGTAGACATCATGAGAAAAACTATGCAAAGCTAAAGAAAAAACAAATGCTTCTTGTAACAACGGTGTCATATATCAAACATATAAGGAAAAGCTAAATATTCAACAGCTATAAAAATGTCAGCTTGATTTAATGTATTCCAAATATGGATGGGCTCCTTTTCTATTTTGGTTTTAACCATGTAATTTTACTTCCATTCCACTAACAACTAAACACATCAGATTAAGCCAATCATAAATCTAGTTAATGTCTAATTATATAACACGTTTCTATTACCATTAAACACAGAATGGTAGCCATCAAAGAGCAGATACTTTTAGAATAATTCCATTATAATCAGAAGTGTCAGCGCTGAATATAACTGTTCTAGTGCCCTATAATTAGGAAAGAGAAAGCATTTTATTGTAAGAACATGGATTCCAACTGTTACATACCAGTTCAGACGTTCCCTAACAAACTACCATGTCTGATTTTTACTAATCATAAAAGGAGGTAGTTTGTGTAAAAAAAAGAAAAAAATCGCACATATCAACTGCTAATCTTGACTAAACTCAGACTCCTTACTAAGACATTATCGTTTCCTTCTATCAACGGAGATAACATTTTACATCAGTGGGTTATAACTAAGTTTCATTTTGGCTGTACAGTCGTTTTTCTGAACTCTTACATTTTTGTGACATTCCTTAAGCAAGTTAATCAAGACGTTGCATTCTTCAGTGTGCAAGTGTGGAGATAAGTCAGGATGCATCTTTAGGAGATGAGGATGGATCACAGCAGTGCAACCTGTGGATACAAGAGTGTCTTGAATATGCATAAACACATTTGTTACGCCACCTAAAAGTATCTTCATAAGAACCTCTAGTGACCTTTATCAGAGAAGTATGTTAACCATTAACCAGCTGTGTGACCTCAGGCAAATTATTAAACTTGAGACAAAGCTTTCTAATTCAATGATTTAAGATATTCAGCAAGTTATCAGTAGTATTTAGAGAACCTACAGGTTCAGGAGAAAAGCAGGAAGCCTCAAGAGACCCAATCCCGGAAATAAGCACTAAAGCAGAAACAGCTTGCTTATATTAATAAGCCTGACTTCAAATATTTTCGCCACATTCTCGAAATTAACAACTCATTTTGTTCAGATGAAATTCTACCAATTAAGAGAATTGGCTTATTATTTTAAAATGTATATTATTCTGAGGGTTAAAGGGTCATTAGTCTCATATTAGTGTGAATATAGATTGCTTTTTTCTTAATAGCTGGCTGAAAAAAAAACTAAACAATGAAATGAAACCAGAAGTTGTGAAAAAAAATTTCAAATTTAACAGATATAGCCATAAAACTAATTATTACACTGAAAACATGAAGCTGAAATCCCTGAACTTAAGTTTAATTGGATCATCCACAAGGTGGAAAATTAGCAGCCAAGGTCAAAGGAAAAACATCATGGGCAGCTGTTCTTTTTTTTTTTTTTTTTTTGTAGTCAGGGGTCTTGCTATGTTGCCCAGGCTGGTTTCAAACTCCTGTCCTCAAGTGATCCTCAGCCTCCCAAAGTGTTGGGACAGGCATGAGCTACCGTGCCCCACCTGGGCTTAACCTACTCTAACTCAGAAATGATTACCAAAAGAAAGAACCGATTACCTGCTTTAATTTTTTTTAAAGTTCCAAATAGAAAACAGGAACCAACCCATATCCATTAGGATGGCTACTGCTGAAAAAAAAACAGAAAATAACAAACGCTAAAGAGGATGTGGAGAAACTGAAACTCCTGCGCACTGTGGGCGGGCATGTAAACTGGGATAGCCACTGTGGAAACTGGTATAGCAGTTCCTCAAAAAATTAAAAATGAAATTACCATATGATCCAACAATTCCACTTCCGGCTATATTTTCATAAGAATTAAATGCAGGGTTTTGAAGAGATATTTGAACACCCATGTTCACGGCATATTATTCACAATAATTAAAACATGGAAGCAACCCAAGAGTCCAACAGACAATGGATCAGCACAATGTGGTATATACATACAATGGAATACTATTCAGCCTTAAAATGGAAGGAAATTCTGGCATATGCTACAACATGGATGAAATGTGAGGACATTCTGAATGAAATAAGCCAGTCAAAAAACATATATATAGGGTTCAACATACGCAAATCAATAAATGTGATTCTCCACACAAACAGAATTAAACACAAAAACCATGTGATTATCTCAATAGATGCGAAAAAGCCTTTGATAAAATCCAACATCCCTTCATGATAAAAACCCTCAACAAACTAGGCACTGAAGAACATACCTCAAAATAAGAGCCATCTATGACAAACTCACAGCCAACATCATACTGAACAGGCAAAAGATGGAAGCATTTCCCTTGAGGACCGGAACAAGGGAACAGGATGCCCGCTCTCACCACTCCTATTCAACACAGTACTTATTTCCTAGCCAAAGCAATCAGTCAAGAGAAATAAAAGGCATCCGAATAAGAAAAGAAGTCAAACTGTCTCTCTTCACTGACGATATGATTCTATACCCAGAAAACCCTAAAGACTCTGCCAAATGACTTGAGTAGTTTCAGGATACAAGATCAACATAGAAAAATCAGTAGCACGTCTATACACTATAAGGTTCAACCTGAAAGCCAAATCAAGAATACAATCCCATTTTCAATTGCCACCAAAAAAATAAAATACCCAGGAATACATCCAACCAAGGAGGTAAAAGATCTCTACAGGAAGAACTACAAAACACTGCTGAAAGAAATCACAGATGACACAAACAAATAGAAAAACATTCCGTGCTCATGGATTGGGAGAATCAATATCACTGAAATGGCCATATTGCCCAAAGCAATCTACATATTCAACACTACTCCTATCAAACTACCAATGGCATTTTTTCACACAATTAGAAAAAACTATCCAAAAATTCATATGGAACCAAAAAGGGGCTCAAATAGCCAAAAGAATCCTAAGCAAAAAGAACAAAAACCAAACGTATCACATTACCCTACTTCAGACTATAAGGCTACAATAACCAAATCAGCAAGCTTCTCCTACAAAAACACACACATGGACCAATGGAACATAACAGCCCAGAAATAAAGCCACACACTTTTGATCTTTGACAAAGTCAACAAAAATAAGCAATGGCAAAAGGACTTCCCATTCAATAAATGGTGCTGGGATAGTTGGCTAGCTATATGCAGAAGAATAAAAGTGGACCCCTACCTTTCATCATATACAAAAATTAACTCTAGATAGATTACAGATTTACACAGAATGCCTCAAACTATAAGAATCCTAGAAGAAAACCCAGGAAACACCATTCTGGACATTCACCTTCGGAAGAGAATTAGGACTAAGTACTCAAACACAATTACAACAAAAACTGAAACCTAATTAAAGATCTCAAAACAGCAAAAGAAACTATGAATAGAATAAAGACAACCTACAGAATAGGACAAAATATTCACAAACTATGCATCCAACAAAGGTCTAATATCCAGAATCTATAAAGAAATTAATTCAACAAGTAAAAAATAAATAATCCCATTAAAAAGTGGGCAAAAGGCTGGGCACGGTAGCTCACACCTGTAATCCCAGCGCTTTGGGAGGCCAAGGCAGGCAGATCACAAGGTCAGGAGTTCGAGACCAGCCTGGCCAATATGGTGAAACCCCATCTCTACTAAAGATGCAAAAATTAGCCGGGTGTGGTGGCGGGCGCCTGTAGTCCCAGCTACTCGAGAGGCTGAGGAAGGAGAATCGCTTGAACCCAGGAGGCGGAGGTTGCAGTGAGCCAAGATGGCGCCACTGCACTCCAGCCTAGGTAACAGAGTGAGACTCCGTCTCGAAAAAACAAAACAAATAAACAAATTTTAAAAAAAAGTGGGCAAAAGACATCAACAGCCACTTCTCAAAAGATATACAAGTGGCCAAAAAACATGAAAAAATGCTCAACATCACTAATCATCAGAGAAATGCAAATCAAAACCACAATGAGATATCACCTCACATCAGTGAGAATGGCTATTACTAAAAAGTCAAAAAAACACAGATGCTGGGGGAGGTTGTGAGAAAAGAGAATGCTTATACACTGTTGTGGGAATGTCAATTAGTTCACCCACTGTGGAAAGCAGTCTGGAGAGTTCTCAAAGAGCTTAAAACAGCTACCACTAGATCCAGCAATCCCATTACTGGGTATATAGCCAAAAGAAAATAAACCGTTTTACAAAAAGAAAAACATGCACTCATAAGTTCTTTGTAGCTCTATTCACAATAGCAAAGATATGGAATCAACCTAAGTGTCTATCAGTAATGGATTGGATAAAGAAAATATGTACATATACACCATGGAATACTAAACAGCCATAAAAAAGGACGAAATTATGTCCTTTGCAGCAACATGGATGCAGCTGGAAGCCATTATCCTAAGTGAATTAACGCAGCAACAGAAAGCCAAATATGGCATATTCTCACTTATAAGTGGGAGCTAAACACTGGATACTCACAGACATAAAGATGGCAACAAAAGACATTGGGGACTAATAGACGGTAGAAGGAGGGTAAGGGCTGAAAAACCATTAGGTACTATGCTCACTTACCTGCATGATGGGATCAACAGTACCCCAAACCTCAGTGTCATCCAATGTACCCATGTAAGAAACCTGCACATTACTTATATCCAAAATCTGAAATAAAATTTGAAATTATATATTTTTTAAAAGGCAAATACTTTAACATTCCACTTATACGAGGCACCTAAAGTAGTCAAAATCAAAGAGACGGAAAGTGGAATGGTGGTTACCAGAGGGAGGTGGAAGGGCAGGAGGAGATGAATGGGGAGTTACTGTTTAACAAGCAGTTTTACAAGATAAAAAGTATTATGGAGATGGACGGTGGTGATGGTTGCACAACATTATTAATGTATCTGATACCACTGAACTGTGCATTTAAATGGTTAAGATGGTAAATTTTATGTTACGTGCATTTCACCATGCGAATTTTATGGTATGTAAATTATACCTCAAGCTGTTAAAAAAAAACCTGTGAGAAATTCAAACTGCCCATCCACCTCCCACTCAACAGAAACAAAAAACTGTCTGAACAAATAATTCCAAAGGATTATAGCATAGCTACTATTTCAATTGCAACTTATAAAAATGCAGTAGGTCCCTGTACTATTCAGTAACTACTAAACACACACACACACACACACACACCACAGCTGAAGACCACAAATAAAGCCATTGCACCTAGTTAAGTATTCATTTGAAACGAAAAAAGAAAATGCAGCCAAGTTTAAATTTTGTTTGCCTGCCACTGACTCCAAGATCCTTCCAATGATATCAATTTTTGCCTTAGAAAAATTAAGTTTCATACAGTTCAGCAATTTAAGTTATCCAATATCGTACCAATATTCTGCACCTACATTTATGTGAAGTGTTAGTTTTCTGGTTTCTGCCTTATTTTTTCCTAAAGAAAACATACACTGGTATAGGCCAGATGCGGTGGCTCACACCTGTAATCCCAGCACTTTGGGAGGCTGAGGCAGGTGGATCACCTGAAGTCAAGAGTTCAAGACCAACCTGGCCAACATGCCGAAACCCCATCTCTACTAAAAATTCAAAAAATTAGCTGGGCGTGTTGGTGGGCGCCTGTAATCCCAGCTACTTGGGAGGCCGAAGCAGGAGAATCACTTGAACCTGGGAGGCAAGGTTGCAGTGAGCCAAGATGGCACCACTGACCTCCAGCTTGGGTAACAGCGCAAGTCTCCATCTCAAAAACAACAATAACAGAAAACAGACACTGGTTTAATCACTAGAAAATGTCTCTAACATTTTCTAAATGTATTTGACAAAATATTTTTGCACATTTCTATCAACCGGCACTCAAATGTGTGCCTTTACAATTCAGAAACAAGCTTATGATGTACTGAAATGATTTCTTTAATTGACAAATACCTGAGAAGACACTTGACTGAGACAATATTAATAGATGCAAAGATGTATATAAGCCTAAGTACATAAAATGGTACATATTTTCCTCCCTCTATAACAAGTTTACCTCAAATACATATGCTATTGTCAATCAGGGTAGGGTACCAATAAAACGTCTTCCCTTCTAATTCACATTATTTAGTTTTACTTTGAATTGACAAATAATAATTGTATATATTTATAAGGCCCTTCTACTTTCTTAGCCTAGATGACTATGTCAAAGAATAAAATGGTTTAATTTCATTTCCTTTTCCTATTCTTGGTAAGAAGCTACTACTTAACCTAAAGCTCTAAACACTCACCTTATCCCTTATCCAACAGATTCCTTGCTTTCCCCATCACTCCCTTCTTTCTTCTACCACATATTTTTAGCTAGATATGTTCTTCCTCCCCTTGCCCTCTACCTACCCGTCACCTATGCTCACTTCCATCCACTTTGTGTCACTTGGCTTTGCCTAAATGTTGGTGCATACACAGATGTACTGCTGTATTCTGGGGTGTAATATGTAAGGTACAACTGTAAAAATGGCAATGTTCTCTCAGAACACATGTAATTAAGTGCTGATGTCTTCCAGCACTCACCTTTAAAAGACTATTCTAGTAACACAATTTAACTCAAAATATATTTAACAAACTGAAGAAACGCTAAATACGTATTCCATATTCTTATTCTTAAAATTTCTTCAAAGTCATAAGAAGATATCAACGTTATTAGTTTAGAAAATAATTTGTTGAACACTTGCCAAGTGCTAAGCACAAGTCTTACAATGCAATAACCTTATGAAACGGGTAGCCTTTTAAATTCAGTTGAACCATGAGAAACTGTCTTTTTATAGGTCAAAATATGCACTGCCCACATTTTCATAGAGAAACTAAGCCCCAGGTCACACAGTAGTTAGCTGCAAAGTCACAACCCAACATAATCTCTAACCATGACAGATTTTTAATCCATGTTCAAAATAGGAAAGACAGGCATTCACAGCAGTTTGTGAATGAAATACATTCAGATGGAAAAACTATTTCCCAAAGAGCTTCTGATTGACTACAAGTTCAAAAGGTAGTCATTCTAGGCCCAAGTTCCAAAGCAGCCAACGTAATACTATCCTGTAAGTGTGGAAATAGTGAGTCTGTCAAGACACAAAAAAAGAGAAGAGTATTGTATTTGTCACTAGTCAGCTACTCACAAGTTACATCATTTTGGTTACTAATCTGAGACCTAAGTCTCTCTTCCATAAAATGGAATTTGCTCTTGACCTATATATCTCAGTGATGGCATGGGTTTAAAATAACTTATGTGAGGCTGGAAGCTGTGGCTCACGCCTGTAATCTCAGAACTTTGGCAGGCCGAGGTGGGCAGATCACTTGAGGTCAGGAGTTCGAGACCAGCCTAGCCAACATGGTGAAACCCAGTCTCTACTAAAAATACAAAAATTCGCTGGGCGTGGTGGTGGGGGCCTGTAATCCAGCTACTTGGGAGGCTGAGGCAGGGGAATCGCTTCAGCCCTGGAGGCAGAGGTTGCAGTGAGCTGAGATGGCACCACCTGCACTCTAGCCTGGTCGAAAGAGTGAGACTCCATCTCAAAAAATAATAATTATGAACATCAGCAGCATGGTGGAAACGAAAGTGAAAGGAACATAAGACCTCGTTCTTGGATGTTTCCAGTGAAATAGAGAGGGATAAATTCCATTCAAACTGTTATTATTTGAATAGAATAATATTTAATTCCAGTGCAGACCCCAAGCCAGGCTGCTCCTGGGAGCGACCCCAGGGACTGCCTGGGGAGGAAGGCTTAACTACTCTGACTTCCATCAGTTTGTCAGTCTCATCTTTACAATGGCATTTAAGAAAACATCAAAAAGGTAAACTTGTCACGATTCCACCACCTCCCTCCTCAATCCAGCCCCATCCACTGTGTATGCACACAATGATACCAAAACAGTCCACTGAAATTCCTTAAAATTTTCAGCTGTCAAATGTGTTTTGATAGCTAGCTAAGGGGCCCATAAGGGCAATTTTAACTTTTCCTGGGGAGTAAGCTGGGAGGGTAGAAGCGGTAGGGTACTCTTAGTGAAGATATAAAAATTATAGCTTTCTTTTACTCACTCCTTCAATCTTTGTCTACTGACTCTGAGGTACAATTTTCCTCAAGAGTAGTCTAAGACAGATTTCAACCACCAGGTGGCACAATTTTAGAAAATAAACCAAGAGCCAGCGCTGTATTAACTCTAGTATAAAGAAAACGGGTAAGCATTCTAATAACTCACTTCAGCAAATCTATAATCACAAGGAAGAACCCTGTATTTTAATGCCAGTTGGCTTTTCTTTAGAAAGATTTTCCTATTGTGCGGCTGCACAGGAAATTTACACTACAGTTGTAATTTCTAATGCTACTGCAAAATAAGCAAAAAACAAGGCCAGAAAAGTCTGTTGTGCAGAGTCTGAAGAAACTGTTCTCCAGAAAAAAAAACTGTAAACACTCCGCTTTCTAAAATATATCTTTTTAGGCTAGGCGCGGTGGCTCACGCCTGTAATCCCACCACTTCGGGAGGCCGAGGCAGGCAGATCACTTGAGGTCAGGACAAGCCTGGCCAACATGGTGAATCCCCGTCTCTACTAAAAATACAAAAATTAGCCAGGCGTGGCCTGTAACCCTAGCTACTCAGGAGGTTGAGGCACGAGAATCACTAGAACTCGGGAGGTGGAGGTTGCAGTGAGCCGAGATCGCGCCACTGCACTCCAGCCTGGGCGACAAAACAAGACGCCGTCTCAAAATAAAATTTAAATATATATATATATAAATAAATAACATAAAACATTTTTAAGGCCTACATTTCGGCCCTGGTATTAAAGAATTATTTTTCAACTTTTCAAGCTATGAGCCATACTGCAGCAGAGGTCGCAGACACGGTCGGGGACGGCCTCCCCTGCCCACTTCCACTTATCACAGGACCAGTTCTAAACCGATACCACTAAGAAAGCGACTGGCGCTGGCACTGTAGACCCCATGCCAGGCTGCTTCTGGGAGGGACCCGGGGGTGCTGCCTAGGGAGAAGGGCTTAACTACTCTGACTTCCACCGAAGAGTTTCTCAGAGAATGCGCCCTCGCAGCTTTCCCTGAATAAACATTACCAGGACTTACAAGGTGCCTAGCACTCTGCCAGAATCATGTGAATTTCAGAGGAAAATACTCGTTCACACATCTCAAGGAACGCACAGGCTCGTGAGGGAGCATTCTTGCCAATGCACATGGTAAATGCCCAATCGATGTTCGCGGAATGTCAGAAACTGACAACTAGTTCAGGCCTCAACGCAGTAGGAAAAGGATGAAAAAGAAACTCATTTTAAATCAACTAAACAAGTGCAAAAGCCATACATATAAAGGAGAGGAGATACGAATGGCATCACAACATAATTCCTTTGCCATCGAAAACTTCCATGCCTTTGAGGTTTTAAATGAAGACTTCCAAAACTGATTTACTTAAGACTCTACGTAAAACGCCTGATCTTTAAACGCAAGAAAAGCAAGATGAATGTATTACTTTCCTGGAAAAAAAAAGCATTAAAGGAGAAAAAAGAGTAAAGTGTACTGATGGGGCTCTTGGTGGGTTCTCACATCACAGGGCACTGCAGCTGAGACTTGCTTGAACGGCCCCCGTTTTCTACCCGCAAATTCTCAATTGCTAGATAAACAACAATAACAACACTTTATTGGGCGCTCATCGTGTCAAACCCTGTGTTGAGGGCTCCATTCCTCAAGGTCCATTTTACCGGCGAGGAAGCCCCGGCTCCGGGAGGGGAGGAGCGCGCCCAAGGTCACCAGCCAGTTGAGTGAGTGGCGGGCGGATCCCAACCCCGAGCGACGCCCACGGCCTGTCTCGGCCACCAGCGTGTTCCAGCGAGCGCCCAGCCACCTCGCTCGCAGCCTCCCCAGCGCAGCAGCCCGGCTGTGGGCCTGCGGCAGCCGGGTCTTCCTGGTCCCCACCTCCTGGGGCCGACGGGCGGCAGGAAGGGGCTCGGCGGGACGCGCCATCAGGGACCTGAGGAGGAACAACGGAACGCGTTCGGAACGGCCTGGACTCCCGAGACTCACCCGACTCGTGGCCACACCGGGAGAACTGAAGCGGCAGTAGCCGGCGGAGACGCCCGACCCGAAGGCCGGCTGCTAGGGAGCAGACAGCTGAACCGCTTGCCAGACGCCGAAACCCAGTGACGCCCTCCACCGCTCCACCGTGCTCCCGGCTCCTCGCCCCCGCCGCCCGCGGGCCCCAAGGCGCATGCGCCGCCTGTCCTGGAGGGGCCCATTTCCGTCCGTCGTGGGGGGAGGCACAGTGAGTCCACTGGGGCACGGCAGCGTCTAAGCCACAAGCCGAGCACATAAGCCAGGTCCTAACGGAGCCTATGTGTAAGTCCACTACTGGTGCAAGGTTGCACACTTCTAAGAAGAGCGGCGTGGGGGGCTCGGCGACCTTCGCTTCAGTCGCTCCCCCGTGCAGTCCCCTGTGCCCAAGACACAGCCTGATGCTTGTGCTCCGGTGGGCGGAGCTTGGAGGCGGCGGGAACTGCAATTGGTGGCTTTGAAGGCGCGGCGAGCGGGAACAGCTCTTGAGGAGTGAGACTGCAGGAGATGTGGGCCGGTAAGAGAGCCCCGGGCGGCACTGGATCGGGCCCCGGAGGGTGTGGGGCCTTGAGGAAGCCAGATCCCAGGCCTCGGGGGTGGCTTTTTCGCAATTGTCGCACGTTGTGAGGCGCAGGATTGGCGCTGGGTCTCGGGCTCGGGGCGAGGAACTACGGTTCGGGCCGAGGTGAGGGGGCGGTGGCGCTGTGCCGGCTGTGACGTCACCTCGCCCGCGGTGGGGCGGGTGGAGCCTTTCGTAGGCTCGCGACTGCGTCAGGGGAGGGCCGTGTGGTCATGTGACCAGGGGCTCCGCTCTACGATCCTGGGGTTGCTTCCTTTCCCAGAGTTGGGGTTTTGCTTTTCTGTCACCTCGGCTTCCGTCGTTTTTTGTCCCTGTACCCTCTTGCGTTGCTCCTCGCATTGCCTGTTGGAGCGCAGCAGAGGTGTGTGGCTACGGGAACGTTACTTAAAATGGATCTTTTTGATCATGCGTTCCACAGATCTTGAGCATCTACTGTATGTCAGACACTAAAACGCTAGGAAGTATAAAGAAAGTTTTAAAATGGGGCCAGGCGCGGTAGTTTACGCCTGTAATCCCAACACTTTGGGAGACCGACGTGGGCGGATCACCTTAGGTCAGGAGTTCGAGACCAGCCTGGCCAACATGGTGAAACCCCGTCTCTACTAAAAATACAAAAATTAACCGGACGTGGTATCGGGTGCCTGTAATCCCAGCTATTTGGGAGGCTGAGGCAGGAGAAGCGCATGAACCCGGGAGGCGGAGGTTGCAGTGACCCGAGATCGCGCCACTGCACTGCACCCTGGGCGACAAAGCGAGACTGTGTCTCCGAAACAACAAAAAAAGGAAAGTTTAAAAATGGTCACGGGGTAAACGTTTACTAAAGGGATTTCCGTCTTAATTGGTGAGACTGAGGGCGCTCTACCAAATTTCTTTAGACTGGCGTTCTGCAAACTTTACCCGGAATAAATCATCTGACGTACTTTTTAAAAGATGCTAAATCTCAAGCCCTCCGTGCGCCCTCCTCACAGTTTAATTTGATAGGGCCCAGGAATCTTCATTTTAACGGGTAGCCTCGTCTGTGGGTTTTTTTGTTTGTTTTTTGTTTTTTTGAGACGGAGTCTTGCTTTGTCGCCCATGTTGGAGGGCAGTGGCACGTTCTCGGCTCACTGCAACCTCCTCCTCCCGGATTCAGGCTGTTCTCTTGCCTCAGCCTCCCGAGTAGCTGGGACTAGAGGTGTGCGTCACGACACCCGGCTAATTTTTGTATTTCTAGTAGAGACGGAGTTTCACCATGTTGGCCTGGGTGGTCTTGAACGACTGACCTCAAGTGATACACCACGCCCGGCGCGCTCCCGGCCCCTCGCCCGTGTTCTTAATGGGAGAGGTGTTGATTTGATGTTTCACTGACTGTTGAACCCCAAACCACCCAGGTTGTCTCCTCAGGCATTCATTCCACAAGTATTTATCAAAGACACATTAGACTGTTCTTGGCCTGATTAGACTTACTGACTATAGTGAGGCAGTTCTGGTCTAGGAGTATAGCTGTGAATAAAAACATCGTCCTGCCCTGGAGCTCAATTTTAGAAACAAGAAAAGTTAAAAAGATAATTTCAGATAGTTCTGTAAAGACAATTAGCAGTGGATGGCCTGGTGCAGAGGCTCACGCCTGTAATCCCAGTACTTTGGGAGGCCGAGGCGGGAGGATCACTTGAGCTTGGGAGTTCAAGACCAGCCTGACCAACATGGTGAAACCCCATCTTTACTAAAAGTAGAAAAATTAGTTGGGTGTCATGGTGCACACCTGTAATCCCAGATACTCGGGAGGCTGAGGCAGGAGAATCATTTGAATCTGGGAGGCAGAGGCTGCAGGAGGCTGCAGTGAGCAGAAATCCCACTACTACACTCTAATGTGGGTGACCCAGCAAGATTCCGTCTAAAAAAAAGGAAAAAAACAATTAGCAGTGGAGAGTGGGGAAGTAACTTTTGGTTGGGTGGTCAGGATAAGTCTGAGGAGAAACCATCTAAGCTAACACCAGAATTGCAAGAAGTCACTGGAGAGAACATGTGCAGGAAGAACCTTCTAGGCAGTTGTAACTGCAGGCACAATGGTCCTTCTCTAGAGATTATTTAAGAGACTAGTGTAGTTGGAGCTCAGAAAACCAAGGAGAGGGAAGCAGGGGCCACGCAACACGGGGCCTTGTAGACCATGGTGAAGGCTTTAGATGGTCCAGTAACTACACAAAGAAACAAATCCGACTCCTGTTTCATGATCCTGATTCTGTTCCTACGACCTTAATTCAGTTATTTTTCTATTTCTAAATGACTCCTAATCCTTCCTCTTTATCTTTGTCTTACTATCATTTTCAGTATATTGTTAAAATACAGTCAACTATTTCTTTTCAGAAGTGGACAAGGATAATTTTTCAGTGTTCAACAAATAAGTCACAGCCAGGACTCTTGTAGGAAGATACTTCTTTGTCCCTGGAATTCCCACAGTTGTGAAGGAAACAGATGACTGACAGGCTTGTCTTAAACACAGATGCCAAGGTCTGTGTGTGCCTTCCTAGAAGACACACTGTTAAGGGACATTAAAGTATGCGGGTGGTACCCTGCATTGTATAAAAATCATGTTTGCAGACCACGCGCGGTGGCTCACACCTGTAATCCCAGCACTTCAGGAGGCCGAGGAGGGCAGATCACTTGAGGTCAGGAGTTCGAGACCAGCCTGGGCAACATGGTGAAACCATGTCTCTACTAAAGATACAAAAATTAGCCAGGCGTGGTGGTGCACGCCTGCAGTCCTAGCTACCTGGGAGGCTGAGGCAGGAGAATCACTTGAACCAGGCAGGGGAGGTTGCAGTGAGCCGAGGTTGCACCACTGCACTCCAGCCCGGGCGACAGAGTGAGACTCTATCTCAAATGAAAAAAATAAATAAATATCATGTTTGCTTGCTTTTTTGTTCTGTATTTGAAGAGAGAGAGAGAGATGCTCACTGGTGTCCCCAAATAAAGTAGCAGACGTGAGATCAGCTGTCACCATTGGCTCACAACTTCTGCCAAAGGAAAATGATAAAAGAGCTCAGAATCTTCCTTCCTTATTCCTGCAGCCGCTAGGTCATTCTTCTGGAGATTATATCCCTTGCCTATTGATAAGGGAGGCACACCAGATTTGGGGCTCAGGACCTTATAGACAATTAAGGAATCTCACCCTCAGGCATGGGCAGGAGAAGTGAGGGAGGAAAGAGCTCTTTGTTCACAGGCGGTGCATTAAAGGACTAAGAGACAGCAATCCACTGCACCACTAGCTCTTAGCATGTCCTGTGGAGTCACAGATCCAGCTGTTTATTCGGTATCTCCATTTGGACTCTCATCTTTATCTTAATATTAACAGATTCAGAACAGAATTACAGAATTCTTGAGCTTTCTCCTGCCTCTCTCGCAGTCTTGGCCGTCTCAGCTAATAGTAACTTTGTCTTTTAGTTCCCTGGTAAAAACCTTGGTTTCATCTTTGGTTCTTTTCTTGATCTAACACCCCACATGTAATCCATCTGGAAACCCCGTGAGTTCCCTCTTAAAAGTGTATCCAGAACCTGACCTCTTCCCCTGCCTCACTAACCTCCAACCTCTGCCCTCGCCTCCTTACACTGCGTTCTCAGTACAGTAGCGAGATTGATCCTGGTAGAAAAGCTAAACAAGAGCATGTCCTGCCTGTGCTCAGCACCTTGCAGAGTGAAAACAGCAGTGATCCCCGCAGTGCCTTTCAAGGCCCTCCATGATGACTGACCTCACCTCCTTCTCTATGCCTCCTTCCTGTCTCTGCTGTCCCCTGACTGGAGGCCACCCTTCCCTGTTCCTCGAAGGCCCCAAGCAGGCTCTTGCCTCAGGACTTTTGCACATGCTGTTCCTTCTGCCTGGAAAGCTCTTCCACCACATGACTCCTTCTCCTACAAGGATTGCCCCCAAGTCATGTTCTCTATGATGCCTACTCTCTCCAGCACTCCCACGCTCAACTCAGCCTGCCAAAATTATTCCATTTTCTCCGGCACTCCTCACTTTTAACATAGTTTGTGATTTCCCTGTTGTTTCTCTCTCCCCACTAGAATGGATGTGCCATACTGGAACAGATGTTTGTCTTTTTGGCCAAAGACATATGTATCCCCAGTGCCTAGAAAAGGGCCTGGCATGCACAGATCCTCAGTAAGGGGTTACATGAATCAGTAAATGAATGAATGATTTATATATCATCACCATCAAAACATCAAAATACTCTAGCCAGAAAAGGAGAGATAGCACTAATTTTTAAACTCTAAAACATTTAAATATACATTAAGGAGAAAATAATTAAATGCTCATGCTAAAACACTGCAAAATAGCTGAAAAAGTGTAAACATTTAGGTGTTGGACCTACAAATCAAAATCCCAGCTAAATATGATGCCGATGGCCAGGCGCAGTAGCTCACGCCTGTAATCCCAGCACTTTGGCAGGTTGAGGCGGGTGGATTGCTTGAGCCTAAGAGTTCAAGACCAACGTGGGCAATCTAGTGAGACCCTGTCTCTATTTTTCATATGTGTATGTGTATGTGTAAATAAAGACAGACAAGTATTGTATTTGGTTAATACTTTGTTGTGCTGTTTTTGTTTTGTAAAAGTGCCAAAGAGATGGATGAGACTGTTGCTGAGTTCATCAAGAGGACCATCTTGAAAATCCCCATGAATGAACTGACAACAATCCTGAAGGCCTGGGATTTTTTGTCTGAAAATCAACTGCAGACTGTAAATTTCCGACAGAGAAAGGAATCTGTAGTTCAGCACTTGATCCATCTGTGTGAGGTAACAGTGTTAAAAATGATGAGCCTTGAACAGAGTGCTACCCCCTTGGGTTTTTCTTTCTTCTATTCCTTACTCCAAAAGAGATGTAAGGTAGCTGCTAAACTACTAGTGAAGTGATGAGGGCTATATACAACTGCAGTGGAAAAAAACCTAATTTTTAATTGACCTTTTCATCTTAAAAGAATGCTTAAAAATCAATAAGATGGAAAAAGTAAATATAGTAGAAAAAACAGTACAAATTAAAATAACGAGCAGTATTTTTCGCAGTATTTTTTTAAACCTATCAAATTATCAAGGATGAAAAGACAACAACACCCAGATGTATTGGCAAACTTGTAAGGAAAGAGACTCTGTCTTTCATGTGTATTTATCTCTTTAATTGCTTATTGTTTTAAAATGTTTTCAGACTATCAGAAAAGTTGCAAATTTAGTTCAAATAATTTTCTTATTCCAATATACCCGTCTCTCCTTCACTTTTATTTATTTATTTTTTATTTATTTTTGAGACAGAGTCTTGCTCTGTCATCCATGCTGGAGTGCAGTGGCACAAACTCAGCTTACTGCAACCTCTGCCTCCCAGGTTCTAGCGATTCTAGTGCCTCAGCCTGCTGAGTAGCTGCGACTACAGGCACGCACCACCACACTGGCTAATTTTTGTATTTTCAGTAGAGACGAGGTTTTGCCATGTTGGCCAGGTTGGTGTCAAACTCCTGACCTCAGGTGATCTGCTCACTTTGGCCTCCCAAAGTGCTGGGATTACAGGTGTGAGCCACCATGCCTGGCCTCCTTTGCTTTTAAATAAATATACTTTTTGACCTAGCAATTCTACTTACAGAAATTTATGATGAGAAAATAATAAAAAATAGGAGGTATGTATAAATATTGATAAATATTTAGTTATATAAATGAAGATGCATTGTAGCATTGTTTTAAAAACAAAACACGTTCACATAAAGACGTGTGTACTAATGTTCACAGCAACATTATTCATAAAAGCCACAAACTGGAAACAACCCAAATGTCCATCAGCAGGTAAACAGATGAACAGATTGTGATGTTTCCATACAGTGGATATACTCAGCAGTAAAAAGGAATGAAGTATTCATAGATGCTAACATATGGATGGATATCAAAATAATTGTGCTGAGTAAAAGCCAGACCAAAAAAATGAGTACACACTTATGTTAACATTCATATAAACCTCTAGAAAATGCAAACAAATCTGTAATGACAGAAAGCAGATCAGCGTTTGCCTTAGGACTAAGGCTTGGGAGGTAGAGACATGGGAACCAAGAAGAGTGGAAGGAAGTGGGCGGTGATAAGAAAGGGACACAAGACTGGACTCAGTGGCTCCTGCCTGGAATCCCAGCACTTTGGAAGGCCAAGGCAGGCAGATCATTTGGGTTAGGAGACCAGCCTGGCCAACATGGTGAAACCCCTTCCCTACTAAAAATACAAAAATCAGCTAGGCATGGTGGTGCACACCTGTAATCCCAACTCCTTGGGAGGCTGAGGCAGGAGTATCACTTGAAACTGGGAGACAAAGGTTGCAGTGAGCTAAGATTGCGCGTTTGCACTCCTGCTTGGGCAATAGAGCAAGACTCTGTCTCCAAAAAAAAAAAGAGACACGAGAAAATCTGGGAGGCAGTGCTGGTGGATATTGTCACTGTCTTGATTGTGGTAGTGGTTTTGTGTGTATATTCATAAGTCAAAATGTATCAAATTGTATACTTTAAAAATATACAGTTTAATGGATGATAATTATACTTCAATAAAGTTAATTTTTAAAAAATCAAAAAGTTAAAAGTGATAAATGAGGAATAAATTGTGAGAGAAGGTTGTGGACTAAGACATGAATCAGAAAGAATGTCCATTGGTTAACAGGAGAAGAGATTGGAGATGGGTTGTCAGTAAAGTACTGAGAATGTGCTAATAGTCTGTTCTAACCAATCCTAAAATGTGTTTTAAACGGGATAGAACCAAACCTATAACCACAGTTACTAAATAATTTGTTTTCTCTTTTAGGAAAAGCGTGCAAGTATCAGTGATGCTGCCCTGTTAGACATCATTTGTAAGTGTCAGTGATTTGTATTTATACTTAACCAATCAGTTTATTAGAGGCAATTTTGTTTCTTTCTTTGTGAGACAGGGTCTCCCTCTGTCGCCCAGGCTGGAGTGCAGTAACGCCATCTCAGCTCACCGCGACCTCTGCCTCCTGGATTCAAGTGATTCTCCAACCTCAGCCTCCCGAGTAGCTGGGACTATAGCAGTGCACCACCATGTATGGCTAATTTTTTGTATTTTTTGCCACAAGGTTTTGCCGTGTTGCCCAGGCTGGTCTCCAGCTCCTGGGCTAAAGTGTTCCTCCTACCAAAGTGCTGGGATTATAGGTGTGAACCGCTGTACTTGTCCCAGAAGCAATTTTGTATATAACGCCTCAGAGTCTAGAGTTCAGGAGACCTTGTTTCAAATCCCAGTATGTCACTCAGCCGTATGTTCTTTGACAAGTTGCATCACCTTTCTGAGCCTCAGACTTCAAGCAGAGATAATAGTACATTATCTACTTCACGGTATTCTTGTTAGGATTAAATGAGGTAGTGCCCGAGAAGCTGTTAGCATGGTAACTGGCACATCAGAAACACAAAGTAAATGTTTGGCTTTGTATTACTCAGGTTGCCAACTTACAACAGCTCAACTTAAAAATTTTCAACTAGTATGAAAGCAGCAGACATTCAACAGAAACCATACTTTGAGTTCCTATACAACCATTCTTTTCTCACTTTCAGTACAGCATTTAGTAAGTTACATGAGGTATGCAACAGTTTATGATAGAAGACTCTGTTGGATGATTTTGCTCAACTGTAGGCTAATGTAAGTGCTCTGAGCACACATAAGGTAGGCTGGGCTAAGCTAAGATATATGAAGGTTAGGTGAATTATTTTCACCTCAAGGTGGATTTATCAGGCATAGCCCCATCATAAGTCAAGAAGCATCTGTATTATTATTAAAGGATTTGAAAATATCTTTCTGAAAATTTGTTCCTATTACAGTGTAGCTTCTCACCTCTCCTCCCTTCCATTTCATTGATTTTTGTCTAGCTTTCCTGTCTGTACTTTTTCAAGATGTCTGTTTTTTTTATCAGAAGGCAGCATAATATAGGGGCTGAGAACACAGGCCCTGGGGCCAGACCTCTTGGGTTCATTTCATGGCTCCGTTACTGCCTCCCTGTGAGCCCTGGAGGAAGTTGGTTAACATCTCTGTGGCATACCGACATCTCTGGTATTATCATTTGACCAATCTGTATAATAGTGATAATATCACATAAGGTTATGGTGAGGATTAAATAAGAGTACATGTTAAATACTTAAAGCCTGGTATTAACTAATTGCAATCATTATGTATTAGCTGTTTTCTGTAAGTGTAACAAAAATTATCTTTATTAATACTTTGCTCCAACTCATGGCATGCTCCAATTCAGCTATTGCTGAATTTGGAGCATCTGCCTCTGATTTAGTTTGTCTCATTTTCAGTGGTTGGATTCTCTCAAGCATAAAAGGTGGATCCACACCATTCCCATTTCTCATACATTGATTCAAAAATTCATTAAGCACCTGGCTGGACGCAGTGGCTCACACCTGTAATCCCAGCACTTTGGGAGACCAAGGCAGGTGGATCACCTGAGGTCAGGAGTTGGAGACCAGCCTGGCCACTATGGTGAAACCCCATCTCTACTAAAAATACAAAAAATTAGCCGGGCATGATGGCAGGTACCTGTAATCTGCTATTCGGGAGGCTGAGGCAGGAGAATCATTTGAACCCAGGAGACAGAGATTGCAGTCAGCCAAGATCACACCACTGCACTCCAGCCTGGCGACACCGTGAGACTCTGTCTCAAAAAAAAAAAGGAAAAAGAAAAGAAAACCTGGTCTGAAGTCCAGAGGCACAGACAGAGGTCAGTGCAGAGACAATTTTAAGCCAGAAGGATGAAGGGATATGGTTGAACTTGCTAACTTCCTAGGTCCATTTCTACTCCAAGACACTCCAAGTTTGTAACTCCTGAAAGGTGTTTTCTGTCATATACTTATTCATTCATTCGTTCATCAAACATATACTGAAGCCTGGTGTGGTGGTGTGGGACACTTGGGAGGCTGAGGCAGGAGGATTGCTTGAGCCCGCGAGTTCAAGTCTAGCCCAGTTAACATAGTGAGACCCTGTCTCTTAGAAAAACAAAACAAATATTGAGTGCTTGCTTTATGCCACGCAGTTAAGTTTAGACCTGGGACTACAACAGTGAACAGGTCCCTCATTTCCATCAGAGTCTAACTGGAAAGACAGGCAGTGTACAAATGAACATCTAAATAAATAATGTGGCTGGGCACGATGGCTCACGCCTGTAATCCCAGCACTTTGGGAGGCCAAGGTAGGTGGATCACCCGAGGTCAGGAGTTCGACACTAACCTGGCCAACATGGTGAAACCTCATGTCTACTAAAAATACAAAAAATTAGCCAGGCGTTGTGGCAGGCATGTGTAATTCCAGTACTCGGGAGGCTGAAGCAGGAGAATCGGTTGAACCCGGGAGGCACAGGTTGCAGTGAGCTGAGATTGCACTATTGCACTCCAGCCTGGGCAACAAGGGTGAAACTCCATCTCAAAAAATAATAATAATAAATACACACATACATACATACATACATAATGTGACATCAGGTAGTGATGAGTCCTCCGACAGGAACTGGGAACTAACGCAGGGTGTTTGGGGTAGGGTGATCCGGGCGGGGACTACTCTGAGTAGAGAGCAGAATGAGGTGGGGAGTAGGGTGTGTAAGGAGCTAGGAGAAGAGGCTCCAGGCAGAGGAACAGCTGGCTCAAATGTGGGTCCTGTGGGGCACAGCATTCCCTGTCGTGCCAGATTAATGTGGCATTCTGTGGAATGGAATAAATGGAATGTGGAAATGGAATAAATGGGCTAACATAGAATAAATACCAAAACTCAACTGTATTATCTAAGTCAGTTGAATTAAGTAATTATGATTTGCTTTATTTATATGAAGTACTTTAATCCATATAAAGTTTATATTTTGAATACAAATCTGTATAACTCAATTTGTGAATTACTGTTACTTTCCCCAGTTTTAAAGTATAGAAATATCTATAAGCATATTACTTCAAAGTTCTATGATATGCTAGTAATAAAGCTTTCTTCCCTCTCTCAGATATGCAATTTCATCAGCACCAGAAAGTTTGGGAAGTTTTTCAGATGAGTAAAGGACCAGGTAATATTTTCTGTTTACAATTGAATATTTGATAGTTTGGCTTGGACTCAGGAAGCAGAGGTTACAGCGAGCTGAGATTGCACCACTGCACTCCAGCCTGGGTAACAGAGCAAGACTCTATATCCAAAAAAAAAAAATAGCAGTATGTTCCTCATTTCTTTCAAAATGAGGTGATTATTTATTACTCACTTTTGGAAAATGAGAAACATACTTCTTGGTGCCATGTCAGAAGTACTAGCACCATTTGTGTGATTTGATCATTATTACTCTGGAATTATACAAAATGCTTAGTTTCATGGTACTTTACGAATGTATTTACTGAAGACATTGTAGCTCCCTTGATTTTTCTTTATTTTTTTTTCACTTTGGCAGGTGAAGATGTTGACCTTTTTGATATGAAACAATTTAAAAATTCGTTCAAGAAAATTCTTCAGAGAGCATTAAAAAATGTAAGAATAAAATTCATCTTTTACATAAAATTCAATGTCATGACGTCTGTGCACTTAAAATTTGCTACTATCATAGTTTTTTTTTAATTTGTAAGAAATTCAGTTAGTAATAGTTCATACGGTTCTACTCCATATCAGAAACACACTGTAAATATTATGAAAACTTCCCTTTCCTCTCTCCTGTCCATTCAGGGCCTGAGGCTTCTTTTTCCAGAGGAGCTCAGTCCAACAGAGCTTTCTGCAGTGATGGAAATGCTCTGTATTGGCACTGTTCAGTTCAGCCACATGTAGCTGCTGAGCACTTGCGGCTAGTGTGACTGAGCAGCTGAATTTTTAATCTTTTTTTTTTTTTCTTTCCTTGAGACAGAGTCTTACTCTGTTGCCCAGGCTGGAGTGCAGTGGCGAGATCTCGGCTCACTGCAACTGCCTCCTGGGTTCAAGCAATTCTTCTGCCTCTGCCTCCCGAGTAGCTGGGACTACAAGCACGCACCACCATGCCCAGCTAATTTTTGTATTTTTAGTAGTGATGGGGTTTCTCCATGTTGACCAGGCTGGTCTCGAACTCCTAACCTCAGATGATCTGCCTGCCTCGGCCTCCCAAAGTGCTGGGATTACAGGTGTGAGCCACCGCACCCAGCCTGAATTTTTAATCTTTTTAAACTTCAATGATTTTTTACATTAAATAGCCACATGTAGCTAGTAGTTCCAGTAATAGTCAGTGCAAACCTGAAGCACCCTTGATTTTACAGATGTTTTTGCTTTTTTAATGTAAAACAAAGAAGCTATTCAGAATAAGACAATCTTCCATTCAAGGCAGTAGAGGCCCACTGAGCATGTGACTGGGTCCAAGCTCTATGATGCTCACTCAGGAAAGTCAGACAGCTGTGTGCCGCCATACCCTGGACTGGGGAGACTTTCTTGTCTCCTGCACTGAGGGAATTTGGAAAAGCTGCTAAAGAATGAGCAGAATTTGCTAGTGCCACTGTAACAACCCACTTTTCCTAGAACAAGATCTCAGAGGGAGGAAACAGAGACGTGGGCAAGCTGAGTGCATCTCACTCAAGTCCCTCCTTTCTAGGCTCAGAGCTTTAAAGGGAAGCTGAATCAGAGGGGAGCTGATAATCCAGGAGCAGCCTATTAAATTCCAGACCAATTGGCAACCATATTTAAAAGTTTGGAAAGGCCTGTATTTTATCCATGAAGTGGATTCAAGGTAGTACCTCTGGTCTTGCCATGTAACATTCTTTTAGAGGAGTTTTTAGCTTCTGAGCTAAATGCATAAGAGCATTAGGAATAGTATATTTTCAAGCCCATTATTACATAGAAATCTTCTTTAAGCCCATTATGACATAGAAATCTTCTTTTTCTTCTTCTTTTTGTTTTGTTTTTGTTTTTTTTTGGAAACGTGGTCTCACTCTGTTGCCCAGGCTGGAATGCACTGACATGATCTCGGCTCACTATAGTCTAGACCTCCCAGGCTCAAGCCATCCTCCCACCTCAGCCTCTTGAGTAGCTGGGACTATAGGCACATGTCACCGTGCCTGGCTTTTTTTTTTTTTTCCGGTAGATACTGAGTTTCACTATGTTGTCCAGGTTGGTCTCAAAACTCCTGGGCTCAAGCGATCCTCCTACCTCAGCCTCCCAAAGTGCTAGGATTACAGGCATAAGCCACAACACCCAGCCTAATTACATAGAAATCTTACTGTTAAAGTTTATAGCGTGTGCTAGGTCTGGGTTAGATGCTAAGAAGGCTTCATTATAAAACAAGTATCTCATTTGTAAGGCTGCCTTACCTCATAAATTCTTACGTAAGGAGGAACAGTTTTCAGGACAAGCCCAAGAAATTATTGAAAAAACAATCACCTCTACAAAAAAAAACTTTTTTAAAAAAATTAGCCAGGCATGATGGCACGTGCCTGTGGTCTCAGCTACTAGGGAGGCTGAGATGGGATTGCTTGAGCCCAGGAAGTTGAGGCTGCCGTGAGCAGGCTATGATCATGCCACAGCACTCCAGCCTGAGCAACTGAGCAAGACCTAGTCTCAAAAAAAAAAAAAGAACTGAAAAGGATTTTTTTTTTTTAAAATCACAAAATGTTTTCCCAAAGATTCTCAAAATACTCATGAAAAGCAGAAAAGACTGCCAGGTCTCAACCTGCATACAAGAGTATAGGGACATCATTGTTCACCCCTAATAAGCACCTGGAGTTGGTGCCACAGTGAAATTTTAATTAGGAAATTAAGCCTTTTTTTTTTTTCTTTAATAAGGTGACAGTCAGCTTCAGAGAAACTGAGGAGAATGCAGTCTGGATTCGAATTGCCTGGGGAACACAGTACACAAAGCCAAACCAGTACAAACCTACCTACGTGGTGTACTACTCCCAGACTCCGTACGCCTTCACGTCCTCCTCCATGCTGAGGCGCAATACACCGCTTCTGGGTCAGGTATGGAAAAAATTATTACAAGCTATAATATTTTATTATCCTATCTCAAAGGTCTATATAGATTTTAACTGTTGAATAAGTATTTGATAGAGAATACTAGGCCAGGTGCAGTGGCATGTACCTGTGGTCCCAGCTACTTGGGAGGCTGAAGTGGGAGGATTGCTCGTGCCCACGAGTCCAAGGCTGCCGTGAGCTGCGATCACAAGACAAAGCAACACCCCACCTCTAAAAAAACAAAAAAAAGATATAGAATACCACATGTAATTCTTGTTCTCCTAAAATAAGAAACAGAGTGTTGTTATCTGCAGATGGGAACATGGCATAAGATATTAGATTGGAGCTATATTTTATTGTTTTTTGATCTAGAAATAATGCATACTTAATATAAAAAAATGCAACCGATACAGAAGTCTCTAAAGATAAAAAGTCTTCAAAGCTTCATACCCCTTTTCCCTATTCCGTTCGTTCAAAATAACTACTGTCAAAGTTTGCTATTTCCTTTGACAAGATGGTTATTAGAAAAGCCAGGGTAGGCCAGGCGCGGTGCTCATGTCTGTAATCCCAATACTTTGGGAGGCCGAGGCAGGTGGATCACCTGAAGTCAGGAGTTTGAGACCAGCCTGGCCAACATGGTAAAACCCTGTCTCTACTAAAAATACAAAAAAATTAGCCAGGCGTGGTGGTGGGCACCTGTAATCCCAGTTACTTGGGAGGCTGAGGCAGGAGAATTGCTTGAACCCGGGAGGCAGAGGTTGCAGTGAGCCCATATCGCACCATTGCACTCCAGCCTGGGCAACGAGAAAGAAACTCCGTCTTAAAAAAAAAAAAAAATTAACATAACATTTCCACGTGGTTACAAATGAATATACCTCATTACTTTTTCATAATTGTATAATTTGCTTATTAATGAACATTATTTTCATTTGTAACCATTTCTCCCACATTCCATACACAAGGAGACTGCTTTCACATAAGATGTAGCCTCTGTTCCGAGCCTGCTTCTCTTTATGGTTCTGCCTTTAATATCACAGGCTTCCTAGCATCTTTCCCCAAAGTTAGTTCTCCCTAAATTGGCCTGGCACTTGCTGCTACCACTGTTAGCATTCACAACCTCAGTGGCACCTTCAATTGGTTCCAGAGCTGCCACATCAGCTGGTTGTAGGCGAGCAGCTCCACCATCCTGGCTGCATCATGTCCTGTCACTCCACAGCAGAGTGGGGTGGAGGTGCGGTGTGGAGTACCAAGGACTCCACTGTTGTGACCAGGCGAGCCCTAGGTAGTAAATGACTACTTGCTTGTCATTTAAGTTTTTTGGTGGTTTATTGAAATGGCAAAGACTGCTACTCACTTCTATTTCCTTAAAACACTTCTTTACATTTGGGGTCTCCTGCTCCATGATACATAGTGGTCTTTCATCCACTTATAGCCAGGTGAGTACACCTTGCCACAGGTAGTTTAAACATTACCCCAAAGGCTAATGTTCTTTTTTTTTTTTTGAGACAGGGTCTCACTCTGTCACCCAGGGTGGGGTGCAGTGGGGCGATCTTGGCTCACTGCACCCTCCACCCCCAAGGTTCAAGCGATTCTCCTGCCTCAGCCTCCCAAGTAGCTGGGACTACAAGCACTCACCACTATGCCTGGCTAACTTATTTTTCTATTTTTAGTGGAGGTGGGGTTTCACCATGTTGCCCAGGCTGGTCTCAAACTCCCGACTTCAAGTGATCCACCTGCCTTGGCCTGCCAAAGCGCTGGGATTACAGCCGTGAGCCACTGCGCGGACTAATGTTCATTTCTATTGTGTATCTTAAGGCAAACTTGTCTGTTCTCTAGATCAGGTTAAACATCTTATCCTATCATAGTAATTCTGTTTCAGTCTTCTTTTCCCCTAATGACAGGAAACTCTTATGAGCTGTATTCAATACACACTTATTTCTTCAGTATTTGCCAAAAAGCATACATATCTGCGTTTTTGTATGGCAATATCATTATGGTATTAGATGACTGATATTCAAAAACAGTAACATTTTGAGTATTTATTGTTTATTCCAAAGTCTGAACTTGATTTATTAGTAACTCCTAACTTTAAACAGGATCGCTTTTCTAAGAAATGATACAAAAGACTGCATTTATCAGAGTATTAATGCCATTAACCACTTTGTTTTTGAAGCTCAGTAACAGGCTATCAGATGTTTTTCTAGACTTCTTTTTACACTTACGGGGAAACTATTCCCTAATTGCAGCTCTTACATTTTACTTTGACAAGTATTATAAACACAGAGGCAGTAATCCTAGTAATAGTCTTGCAAATTTTCATTTCAAGGCGCTGACAATTGCTAGCAAACACCATCAGATTGTGAAAATGGACCTGAGAAGTCGGTATCTGGACTCTCTTAAGGCTATTGTTTTTAAACAGTATAATCAGGTGAGCCAATCAGTGACTCTCTTTAAAGGTAAATCTTTATTTTCTCTTTGACACAGGAGTTAGAAGCTACTGGGAAAATCTACCTCCGACAAGAGGAGATCATTTTAGATATTACCGAAATGAAGAAAGCTTGCAATTAGTGAACATGAAAGGAAAATAAAAATTCCTCACAGTCATCTTTTTATAATTGTATTGTGTTTTATACCACTCATTAGTCACTGGAGTCTGTGTTGTAGATCTCAGCTTCCAAATCACCTGATCACACTAGAATTTGTTTTCTCTTTAGAGAAACTTCACATTATCTTTTGAAGCTAAATATATTATTCTATGAAACAACAGAGAAGTAGAATTAACTTTTTGTCCCATCACTCAAGCAGGTTATACAGGCACTGGAATTAAAGGGAAAAGCAGTGGTTTTTTAAATCCCAAAGTTCATTTGTTAAAATAATTTGAATGTAATGTTCCCCTCTAATGACAAATACAGATCTGTCCTTACAGATGCAGGGGTGTTTTTTCAAACTATGCATGGCAGATGTCTGCATATGTGTTGACACTCCTGTGAGTGGATTGTTAATGCTCTGTGTATATCTTTGAGCCACTAGAGATGTTATACTTCTGTATTTTCATCTGTTCTAAGCAGAAAGAAGTGACAGCTCTCTGCAAGCAGTCCCTCTTTAAGGAAAAACTAACATTAAGAAGTTATATCATGAGGCCAGGCACAGTGGTTCACGCCTATGATCCCAGCACTTTAGGAGGCCAAGGTGGGAGGAATGCTTGAGCCCAGGAGTTTGAGATGAGCCTGGGCAGCATAGGGAGACCACATCTCTACAAAACAAAAAATAAATAATATATATTTTTTAAACTTAGATCATGATTTTCTTCTCTAGCCATCCCCTCCTACCTACTACCCTCTCACCAAATTGATATAAACTGTTCTGCTATAATACGACAGTAGTGGCCAGGCACCATGGCTCATGCCTGTAACCCTAGCTCTTTGGGAGGCCAAGAAGGGCAAATCCCTTGAGCCCAGGAGTTCAAGACCAGCTTGGGCAATATGGCGAAAACCCGTCTCTACAAAAAATACAACAAATAACCAGGCATGCCGGGCGCGGTGGCTCACACCTGTAATCCCAGCACTTTGGGAGTCCGAGGCGGGCGGATCACAAAGTCAGGAGATCAAGACCATCCTTGCTAACACGGCGAAACCTTGTCTCTACTAAAAATACAAAAAAATTAGCCAGGCATGGTGGCGGGTGCCTGTAGTCCCAGCTACTTGGGAGGCTGAGGCAGGAGAATGGCATGAAACCGGGAGGCAGAGCTTGCAGTGAGTGGAGATAGTGCCACTGCACTCCAGCCTGGGCGACAGAGTGAGACTCTGTCTCAAAAAAAAAAGTAGCCAGGTGTGGTGCCGCATGCCTATAGTCCCAGCTACCTGGGAGGCTGAGTTAGGAGGATCTCCAAAGCCCAGGGAGACTGAGGCTGCAGTGAGCCATGATCATGCCACTCACTCCAGCCCGAGCAACAGACTGAGATATTGTCTAAAAAAAAAAAAAAGACAGTGGCATTCTTACGAAAATCCACGTTGTCAAGCACAGAACTATAAAAACAATGGATTCAGTGGGTGAAGGTAGGAGAAGGGGTTCAAGAGATTCAGACTTACAGTAGGAAAGTTATTTTTCCAATCTCAGTAAGTTTTTTAGGGTTATGAAGATTGAGCACTGACGACGCTGAAATACCACAGTGCAAATGCTTCCGTAGATTCCCTGGGCTCTGCACTCACCAGATCCATTTCTATGATAAAGCACAGAGCTCCTCAAACAGAACAGTCGAGTTGCAGGCTCAGCAGCCTCCTTGTCAGTGTCCTGCTCAACTCAGCCAACTCAGCCAGGATATGGCTTTGGATCTTTCTGTTGGAAAAAAATAAACATTTGACATACTTTAATATACTAAAAAAAAAATTAATATCTGTACTTCAAGATGTCAAGATTAGTAAAATATTCACTTTTTTTTCCCTAGACCTTTGAAACTCACAACTCTACGACACCTCTACAGGAAAGAAGCCTTGGACTAGATATAAATAGTACGTGTGTGTTAATATGAAACTGAATTTTGGAAATGCATCATTCCCTTATAGATTTCTTTCACTTGGTAAAACGTGTATAGTAGGATCCTAATTTAAAACTTTTATTGTTTTCAGAAAAATTGAAAAGTAAATATCTGTTGAAGGAGGAAAGCTAATCTACCATAGTTCTCCTTTAGAATTTACTAGAATAACAATAAACAACAAAACAATAATTACAAAAACAAAAGTTAGCTAATAGTTGTTGAGCATTTCTTGTGTGCCAGGCACCACACTAAGATGTTTATATGTATTCTTTCCTTAATCTTCACAGTAGTCCTGTGAATAAGCGCCATTCATCAGGAAACTGGGTTTCAGGGAGGTATGGTAACTCTCTAGGCAAAGTCACACAGCTAAGGAGTGGCAAAACTGGGAGTAAAATCCAGGTACGTCTGGATCTGGAGCCCATGCTCTTAATGCGCTGGATAAACTTCTAGAACAATGAGAATCATGACTGTATTGCTACTCACAGATGTCTGAAGTCTCTCACTAGAAAACCCAAGAGAAAAGAGTACAGAACTACTAAAGTAAATTTACAAAAGTGGTGGGGTAAAATAAAAATTCATAAAAAAATGAAAACTTTCCTATCTCTTAGTAGAGATTTGGCAATGAAATGAAACAGTGCCACTGTTATAAACTAAACACTTTTATGATTTTCCAGTGTCATAGGAACTGCTGTTGATCTCATCTTAGGTAAAGAAATCAGGATATAAAATTGTGTGTATCTTACGATTCCAGTTTTAAAAATACATAGGTGAGGCTAGGAACAATGTTATGCATCTGTGGTCCCGGCTACTTGGGAGGTTGAGGAGGGAAGATCACGAGCCCAAGAGATCCAGTCCAGACTGGGCAACATAGTGAGACCCTGTCTCTCTTTTTTTTTTTTTTTTTTTTTTTTTTTTTAAGACAGAGTCTCACTCTATTTCCTAGGCTGGAATGCAGTAGCATGATTTCAGCTCACTGCAACCTCTGCTTCCCAGGTTCAAGCGATTCTCTTTCCTCAGCCTCCCAACTATCTGGGACTACAGGCGCCTGCCACCACACCTGGCTAATTTTTGTATTTTTAGTAGACATGGGATTTCACTATGTTGGCCAGGCTGGTCTGGAACTTCTGACCTCAAGTGATCCTCCCGCCTCAGCCTCCTGAAGTGCTGGGATTACAGGTGTGAGCCACCGTGCCCAGCCGAGACCCCATCTCTTAAAAAAAATACATATATAGGCTGGGTGCCATGGAGATATATATATATATATATGTGTGTGTGTGTGTGTGTGTATATATATGTGTGTGTATATATATATGTATATATATGTGTGTATATATATATGTATATATATATGTGTATATATATGTGTATATATATGTGTGTGTATATATATGTATATATATGTGTGTGTATATATATATACACATATATGCATCTTTATTTTTATTCACTGTAAAAAGAGCTAGGCAAAAATATACTAAAATGCTAACAGTGCTTATCTCTGGGTGGTAGAATTATGATTTTTATTTTCTCTTTTATCAACCTGTACTTCACTACCCTAAGAAACTTCCCTACACTAAGAAATTATTACAGCCAAGAGAAGAAGCAGTAAATATTATTTTAAAATTATACAAACAATTCGAAGGGTTAGGAATGAAAGGAGGATAATTTAAGGATGAAATATATTCCTAACGGCTGTTTTATTTGAAATCTTCCACCCATAGTGGATTCAAGGATCATTCATGAAAACATAGTAGAAAAAGAGAGAGTCCAACGAATAACTCAAGAAACATTTGGAGATTATCCTCAACCACAACTAGAATTTGCACAATATAAGGTAAGATGTCGTAATAAATATTAAGTACAAGATATCAACATTGTTTAAAAAGAACAAAAACCTTAAGTGGAAAACAGATCTAAGAAACTGTTCCTTTTTCACTTGTCACTTAAATTTCATGTAATAAATTTATGAATTAAATAGACCTCTTTATTGTATTTATAAGTTCCTCTGTTAGCAAAAGAGACCTTTAGAAATTATGAATCTGGGCTGGGCGTGATGGCTCACTGCAACCTCTGCCTCCCAGGTTCAAGCAATTCTCCTGCCTCAGCCTCCCGAGTAGCTGGGATTACAGGCACCTGCCACCTCACCTGGCTAATTTTTTTTTTTGGAGTTTTAGTAGAGACGGGGTTTCATCGTGTTGGCCAGACTGGTCTCGAACGGCTGGCCTCAGGTGATCCACCTTGCCTCGGCCTCCCAAGGTGTTGGGATTACAGACGTGAGCCACTGCGCCCAGCCATAAGTTGATAATTATTTTACCTGGGTGATGTGCACATGGGGCTCATACCGTGCTCCTTACTTTTGTATATGTTTAAAATCTTCCATAATTAGAAGTTAAAAAGATATCTCAGTTGGGCACAGTGGCTCACACCTATAATCCCAGCACTTTGGGAGGCTGAGGCGGGCGGATCCCTTGAACCCAGGAGACTGAGACCAGCCTGGGCGACACAGCAAAACCCTGTGTCTACAAAAATTCAAAAATACAAGGTGTGGTGGCATGTGGCTGTGGTCCCAGCTACTTGCACTGAAGCGGGAGAATGGCTTGAGCCAGGGAGGTCGAGGCTGCAATGAGCCATGTTCGTACCACTCCAACTTGGGCAACAAAGTAAGACTCTGTCTCAAAAAAGAAACAAAGAAAGAAATCTCAGTGTGACTCAAAAAAAATGTGGTATTTTTACATTGAAGTTACAGATTGCAAAAGATAGCACTAATTTTCCATTAAGAATGCAAACTGTAAAGGGCACCTGAGGGTGGAACTGACAGTCAGTATCTCCCATGTAGCAGGCACTGTGCATGCTGGCATTTTGCCTTGGATGTTGTTTGATACACCAGTTGCCCTCTATGTTTTGTTTTGTTTTTTTCTGAGATGCAGTTTCACTCTGTTGCCCAGGCTGGAGTGCAGTGGCACCATCTTGGCTCACTGCAGCCTCCGCCTCCTGGGTTCAAGCAATTCTCATGCCTTGGCCTCCTGGGTAGCTGGAATTACAGGTGCCCACCACCATACCCAGCTAATTATTGTATTTTTAGTTAAGACGGGGTTTCACCATGTTGGCCAGGCTGGTCTCAAACTCCTAACCTCAAGTGATCCACTCGCCTTGGCTTCCCAAAGTGCTGAGATTACAGGCATGAGCCACTTTGCCCGACCTGCCCTCTATGTTTGCAGTTAGCAGATTAAATGGTCCCCACCCCTGTTAATTCCTGTATTTCTTAATGGCAAGAATTAATGAAACGTATCATTATGATTTCATTATATTTTACCATTCGTATTTATACAATATGTTTAATAGTCATTTATAAATGTTTGTTGACAGCTTGAAACGAAATTCAAAAGTGGTTTAAATGGGAGCATCTTGGCTGAGAGGGAAGAACCCCTCCGATGCCTAATAAAGTTCTCTAGCCCACATCTTCTGGAAGCATTGAAATCCTTAGCACCAGCGGGTGAGTGGTCAGCTTACTCTATAAGCTAGAAAAATTAACAACATGCCTCCATTCCATCCTTATAATCTGCTAATTACTTCTGAGCTCACCCATCACCCTAGTCTGCTAGCCCATCCTGCTCTCTCTTGCATCTTCTGCTTCTGTACTTAATAGGGAGGAGGGGCATCTATGATCCACCCTCTAATCTCAGCCATTTTTAAACTGACTCAAATCCATCCTCCTGTGATGACTTTTAATTTTCTTTTTCCCTTTTTTTTTTTTTTAATTTCAGGTATTGCAGATGCTCCACTTTCTCCACTGCTCACTTGCATACCCAACAAGAGAATGAATTATTTTAAAATTAGAGATAAATAAGACGTGCGTGGTTTCTTAAGCACAGCTCCTCCTTCTTGATATTGCACATGCACTTCAGTTCATGGCTAGCTGTATAGCTTCCGTCTGTAAACTTGTATTTTCAAGAATCCTTGGTATTGAATTTTTAGAAATGCTCACATAATTGTTGGGACTGATTCATTCCTCCACGATATGCCTCCTCTCTCTGATATCCTGCTAACTGTAGCCGTTGTGGCATTTGAGATGACAGGACATATATATATATGGCCCCACACTTGACCTTGAGTGCCTGAATGCTCTGAAATCAAGCATATGGCACAGCGCTCAAGACTTTTGGGTTTGTGTCCTTTTTTCTATGGCTGTCTCTTCTCAATTCTGGAGAGGTCTGGTTCCAGTGGCTGGTTTCCAGGGATTGATTCTTAAGCTCTGGATCACAGAGAGAAGCAACAAGGAACTATACTCAACTCAAAACTTTTTAGGAGAATCATGAAATTGGTCTATTCAAAGGATGGAGTTGAGTCCATTCTGTTATTGTTGCAAGAGGTTGCATATTTGGTGAGTCAGTTATATAAAATAGTGTTCTTATTGTAAATATGATACTTCTCATAATCTATTTTATCATGTGTATAACATTCAAACTGACAAATATATTGACTTATGAATAAAGGTGTCAAAAAACTGGCACATCAGTTAATTTTGATCAAAGTACTTCAGTGATCATCACTAAATACCCTATCTTTTTAAAAATTTTTTCCTTTCTAATTTTTTATTTCTTTATTTATTTATTGAGACAGGGTCTCACTGTGTCACCCAAGCTGGAGTGCAGTGGCATGATCATGGCTCACTGCAGCCTGGACCTCCCAGGCTCAAGTGATCCTTCCACCTCAGCCTCCCGAATAGCTGGGATTACAGACGCGCTCCATCCTGCCCAGCTAATTTTTTTTTTGTTTGTTTTTTGTTTTTTGAGACAAGTCTCCTTCTATCGCCCAGGCTGGAGTGCAATGGCACAATCTTGGCTCCCTGCAACCTCTGCCTCCTGGGTTGAAGAGATTCTCCTGCCTCAGCCTCTGAGTAGCTGGGACTACAGGCCTGCACCACCATGCCCAGCTAATTTTTGTATTTTTAGTAGAGACAGGGTTTCTCCATGTTGCCCAGGCTGATCTCAAACTCCTGGGCTCAAGCAATCTGCCCATTTTAGCCTCCTAAAATGCTGGGATTATAGGAGTGTATTAGTCTATTCTCATGCTGCTAATAAAGATACCTAAGACTGGGTAATTCACAAAGGAAAGAGGCTTAACTGACGCACATTTCCACGTGGCCAGGGAGGCCTCACAATCATGGTGGAAGGCAAATGAGAAGCAAAGTCATGTCTTACATGGCGGCAGGCAAGAGAGCTTGTGCAGGGAAACTCCCATTTATAAAACCACCAGAGCTCATGAAACTTATTCACTACCATGAGAATAGTATGGGGGAAATCGTTCCCATGACTCAAGTATCTCCACCTGGCCCTGCCCTTGTCACATGGGGGTTATTACAATTCAAGGTGACACTTGTGTGGAGACACAGCCAAACCATATCACAGGCATGAGCTACCACGCCCGCCAGCATGTCTTTTTTAAACATTTTAAAATCTATTCTTTATCTTGTTTCAGAGAGGATTTGGAGTTACAGAAACACATTAGACTGGGCATGGTGGCTCACACTTGTAATCCCAGCACTTCAGGAGGTTTCTCCTAGTGTACTCTCACACTTCTGATACCAGATATGTGGGGGAGGGGGTTTCCCCCACACATTAAGCAAGTGTGAAACATGATATAGAAAAATGACTTCACTCTGGGCCGGGTGTAGTGGCTCACGCCTGTAATCCTAGCACTTTGGGAAGCCGAGGTGGGCAGATCACCCGAGGTCAGGAGTTCGAGACCAGCCTAGCCAACATGGCAAAACCTTGTCTCTACTAAAAATAGAAAAATTAGTTGGGGGTAGTGGCAGCCGCCTGTAATCCCAGCTATTCGAGAGGCTGAGGCAGGAGAACTGGTTGAACCGGGGAGGCAGAGGTTGCAGTGAGCCAAGATCATGCCACTGCACTCTAGCCTGGGTGACAGAGTGAAACTCTGCCTCAAAAAATAAAATAAAGGCCAGGCATGGTGGCTCACGCCTATAATCCCAGCACTTTCAGAGGCCAAGGCAGGTGGGTCACAAGGTCAAGAGTTTGAGACTAGCCTTAGCAACATGGTGAAGGTGAACCCCGACTCTACTAAAAATACAAAAATTAGCTGGGCCTGGTGGTGTGCACCTGTAATCCCAGCTACTTAGGAGGCTGAGGCAGGAGAATCGCTTGAACCCGGGAGACATAGGTTGCAGTGAGCCGAGACTGCACCACTGCACTCCAGCCTAGGTGACAGAGTGAGACTCCATCTTAAAAAATAAATAAATAAAATAAAATAAATGACATCACTTTGGTTCAGAGCTCTAAAATGGAGGGAGGAAGCCATTCTAAAAAGGACTCCCTACATGACCTGCAACTTGAAAAAAAATTAAAAGCTCCAAAAAAAAAACAATACAGGAGCTTACCTTGAACCTTTGAATTGGGCCAAATTGCGATGACCACTGCATCCTGGAAAATTTTATTTCACCAGCACTACAACTCCTCAACAGCACCAACCAATAAACTATGGATTTTTGTACTAAGCCAGTTGCCTCTTTCAAAACAACTTGTCAACTTGTCTAATCACCCTCAGCTTTTTTTAAAAACCCCTCCTCTACCCTCTCTCTTCAGAACACAAGTGGCTTCTAGCTGAATCTGTCTCCCAAATTGCAATTCCTAAGACCTCAATAAAAACACCTTGTCTTGCTGCTTTGCAGTGTGGTCTTTTGCCCCTTGGATGACATTAAATGGTGTCAGAATTGAGTGGGACAAAAAAGCAACTCCCTTCTTTGTTCTGGTGCGGCCACGGATTCGAGCACAGTTCCTGCAGGAGGAACCCCTTGTGTTCCACACCTCTCCCATGGCCACGGATTCTGTTTACGAGTTGTCTCATTCCTTAACCCCCTACCTTGGTTGAGGTTCTTTATCCAACGTCCTTGGTTGCCAGCTGTCCAGTAGCTGGGATTACAGGCACGTGCCACCATGCCCAGCTAATTTTTGTATTTTTAGTAGAGACAGGGTTTCACCATGTTGGTCAGACTGGTCTCAAACTCCTGACCTCAAGTGATCCTGCCGCCTCGGCCTCCCAAAGTGCTGGGATTACAGGTGTGAGCCTCAGTGCCCAGCCAAAATTCTATTTAACTTGATTTTTCTCTTCATGGCCAACTCACTGTTTCATTTGTGAAACTACTAGGGAAATTTCAGACTAGGGAATATTGAGGCACAGAAAATGATGGTACTTTGGCATGCTGGATGCTTTTGAAAATGGAAAGGCCTGAGAAATACACTTGAGAGTCAAGGTCCCTCCAACCTTGTCTTATTCTTGCCTCAACCAAGGGCAGAGAGGAACTCCCTCTGGAATTTCCTTGTCTGACTAAGAAAGCTTCTTACTAAAAGAAACACAGTTGCCTTCTATTCTGTCCTTCAAATCTCATTATCTATCAAAAAATGAAGACTGAGGAATAGAGCCACATATGGATGGACCTTTTCATAAGGCCTGCCCCTCAGGCTCATTCAGATTCCAAAGAGAATCATTTACAAGTTAATTTCTGTCTCCCTGGTCCATTTACTCTCCCTTATAATAATTTACTGCTCCTCAGAAGAATTACACACGTTCCCCATCTCCTTACTCTCCTATGAAAAAGGGTATATAAGCGTCCACACCCCATTGGGGGTTGGGGAATCATCACTCTGATGCCTCCCCTCCCCACCAGGCACGTTAATAAAACTTGTATGTCTTTTCTCCTATTAATCCGTCTTTTATCAGTTGATTTTCAGTGTTTTTTTTTTTTTAGCACTTGTTTGCAGGATCCAAAAGCTGCTCTGCTATTCTGGAAGCCACAGTCAAGGGACCCAGGACCCGAGCAGCTGGCAGAAGGACTTGTACCTTCTGTTTGTCCCATTGTATCCAAGATGTTAAAATCATGATGTCACAACATTTAGACATTTAAATGGTTAATCAAATGTATGTCTCTCCTGATATACAGCTAACTGCTATAGACTAATGCAGGCCTCCTTGTTAAAATGGACCCTTTGTTACTCAAATTTGACCAATCTTGGAAGCTTGGATGTGCACTGACTTGACAACCACTTTTTGTGGGACATAACACTCTAGACACAGGTGCTTCTAGCTCTAAGGGGAACAGATAACTAATCTGTGGCCAACCAACCAATGATTAATCAGCTATGCTGCCTCGGATCTTGATCAAAAAAGGAAAATGTGAAAAGTGATACACAAAATGGCATCACTTTGGTTCAGAGCTCTAAAATGGAGTTGGGAAGCCATTCTAAGAAGGACTGCCTGCACAATCTGCAACTTGCAAAACACAAAAACAAAAAATATGAACTTGCCTTGAAGCTTTGAACTGGGCCAAAACTGCAATAACCACTACATCCTGGAAAACTGAATTTCACCAGTGCTACAACTCCTGAACAGCGGCAACCAATCAACTATGGATTCATGTACTAAGCCAGCCACCTCCACCAATGATAATTCTTTCAAAACAATTTGTGTATTAACCCTCTGCTTTCTTTTAAAAACATCTACTTCTCTCCCTCTTTTCAGAACCCCATTTGGCTTCTAGGTGAATCTGTGTCTCCCAAATTGTAATTTCTAAGACCCCAATCAAAATGCCTTGTTTGGCTGGACGTGGTAACTTGCATCTATAATCCCAGCACTTTCGGAGGCCGAGGCAGGTGGATCACTTGACCCCAAGCTGGCCAAAATGGCGAGACCCTGTCTCTTTTCTTTTTTTTTTTTTTAATTAAAAAAAAATGCCTTGTCTTACTGCTTTGCAGTGTGGTCTTTCACCTCTTCTTTTTTTTTTTTTTTTTTTTGAGACAGTCTTGCTCTGTCACCAGGCTGGAGTACAGTGGTGCGATCTTGGCTCACCACAACCTCCGTCTCCTGGGTTCAAGCGATTCTCCTGCCTCAGCCTCCTGAGTAGCTGGGATTACAGGCGTGCGCACCACACCCGGCTAATTTTTGTATTTTTAGTAGAGACAGAGTTTCACCATGTTGGCCAGGATGGTCTCGATCTCTTGACCTCGTGATCCGCCCTGCCTCGGCCACCCAAAGTGCTGGGATTACAGGCGTGAGCCACCATGCCTGGCCCTTTCACCTCTTCTTGGTTGACATAAGCAATCAGTTCTACAGCAGATACCAGCTGGGTATGCTCCAGTTCAATTCCAACACTAACTACCTGGCGATATCATCAGACCCCATAGGTTAAGGGCTCAGTCCCACAAAACTGCCACCCACTTCTGAGGCCAGTTGCCAGCCCCAGGTTGTTTCACCTGCGCTTCTGACTAACCAGCTATAAATTGCATTTCCCACAACCCTCTCTTCATGTTCAATTAATTTGCTAGGGCAGCTCACAGAACTCAGGAAGACACATAGACTGACTTCTTACAAGGGATGTTACAAAGGATTCAGATGAAAAGATGCATAGGGCAAGAGCTTCCACGCATGCCCTCTTTGAGTGCGCCTCCCTCCAGGAAACTCCATGCATTCAGCTATCTGGAAGTTCTCCAAACCCATTTCTTTTGGGATTTTATGGAGGCTTCATTACCTAGGAATGATTGATCAGCTTAAGCTTCAGCCCCTGTCTCCTCCCCAGAGGTTGAGGGGGAGGGCTGAAAGTCTCAAGCCTCTAATCCTACCTTGGTCTTTCCAGTGACCAGTCCCATCCTAAAGCTACCTAGGGACTGTGAGTCATCAGTCAACTAATTAGCATACAAAAAAACACCAATTTGCTGATTCCAAGGATTTTAGGAATTGCATGCCAGGACAAAGACCAAATATATACTTCACATTATCACAGTTATCTTGCAAGGCAAAGGGACTTGGCAGTTGGAGAAATTATCCTGGATGATTTGAATGGGCCCAATGTCATCACAGGGGGCCTCAAGAATAGAAGAATCAGAGGGATCACTACTGAAGAAATCAGAGTGATGTGATGTGACGAAGACTCAACTCACCGTTACTGATTCTGGAGATGGAGGAAGGGTCCGCAAGCCAAGGAATGTAGGCAACCTCTAGAAGCTGGGAAAGGCAAGTGAACAGATTCTCCCCTGGAGCCTTGGGAAGGAATACAGCCCTGCTGACACCTTGATCTTAGCCCAGCAGTCTCATTTCTTTTGACCTCCAGAGCTGGAAGATAATAAATTTGTGTTAAGGCAGTAAGTTTGTGGTAATTTATTAATAGCAAGAGAAAACGAATATAGCTGCTAGTATGTAAAAGGTGGAAATTTTCACATAAAACTCTAGCCATACCAAAGATGAGTAGCAGCTGCCCCCTTTTAATAAAGGATGTGTTTCCAATTTCACTGCAGTCCTCACCCCTCCCTTTTGTCTACCCCAGCCTCCTATGTCCATTTACATGAACTACCCAGTCTAAGTATTAAGTTTTGTAATCGTATACTGAACTGCAGTGTCTCCCAAACAGTAATCCTAATTTCAGCAGCTAAAATAGAAGCAAGCAAATCCAGCCTTCTTAAAATGATTAATCCTATCAATAATAACAATCTTTTCATTTGTATAGTGTGGTCTAGGTCAAGTTACTTAATTTATATAAGCCTAAATGTCCTTCTCTGCACAAGGTGGGGCAAGTTACAGTACATACCCGCTACAGTCGTTTTGAAGACAAAATGAGACACAGCATGAAAAGTGCATCCACCAGACCCACCTGGTACCCAGTAAGGCCTAGGTAATAAACAACGGCGGAAATCAGTGTACTTCTGCCTCACCTGCCACTAGACATTTGGGTTGTTTCTAATCTTTGGGAAGTAAACGCATTGCTCAACGTATTGCTTTTTCTTTTATGTGACTACTGCCTGAAGTCACTTTCCTAGGAAGAATGGATCGATTAGAGAGGCGGGGCAATACCTTTTACCTGCTGGCAGGTGAAATTTCGCCTCCTGGCGGCGTCACCTAAAGTCCTCTCCCTCCAAGGCGCGCCCTCCGCGGCCGGCAGGGGGCGCCGCGGCCGCCTGGGCCCGCCGGATGCTAACAAGCCTGGCGGCCTCGCCCCCTGCCGGAAGTGGCTGCGGCGGGGGCGGGGCCTACGAACTGGGCCGGGCGGCCGTGCGGGAGCCATGGCGGCCTCGGAGGCGGCGGCGGCGGCGGGGTCCGCGGCTCTGGCGGCGGGTGCCCGGGCCGTCCCGGCGGCCACGACAGGAGCCGCCGCCGCCGCCTCGGGCCCGTGGGTGCCCCCGGGACCCCGACTGAGGGGCAGCCGGCCGCGGCCCGCGGGGGCGACGCAGCAGCCCGCTGTCCCCGCGCCGCCGGCGGGGGAGCTGATCCAGCCGTCGGTGAGCGAGCTGTCCCGGGCCGTGCGGACCAACATCCTGTGCACCGTGCGCGGCTGCGGCAAGATCCTGCCCAACAGCCCCGCGCTCAACATGCACCTAGTCAAGAGCCACCGCCTGCAGGTGAGCCCGACGCGGCCGGCGGCCCGGGGGGCCGGGCCTGGCTCCAACAAAGCGCCCGGCGCCGGCGCGCGAAGCCGGCCTCGGGGGGACGAGCGCCCTGCGCGCTGCCGCTGCCGCTGCCCCACCGGCCTCTGCCCTCCCCGGCCGGAGGCGGCTCTCGAACCCTCGCGGCAGGCGCCGCAGGTGCGGCCTCTGGGGGGGAGGAGGAGCTGGGAGCCCCGGGTCCGCCGTACGCGCCAGTTCCCTGGTTCCCTGGCTCCCTGGCCCCGAGTGTCGTGCCGGACGCCGGCCCAGGCTTTTTACACTTTTTTGCCTGTGAGTTCTTAACGGCGTTTTGGCGAGGGACGCATCGTCTCCATTATATTAATGAGAAACAGATTATGCAACCTAGATGATGCGGGGCTTTAAACCGGGGCCTCTGGTTCTAAAGCCCTGTGCTTGCCACGACACCCACAATGCCGCCCTTGGGTCCTGCCCAGTGGACTGTATGTGCCACAATAACTAGAAGAGAGGGTTTTAAATGTTCTCACCACCAAGAGACAATACGTTTGAGGTCGAGGACATGTTAAACACTCTGACTTGATCACTATGCAATGTATATGTCCATCCATGCTGCACACCGCACCCCATCAGTAGGAATAATTACTGTGTGTCGATTATGAATAAAAAAATGTTTTAAAGGAGCGGTAGGTTTGCCTCTAAACACCATCAGTCAGTTTCACGGTGTTGGTAAGATCAGCTCAGGACTGAGACCTAAGGGAAATTGCCCCTGTGGCTCTTCTTTAAGAGGGGGACACAGTAAATACACCATGACAATAGTCTCAACAACCCTCCACGTTATGCAAAACAGGGCAGTCATTTTCAACCTTGGGACACATCTGTGACAAGCTTATTAAAAATCCAGATGTCCAGCCCCACCCCGGACCTGTTAAGTCACAATCTCTCAGTCATTACAATGGCAAGTTTCCTTCCACCACTCTAGGCCAGCAGTGACATAATTCAAAAGCGCAAGTCATTGAAAGCAGTTCTGCGAATATGTAGCTTTTGATGATCAGGAGTAAATTTAGAGTACCCAGAATATTGCATGTTCTGTCTGCCCATAGTCAGGCTTCTGATAAGAATTTCACAGCAGAAAACTCTGAGGTTGTAGTCTCTAGTAGGACAGATGTGTCGCCAATGAAGAGTGATCTGCTCTTACCACCATCTAAACCGGGATGCAACAACGTTCTCAATTGAAGATCAGGGAGCCAGTCAGGAAATGTACCTGAGGTATGCTGAGGAAGACCGTGCAGGTGGGGCCGAATTGTTGGACTGAAAAGCTCTGGGTTTCTTTCAGCACTCAAGTGTAACTCTGGGAATGGCTTTCAACCTGTTGTTTTGTTTTCATACTAAATTTTAACTAAATCCTTTTCTTCCCTATTGTTTTTGTGTTTTTTTGTTTGTTTTTGAGACAGAGTCTCACTCCATCACCCAGGCTGGAGCGCAGTGGCGCCATCTCAGCTCACTGTAACCTCTGCCTCCGGGGTTCAAGCAGTTCTCCTGCCTCAGCCTCCCTAGTAGCTGGGATTACAGGCACCTGCCACCACACCCTGCTAATTTTTTTTTGTATTTTTAGTAAAGACAGGTTGCACCATGATGGCCAGCTTGGTCTCGAACTCCTGACCCTCAGGTGATCCACCCACCTCAGCCTCTTAAAGTGCTGGGATTCCAGGTGTGAGCCACCGCGACCGACCTAAATCCTTTATTTAATCATAACTTAGGTGGATGAACTATTTCTTAATAGTTTCTGTTGTTCCTTTCTGTGGAGTTGTTGTTAGGAGCTCTAGCTCTTTAAAGACCCTGGTAAACATCTGTTGAACATAAAGATACCATTTGCCTTTCAGGACTGGTTAGTATACAGTAGGTTTGTTTCTAATTATGTTGGGTTTTTTTTGTTTTGTTTGAGACAGAGTCTCACTCTGTCGCCCAGGCTGGAGTGCAGTGGCGCCATCTTGGATCACTGCAACCTCTGCCTCCCAGGTTCAAGCGAGTCTCCTGCCTCAGCCTCCCTAGTAGCTGGGATTACAGGTGCATACCACCACGCCCAGCTAATTTTTGTATTTTTAGTAGAGGTGGGGTTTCACCATGTTGGCCAGGCTGGTCTCGAACTCCTGACCTCAAGTGATCCACCCGCCTCAGCCTCCTAAAGGGCTGGGATTACAGGTGTGAGCCACTGTGCCCAGCCAGGGCAAACTTTTTTTTAGCAGGAATTATACCTCACCAGATCCATCATTTTTTTCTTGACAAGCAGACTGACTTTCCTGTCTTGTCCTGGCTTTCTAACCGCAGTGCCCAGTGGCCCCTGAGCAGCTCCTGTCTTGGTGTCTTCCTTTAATGAAGGTTGTCTGTGTGATGCAATAGCCATCTATATGATGGTGCCCAGTATGGAGATCTGTACCTTGTCTGGTTACTACATAGAAGGCTTTTCAGGGTCTTGCTCTGTTAACCCAGGTTGCTGTCAGGCTCTTGAGCTCAAGTGATCCTCCTGCTTTAGCCTCCCCAGTAGCTGAGACTATAGGCTCCTGCCACCATGCCCTGCCTCAAACATTGTTCTTTTTGTTTGTTTGTTTGAGACAGTCTCACTCTGTCGCCCAGACTGGAGTGCAGTGGCATGATCTCGGCTCACTGCAACTTCCGCTTCTCGGGTTCAAGCAGTTCTCTTGCCTCAGCCTCCCGAGTAGTTGGGACTACAGGCATGCTCCACCACGCCCGACTAATTTTTGTTTTATTAGTAGAAACAGGGTTTCGCCATGTTGGTCGGGCTGGTCTTGAACTCCTGACCTCAAGTGATCCGCCCGCTTCAGCCTCCCAAAGTACTGGGATTACAAGAGTGAGCCACTGCGCCAGGCCTCAAACATCAATGTTGATACCTGTTTTCAAAGTACTGGAAGAAGGTAGGGGTAAGGACAAGGAACCGGGAGGAAGGCTGGCTGGGAAGCTATCTTAGGTTTTAAGAGCTGTGTTGACCAGAGACTCCATCCACTTTCTGCCCTGAGTATCTTATTGGCAGGTTTTCTTATAGTCAGTGGAAATTTTCGGTCTTAGTTACAGCTGCTTGCATAATTTCTTTCATTGTTTATATATTTTCTAGATTATATTTTCTTCCCCTCCCCACTAGTTGCTGTTGGTTCTTATTTTATTCTAATCTTTCTTCCCAAAACACCCCACCCCCAACCAAATCTTCCCTTCTTAACATAAATGATGAGCAACGAGGATGGGTGAGAATGAGGAATTGGATTGCAAACTGTAGAGTATGTGCCGCCTTCTGGTTTGATGTGGGTGCCTAAGGTATATGGCCATATTCCATATCCTGTAAGGAAATCCAGAAATCTAGCCCAGCCTTGTGTATGGTGGGATTCATGGAGAAATGAAAGCCATGAGGATTCAGGGGCAGGAAGAGCAGAAGTAAATGTACATTTTTTTATTCCTAGAGATTCTTTTGTTCCTTGTGTGTGAAAGCAGTGGAGGGGACAGGCAGGCACTTAAAGAACCTCTTATCAAGCAACATTTATATTGTAAAACATGGCTTAGAGGATTTTGTGTTATTTTTAGTCCAGAGGTTTGTTTTTAATGATTTGCCAGAAATTTTTTAAGGAAAGGAAAGGTTCCAAGTTACTCTATAGACTATACTGTACAAAGATTTCTAATTTTAAATTTAGAATAAGATGACAAAGCAAACCGTTTCCTTCTTGGATGCTTTCTCGGAAGGCAGTCAGGTGGTGCTAGAGTAGCTAGACAGACAGTTTTTCCTAGTTTTTGCTACAGTTCTTACAATCGTTTCTTTTCACCCTCTACTCTTCAACTGTGTCTTACTTTTCCTCTTGTATATTTTCTTTCTGTCTTGTTACTGGATTGTTTCCTCTCATAGGTTCTCTTTTCAGTTATGCGCACAAAAGATACAGTACAAAAAGTCCAGTGCATTTTATTCTTGAAAGTATATAGAACTTCAGAATGAAAACACCACTTTCTCACTGCACTTCCATTTTATCGTGCCATTGCCATTTCTCATCTGAGCCATCCTACCCTTGAGCTTATTCTCTGAGGACAGAAATGGGAAGAAGGCCCCAGAAGCAGTGGGTGGGGGTGGGAGGAGGCTGCTGTGCTGGTGAGTGGTGGGGTGTTGGCTCTCAGAAAACAGGAGCATGGACAGTGTCAGCTTGTTGCCATGACAGTGAGGTTATTAACATCCACTTAGACTGTCTTCAGTGGTCTCTTACCCAGGCATGATAGTTTTGGCTTAGATGGCTACCTGAAGAGATTCAGTATAATGCTACCAGTTTTTATTGAACATTTATTCTGTTCAAAACATTCCCAAAGGCAACAGAAGATACAAATAAATCTCTGCCCATGTAAAGGTGTGGGGGGCATTAGAAGGCGTTCTCTTCGGTGTAATGAAGTAATGAGAGAAGAAAAAGTAGTTTGAAGCTATGGAGTAAGGGACTTTGAGTATCCCAGGCTCAAAAAGTTGGGACTTGAACAGTACGGGGGTGCTGCTGAAAACGTTTGAGGGAGGTAATGACATGATCGAAGCTATACTTGAGAAAGGTGAATCTGATAAAGTATGAGTGAAAAAGAGACTGAAGGTCTAGAAATTAGATTGAGGCTAATGACAAAATCCACATAAATAGGAGGACTTGAACGAAGGGGCACTTAGAAGAGGACAGGAGATAGTAAAAGGCATTCAATGATGAGAGCACACACTACAGGGGAGCATGAGGGAGGTTGGAAAAGATAATGAAAGGATTACCGAGCTTCACTGACGATGTGTTTGAAATGAGCAGGAATCTTGTAGTGATCCTAATCCGTGGTTTTCTGGAGCATTTCACAGCCTAGGAACATACAAGGGGGGCATCTCCCTGGAATGTAAATTGACTAAGAGGAATTCAGTAATGGTCAAATGAATGCAGAATTTTAGAGTCTTGCTTAGTATTCTCACCACATTTCGTTTAATCTACTCATACTCTTTTTCTCTTACTGCTGACACTAGATGGAAAAACTCTTAATTAAAAGTATTTCACAAAATGTGCTCGTTTTCAGTCATTCCGTTTCCACTCCAGCCTGTTGTGTTGTTTTTTTGAAATAATAATTTAAAGTAATTTTCCTTTTGCAGGATGGCATAGTCAATCCAACAATAAGAAAAGATTTGAAAACTGGACCGAAATTCTACTGCTGTCCAATTGAAGGCTGCCCCAGAGGCCCTGAGAGACCGTTTTCTCAGTTTTCTCTCGTAAAACAGGTACTCTCTACTCTGAGGATGAGATACAGATGCTAAAAACCTATTGTGCATTCTGATTACTTAGCAGACATAACTACAGAATTGAGTAGACAGCTGCTTGTGAGGGGAGATGCCTGCGTGTCTCCCAGTTGGTATAAACCTGAGTATGCTGTTACACAAGTGGAGGGAAAAGCGGCACGGTCTGGAGGGAATATGTCTAGAACTGAGTTAAAATACAGAGAGAGAGAGTAAACCAGTTCAGCAAAGAATGAGAAAATGTTTGCTCGCAGATCTCCTGTGTGAGTCTGCATACCTCCAAGGGCCCAGCGCAAAGGCACAAAGGAACTGTTCTCCCAGGGGAATAAGAACCTGCAGAATCCAGGAAAAGAAGAGTTTTGGAAGCCGCAATCTTAAGAGGAGGGAGGGCCCCAGTGACTGGGACAAGAGGTGATTCAGAACTGGAAGAGATTGGCATCTGAAATGTTCCCCTGAGGGTCTGCTGGAGGGCGTCCTGAGAAGAGCATTGTAAAGACATTTTTTTCCTGCCTGCAGCACTTACAGATCAGAGTGTAAATGCTGGAGACCATAGATGTTTCCAAAACAATCTCCTCACTTTTCACAAAGCAAAAGCAACAAGAAGAGGCATATATATAATTAACTGCGATGTTCCTGCTTTTACATTCTTTTGACTTGGACTGCTGTATTTTATGTTATTTATATTAATAGTGTAAAATCATTATTAATTTGGGTGTATGATGGTTTCTGAAATGTTTTGACCAGTTGCTGTTTTTCACCTTAGTCCCTTCTGCGTTCCTCCTAGCACTTTATGAAAATGCATGCTGAGAAGAAGCACAAATGTAGTAAGTGCAGCAATTCGTACGGTACAGAATGGGACCTGAAAAGACATGCAGAGGACTGTGGCAAGACCTTCCGGTGCACATGCGGCTGTCCCTACGCCAGTAGAACAGCACTGCAGTCTCACATCTACCGAACTGGGCACGAGATACCTGCAGAACACAGGTGAAGGGAAAGAAATGATGGCACAGAAGTCAGTAGCTATGGGAAGCATTTCAGATGAAACATCCTGGAGAGCCAGTGGTGTGGGGAGGAAAAAGGAATCTTAGAAAATGTGTGACGTGGAAGAAGGAAGCTTTTGAAAATGGAAGCAGGTCTTGCAAATGACACATGTCTGGGCCTGAAATCTTGACCCAATTGTTCCCCCTATTTTTTTCTGCCAGCCCTCTTTGAGAGTCCCTTGTTATTTCCATTTGAAAATCTCAGCTTCCAGAATTTTCTATCAGAGGGAACCAAACTGCCAACAAATAAGTTTTATCATGAAACTGTACTTCATTTAAAGGTCAAATTTTCATTTAGTGTGATAGCTTCCTGCCTTAGAAATGATAAAACTTGCATTATGTAAGTCTTTTAGCTTCTTTTGGCTTAAAGATCTGAGTTGAGTTCTAGTACTTAGAGCTTAACAAAAGGTATGTTTCCTCCTTCTCTGTTTGCATGTTTCTCAAAGTTCACCTGCTATAATAGGACCAACTCCCAGAGTTGCGAAAGAATGGATTTATCTTGTCTGGGTTGAACATGACCTCTGCTATAGATGGGGGAAATGGCATTTGTAAGTGAGGATAGAGTGTCATGGTCGAAGAAAGTTGTATTTTAAGGTTTTCTTTTTGCTCTGTCATTGTTTTCAGGGACCCACCTAGTAAGAAAAGGAAAATGGAAAACTGTGCACAAAACCAGAAGTTATCCAACAAGACCATTGAATCATTGAACAACCAACCAATCCCTAGACCAGACACTCAAGAACTAGAAGCTTCAGAAATAAAGCTAGAACCATCTTTTGAAGACTCTTGTGGCTCTAACACTGACAAGCAGACTCTTACAACACCACCGAGATATCCTCAGAAGTTGCTTTTACCAAAGCCCAAAGTGGCTTTGGTTAAACTACCCGTGATGCAGTTTTCTGTCATGCCTGTCTTTGTGCCTACAGCCGACTCCTCAGCCCAGCCTGTGGTGTTAGGTGTTGATCAGGGCTCTGCCACAGGGGCTGTGCACTTAATGCCCTTGTCAGTAGGAACCCTGATCCTCGGCCTAGATTCAGAGGCTTGCTCTCTTAAGGAGAGCCTACCTCTTTTCAAAATTGCTAATCCTATTGCTGGTGAGCCAATAAGTACTGGTGTTCAAGTGAACTTTGGTAAAAGTCCATCTAATCCTTTACAAGAACTAGGGAACACGTGTCAAAAGAATAGCATTTCTTCAATCAACGTGCAGACAGATCTGTCTTATGCCTCACAAAACTTTATACCTTCTGCACAGTGGGCCACTGCTGATTCCTCTGTGTCGTCTTGTTCTCAAACTGATTTGTCGTTTGATTCTCAAGTGTCTCTTCCCATTAGTGTTCACACTCAGACATTTTTGCCCAGCTCTAAGGTAACTTCATCTATAGCTGCTCAGACTGATGCATTTATGGACACCTGTTTCCAGTCAGGTGGGGTCTCCAGAGAAACTCAAACCAGTGGGATAGAAAGTCCAACGGATGACCATGTACAGATGGACCAAGCTGGAATGTGCGGAGACATTTTTGAGAGTGTTCATTCATCATATAATGTTGCTACAGGTAACATTATAAGCAACAGTTTAGTAGCAGAGACAGTAACTCATAGTTTGTTACCTCAGAATGAGCCTAAGACTTTAAATCAAGATATTGAGAAATCTGCACCAATTATAAATTTCAGTGCACAGAATAGTATGCTTCCTTCACAGAACATGACAGATAATCAGACCCAAACCATAGATTTATTAAGTGATTTGGAAAACATCTTGTCAAGTAATCTGCCTGCTCAGACATTGGATCATCGTAGTCTTTTGTCTGACACAAATCCTGGACCTGACACCCAGCTCCCATCTGGCCCAGCCCAGAACCCCGGAATCGATTTTGATATCGAAGAGTTCTTTTCGGCCTCAAATATCCAGACTCAAACTGAAGAGAGTGAACTTAGCACCATGACCACCGAGCCAGTCTTGGAGTCACTGGACATAGAGACTCAAACGGACTTCTTACTCGCAGATACCTCTGCTCAGTCCTATGGGTGTAGGGGAAATTCTAACTTCTTAGGCCTTGAGATGTTTGACACACAGACACAGACAGACTTAAACTTTTTCTTAGACAGTAGCCCTCATCTGCCTCTGGGAAGTATTCTGAAACACTCCAGCTTTTCCGTGAGTACTGATTCATCTGACACAGAGACCCAAACTGAAGGAGTCTCCACTGCTAAAAATATACCTGCTCTAGAAAGCAAAGTTCAGTTGAACAGTACAGAAACACAGACCATGAGTTCTGGGTTTGAAACCCTGGGGAGCTTGTTCTTCACCAGCAACGAAACTCAGACAGCAATGGATGACTTTCTTCTGGCTGATCTGGCCTGGAACACGATGGAGTCTCAGTTCAGCTCTGTAGAAACCCAGACTTCTGCGGAACCACACACAGTCTCCAACTTCTAAAACTAACGGTGGAGTCCATGTGTGAAATGGCATCTACCATTTCCTCTGGATTAAAACTACGGACTGGGGACAACAGTATTAATTCGATTGAATGTGGCTGATGATGCAGTTGCTTAGCTTCTTTGTGTTTCTTTGCCTTTTGTACTTGTAAACAGAAATTTGCGTATAAATGTGAGTGTATTATAAAGTTTGAGATGTTGATCTAAATTGTTTTTGTGTTGCCTACATTTGCCTTTTCACAGCTAGTCTTTTCATGTTAAAAAAAAAAATGTATTTCATATCTATAAAACCTATATAGCCATTTAGCTGAAGCCCAGCTTACCAGGTTCAAGGGTACAAACTTCTCAAATCTTCAAAACATTTTAGTCAAAGTGTAATATACTTAAACTGCACCTAAAATATCTTTGGCACTGCTTGTTAGAAATTCCTGATTCCTGTTACTAATCACTAAAGAAACCGGATGCTGCCACCGTAGGATTTAAGCAGTAGTGCTTCCATGCTCTTAAGACTCCTGCTGCCTGGACCTTCGTCAGCTTTGACACCTCTTTTCTGATTTAAAGACACCAAGGAAAACTACAACTGTCTTTAGCTTTGAAGCAGTTTTCATGTAATCATTGCCACCTCTTCGCTACATGAACTACTATTGATACCAGCATACAAGTGTACAGCACTTTACACACAAGAGGTTTATTGATGTAAAATTATCGGCTAGGGAAGCAGCAGCGGGCCAGGTGTGGTGGCTTACCCCTGTAATCCCAGCACTTTGGGAGGCCAAAGCAGGACGATCACTTGAGCCCAGGAGTTCAACACCAGCTTGGGCAACGTAAGAAGACCGTGTCTCTGGAATTTTTTTTTTTTTTTAATTAGCCAGGCACAGTGGCATGCGCCTGTGATCCCAGCTACTTGGAAGGCTGAGGTGAGAGGATCACTCGAGGAGATTGGGGCTGCCATGAGCCATGGTCTTGGCACTGTACTCCAACCTGGGTAACAGGGCAAGACCCTATCTCAAAAAAAAAAAAAGTCGCCAGCAACAAGCACGTAGTGTAGTGTTCCTGCTAAATGAGCGTAGGTTATCCAAACCTTGGGAACAGGGAGTTATGGAAACATGCCTATGACTTCATCTTGGGGTGTGTCCTATGAAGATCCTTTCTGGTCTCCACAGTAGGCCAGAGTTGGGGGCTCTGGAGCTGTTTCCCCAAGTGCATCCACAAGCTGGATCTGAGTTTTGTCACTCTAAAATTAAACAAGAAAAAAAGTGGGAAAAGGGCATCCCCCATTAGGTTTCAATACTTTGCACTTCTACTAAGCTTGATAGGGCAGGAGTGCAATCTACAATTATTTTAAAGTGAATTTCCTTCCATTCACCATTCTTTATCTTTTCTTTGAATAAGAAAAAGTATCTAGCAAGGATATTACTTGTGCCTTGAGGCTAGCAATTATAGGATAGATTCATCTAAAATATGGTATTCTGCATTTTGGTTTTTTTTCTTAAGTGAATAATACCAGTCTTCAAAGAAAACAAGGTGAAGACCTATTGCTTCAATAATCAAGAATGCTTTGTGTGTTTTGAGGTAGGAGCATGATCAAGTATGCTTTGGGGATTTTCTGTATTTAGGAGATCCTGGATTCTTAATTGTTGGCTAAGTTCCAGTCAAGTAGGAATCAGTGCAGCCTGTAAGTTCTCCACATTGACACACACACACACACACACACACACACACGACATGCTCCTTTCTGTGGCACATGCCTGTATTACTGAAAGCTAAATCCTCAAAACCTAGTAAGGGGACTAATGATTCATTAAAGTAAATTGATGGTTTTGCTACTAATTCCTATCCCATACATTTGACACAAAAGAAGTGTTGGTAATGGATAAATAACATATCCCGGGCAGATGAGCTCAACCTAGTAGGTAAGAGTTTGGTTTGGTCACAGTTGCCTATGAGTGTGGGTTTCAAAAGAAACATAAAGCCTTAACTTAGAATTTCATTATGTTTTAGAATCATCACTGCCTTAATATTCAAGCATCTATTTAAGTCCTAATAAAGGAGAAATGCATGTTTATGGCTTTTTTGTAAATATAAATGCAGTGATCTATGGCTTAAAAAATTTGTTTCTGTGACAATGTTTGTAAATCTAGCCAATAGAGTCATTTACAGAAGAAAAATGAGCATGTAATAATACAAGAACTGTTTCCCCCTCAAAACCTGAACCTGAATTATTTGTAAAAACTGAAATTTAATGATTAAAGAGAAGCCAGAATTGTACCCTTTTTTGTGAATTCTTGAACGTACTCATAAATATGACTTATTGTATTGCCTTAAGTTTTCACTCATTGTCTTTTGAAAGCCATATGATAAAATGATTTTATTTAATAATACCCAGTTATTTTCATTGTTTTTTCTTTTGTTCATGAAAATATGCTAACAGACAATTTTCCTAGAAAAGACACTCCAGGTAATACCAGCCAGATGGCTGACTAGAGGTCCCTAATGCTTGTTGCCCCCACAGAAAAGGACCAAAACAACAAATAGAATACATTTTGACTAGAGTATCTAAAAGAAAATGAGGCCTGGCATGGTGGCTCGTGCCTGTAATCCCAGCACTTTGGGAGGCTGAGGCGGGTGGATCACCTGAGGTCAGAAGTTCGAGACTGGCCTGGCCAACATGGTGAAACCCCATCTCTACTAAAAATGCAATAATTAGCTGGGCGTGATGGTGCATGCCTGTAATCCTAGCTACTCAGGAGGCTGAGGCAGGAGAATCGCTTGAACCTGGGAGGCAGAGGTTGCAGTGAGCCAAGCCTGCACCACTGTACTCCACCCTGGATGGCAAAGTGAGACTCTGTCTCAAAAAAAAAAAAAAAAAAAGAAAAAATGCTGGAGTATATCAGGGGAGTGGTAGAGAACCTGTGGCACACAGAGACTCAGGACGGCCAGAGAGAGAAGGGAGTGAAATACCCTGCTCTGCCACCCCGTCTCCCCAGTCAGGATGAGCTCAGAACCAAGATGGATTTCTGCCTGGGGGAAAAGGAAGGCAGAAGGTCGCCAGCAGGTCCCATTACCACCACAGACACCTGTAGTCTTTTCTGCTGGAGAATCCTGCAGTTCTCTCAAGCCCTGAGCCCAGTTTAGAAAGCATCCTCGAATTCACATGACTGCATTACTGCAGAGAAAAAGCCGACATTGTGACCCAAGCTACTACAGCATGGCACCATTTTCAACCTGGACCCACTGCTCTAGGGGACAGTAACCACTGCATCTCTCCATTCCTGAGGTTCTGCTATCACTACACCATCTCACACACAGCAGTGCAGCATCCCCCAGCTGAGGGGCTACAGCTCCCTACTCCTTGGGAACAAGCTGCCCAAGAGCTGCTCCATCTTAACCATCCTCGCGGCAGCACAGTCCTGAACTCAACTACTCAGAACCTAGGCCTAGCAGAACAGCCATGACCCTAGCACCCAGGCCCATGCAGTGCCCTGCCTCCAAAGGAACAGGAAGTGTTGCTCAGTGGGGAAGCCAAGCTCAAGCCAGTGGACCAGCCCTGCATCCCCTCAGCATGTAAAAAGCCGATACTCCATCCACAAAGGAGCCATACTCAACCCAGGATGCCAGCCACACAGTCTACTGCAGCCTAGGCCACTGAGGCACTTGCAGGCATTGCTGACATTGATTACAGCTGAAGAACCTGCATGAAGACCACACTACTACTGTACCCATACAGAACCAAAGCCAGTGTGCCTTACTCAACTGATACTTAGGCCCCATCTGCACATTAAAGCCTTTCCCTATGAAAGCCACTGCATAGAACTGGAAAAGGCAGCTGATCCATCAGCTGCAAAGAAATCAACATAGGAACACAAGAAACATGAAAAAGCAAACAAATATGACACCACCAAAGAAACATGATAATTCTCCAATAACTGACCCCAAAGTTAGATAGAAATTTATGAATTTCTTGAAAAGAAATTCAAAATAATGATCTTGAGGAAGCTCAGCAAGACACAAGAGAATACAGATAAGCAAAATAATTCTTGATCTGAATGAGAAATTCAAGAGAGACAGATATTTTTAAAAAAGAACAGAAATCTGATCTGAAGAATTTAATGAATGAAATAAAAAATACAATTGAGGGCTTCAACAGCAGACTAGATCAAGCAGAAAAAAAAAAATTTTCCATTTTTTTTTTGAGACAGAGTCTCCCTCTGTCACCGAGGCTGGAGTGCAGTGGTGCCATCTTGCTGCACTGCAACTTCCACCTCCTGGGTTCAAGCGGTTCTCGTGCCTCAGCCTCCTGAGTATCTTGGATTACAGGTGTTTGCCACCACGCCTGGCTAATTTTTGTATTTTTAGTAGAGAGGAGGTTTCATCATGTTGGCTAGTCTGGTCCTGAACTCCTGACCTCAGGTGATCTGCCTGCCTCAGCCTCCCAAAGTGCTGGGATTACAGGTGTGAGCCACCGCACCCAGCCAGAAAATAAAAAGAATTTCTGAATTTGAAGACAGCTCTTTTGAAATAACACATTCAAAGGGAATAAAGAGAGAATGAAAAAGAGTGAAGAAAGTTGACAGGACTTATGGGGACATCATTAAGAGAACAGATACTCACATTATGAGATTTTCGGAGGGAGATGGAGAAAGGCACAGAAAGCTTATTTAATGAAATAATAGCTGAAAACTTCCAAAGTCCTGGAAGAGATATATGGACATCCAGATCCATGGCACTCAAAGAATCCCAAATAGATTCAACCCAAAGAGGTCCTCTCAGAGGCACATTGTAATCAAACTGTAAAAATTCAAAGACACAGAGTTTTAAAAACAGCAAGAGAAAAGCATCAAATCATATATAAGGGAATCTCCATTACACTATCAACAGATTTCTCAGAAGAAACCTTGAAGCCCAGGAAAGAATGGGATGATATAGTCAATGTTCTGAAAGAAAAAAAAACAAAAACAAAAACTGCCACCCAAGAATGTTATACCCTGAATGAAAGTGAAATAAAGTATATTTCAGACAACAAAAGCTGAAGGAATTCATCACCACTAGACTGGCCTTACAAGAAATGCTATGGAAGTACTTCAACCAAAAGCAAAAGGATGATAATTACTTTCATCATTTTGTGTGTCATATGAAAACATATGACAGTATAAAACTCACTGGTAGAGGTAAACTCATAATCAAATTCAGAATACACCATTACTCTAATGGTGGCATATGTCTTTCAGATCTCCGCTATGAATAACTACAGGTATAATACACTGTTAAGGAATACACAAAATGATGTAACTTAAGACAAAATTTTAAATTGTGGAGGAAGGACAAAAATTTTTTGTGTGAGTATCTGTGCGGGACCAAAGTTGTTATCAGCTTTAAAAAGTCTATTATAAGATTTTTCATGTAAGTACCTTAGTAACCACAGAAAGAAAAATTACCTCAAATACACAAATGAGAAAGAGAAAGGAATCAAAGTTTAGCACTGCAGAAAACCACCTAAACAACAAAAGAGGAAGAGAAGAACAAAGGATATATAAACCAGAAAATAATTTTTAAAATAGCAGGAGTAAGTCTTTGCCTATCAATAATAACCTTGGGCCGGGCATGGTGGCTCACACCTCTAATCCCAGCACTTTGGGAGGCCAAGGTGGGTGGATCACAAGGTCAAGAGATCAAGACCATCCTGGCCAACATGGTGAAACCCCGTCTCTACTAAAAATACAAAAATTAGCCAGGCGTGGTGGCACGTGCCTGTAATCTCAGCTACTCAGGAGGCTGAGGCAGGAGAATTGCTTGAACCTGGGAGGTGGAGGTTGCAGTGAGCCAGGATTGTGCCACCGCACTCCAGCCTGGCAACAGAGCGAGACTCCTCCTCAAAAAAAAAAAAAAATAATAATAATAATATAATAATAACAACCTTGAATGTAAATAGATTAAATTCTCCAGTTAAAGATATAGAGTGGCTGAATGGATTTAGAAAATAAAACCTGCAACACCATCCAACTATATGCTGCCTGCAAGAGACTCGCTTAACATGCAAGGTCACACAAAAACTAATGTGGAGGGATGGAGAAAGTTATCCCATGCAAATGGAAACCAAAGGAGAACACGAGTAGCTATACTTGTATCAGATAACACAGACTTTAAGTCAAAACTGCAAAAAGAGAGAAAGTCATTATATAACAATTAATATAACAATTGTAAATATATATGCAACCAACACCAGAACACCCAAATATATAAAGCAAATATTATTAGATCTATAGGGAGAAATAGACTGTAATACAACAATAATAGGGGATTTCAGCACTTCACCTTTGGTAATGGACCAATCATCCAGAAAATCAACAACAAAACATTAAACTGCACAATAGACCAATTGGACCTAACAGACATTGACAGAATATTCCTCCAAAACACTGCAGAATACACATTTTTCTCAGTAACACATGAAACACTTTCCAGGACAGATCACATGTTAGCCCACAAAATAAATCTTAACAAATTTACAATTAAACTCATTTCGAGTTTTTTGTTTCTTTTAACCACAATGGCTATTACTAAAATGTCAAAAAATAACAGATGTTGGCAACTTTGCACAGAAAAGGGAACGCTTATACACTGTTATGGGGAATGGAAATTAGTTCAGCCCCTGTGGGAAGCAGTTTGGAGATTTCTCAATGAACTGAAAATAGAATTCAACCTAGCAATCCCATTAGTGGGCCTACCAAAGGAAAACATATCGTTCTACCAAAAAGACAGATGCACTCATATGTTTATCGCAGCACAATTCACAATAGCAAAGACATGGAATCAACCTAGGTGCCCATCAATGGTGGAATGGATTTCTTTTTTTGTTTTGTTTTGTTTTTGAGATGAGTCTCACTCCATCACCCAGGCTGGAGTGCAGCAATCTCCGCCTCCTGGGTTCAAGTGATTCTCCTGCCTCAACCCCCCAAGTAGCTAGAATTACAGGCGTCTACCACCATGCTTGGCTAATGTTTGTATTTTTAGTAGAGACAGGGTTTCACCATGTTGGCCAGGCTGGTCTTGAACTCCTGACCTCAAACGATCCACCCACCTCGGCTGCCCAAAGGACTGGAATTACAGGCATGAGTCACCGTGCCCAGCCTGTATTTCTAAAATGTGGTACATATACACGATGGAATACTATGCAACCATAAAAAAGAACAAAATCATATCCTTTGCAGCAGCATGGATGCAGCTGGATGCCATTACCCTAAGCAAATTAACACAAAAACGGAAAACCAAATACCGCATGTTCTTATTTGTAAGTGGGAGCTAAACACTGGGTACATGCAGACATAAAGATGAGAACAGACACTGGGAACTCTAAAAGTGGGGAGGTGGGAAGGGGAATAAGGGTTGAAAAACTACCCATTGGGTACTGTGTTCACTATATGAGTGATGAGATCAGTAGAAGTCCAAACCTCAGCATCACACAATATAACCATGTAACAAACATGCAAATGTAGCCCCCACACCCCAAGTCTAAAATGTTTACTAGACTGTGAGTTCTAAATTAAAAAAAAAAAAAGAAAATTAAAAGAAAATAATTTTTAAAAAGAAAGAGAAGGGTTATATCACTTTGGGGGGCTTAGGGACGCAGCCTTTGGGGTACCACACAGTTTTATTTTCCTTGTCTCTCACAGTGTATCTATGTGTGTTGTCCTCCAAAGCATGTTTAAATGGCATTAATTAGATTTGACAACTAGGAGGGGACAACATATATGCCTTCATACTCTCAACTTTTAAAAGGCTCTAATTTGTTAAATGACATGAATTTTATGTATGTATGCATGTACTTATTTTTGAGATGGAGTCTCGCTCTGTCGCCCAGGCTGGAGTGCAGTGGTGCAATCTCAGCTCACTGCAACCTCCACGTTCTGGGTTCAAGCAATTCTCCTGCCTCAGCCTCCCGAGTAGCTGGGACTGCAGGCACGCACCACCACGCCCAGCTAATTTTTTGTATTTTTAGTAGAGACGGGGTTTTACCATGTTTGCCAGGCTGGTCTTGAACTCCTGGCCTCAGGTGATCCACCCACGTCGGCCTCCCAAAGTGCTGGGATTACAGATGTGAGCCACTGCGTCTAGCCATGAATTTTAATCTAGTTTGTTTAGCAAGGTGTTAGCCAGTAAAATGTTTTAAGGCCAAGAAGATGACTACATTGTTTTTCAATGTTTAAATCCAAAGGATTCTCTCAGTTGTTGGAACGGTATTTATTAGCAGATACATTGATATTTTAGTTTACATATCCAGAGACGCAGGCTAGAAAACAAACAGGGACGGCTCTCAGGTTGTCGGTGTTCTTGACGTTCACAGGGGCACTGCATTTAAAAATCAGCTTGCTTGAAAGGAGCAAGGCCCAAGCTATATGAATCAGTAAAAGCAGCACTGGCTATGCCATAGCTGGAACACTATCAATATTCAGTTTCTTCAACAAACTCCAGAAAAAACACTAAATGTTTTACTGCCTTACTAATAAATAACAAAACAAAAACTCATAAATATTAGTAAGACAATTTTATTTATTGCTTTACTAATTAATAACAAAATAAAAACTTTGTTCTAACTCCACGCATTCCAAAATAGTATAGTTTGACCTATCAGAGACCACAGCCATGGCCCCTCCACTAACTTTTCATACTTTACTTGGAAGCAAGTTACTATTACAGAACATTAGGCTGCAAAAAAGAAACAACAAAAAATTTAAACAAGTCATACTCTTTTTAACATCAGTGAAATAGTCCAATGTATCTGAAAATGAAAATAAATTGTTTTGAAATTATCTCCACGGTGACTTTGTTATTTTCAAAAGTACATATATTATATTACCTCTGCATATAACCTCTTTTTGGGGGCCGGGTTGGGGAGACCTAAAAGAGCGAGCCGATGACCATGGCAGGTGTAAATAAGACCTTGCTCCAAACGTGGCGTCTTCTTACTGCTTCTGCTTGCAGCGTTTGACTCTCTGCTTTCTGGTGATCCGCCGCTTTTCCATGTCCTGGGTGAAATATTTGCTTTTATGATTACATCTCAACCGTGTTGCTGCTTAGGACTGAATGTGAAACTGATCCCTCTCCTACTTTATCTTCTTTTTCCTGTGCTGTAACGAGAAATTTAATGACTTCAGAAAATGTAGAGCCCATGCTGCAATGAAAATGTGGCAGAAGTCAATGCATCTGAATTATGACAAAAGGATATTCAACCATGAAGACTGCCCTCAATAACTTTTTCCTTGGTAGATGAAACTAGTCTCTAAAAACCAACAAGCAAACAACAACAACAACAACAAAAAAAAACAACAAAAATAAAAAACTTTTTTCTTTTTAAAACGTGAGCCCACCGAAATTAAGATTTTAATTTTGGGAAGTCAACCAAACTTTGGCAAATTATGCTTTAGGAATTATTTACTCTATATTGTCTTATTTCAGCTCATGGAAATAATTTTGGTTTTGTTATATTTTAGAGTTAATACTATTAATGAATTGCAAGCTGGTATCAATTTTTCTGCACCTTTTTTGGTAACGTGATATATATATATGTATATACATGTTGGCCAGGCTGGACCCGAACTCCTGACCTCAAGCAATCCACCCATCTTGGCGTCCCAAAGTGCTGGGATTACAGGTATGAGCCACTGCACCCGGCCACATGTGATATATCTTATTATTTTTTGAGACAGTGTCTCACTCTACTGCCCAGGCTGGTATGCAGTGGCGTGATCTCGGCTCACTGCAAACTCCACCTCCAGGGTTCAAGACCTTCTTATGCCTCCGCCGCCTGAGTAGCTGGGATTACAGGCACGCACCACCACGCCCCCTAATTTTTCTATTTTTAGTAGAGGCAGGGTTTTGCCATGTTGGCCAGGCTGGTCTCGAACTCCTGACCTCAAGTGATTCACCCACCTCGGGCTCCCAATGTGCTGGGATTACAGGTGTGAGCCACCGTGCCTGGCCAACAGGTCGTATATTTTTAAATCACTGAAGTCACTATTCTGTTACAAGATATGTGCTTAACTAGTAAGAACTCTTCAGAGTTAAAGTTCTCTAAATAACTACCATAATGCCAAGTATTCCTCTGACATCCTACTTTCCTGAAATTTAGAGAAGTCAGTCATGAGGATTTCGTTGAACAGCCAAAGAAATTAAAATAGACTCATGAATAGTAATAAGGCCAGTGGTATTTATCCCAAATTCCATATCGGATTTATCTTCAGAGGACATGCAGATTGGAACAAATGAAATCACTAACAGTTCTTTCACATTTAGAGGTTTAGTGATCATGGTTATTCTTGGGCAGATAAAAAGGAAAAAAAAATAAAGGCTTAGTGAACTGTCATAACCCTGTGTGGTGCTGAAAATAAAAAACTATATTACATTTTCAAGCTAGCTCTCCTCAAGTTTTAATAAGTGGTAAAACTAGTTGGGCATGGGGGCTCATGCCTGTCATCCCAGCACTTTGGGAGGCCAAGGCAGGCGGATCACTTGAGTCCAAGAGTTCGAGACCAACCTGGGCAACATGGCAAAACCCGTCTCTTCAAAAAAAAAAAAAAATTAGCTGAGCATGGTGGTGTGTGCCTGTACAGCCAGCTACTAGGGAGGCTATGGTAGGAGGATCGCTTAAACCCTGCAGGCTAAGGCTGCAGTGAGCTGTGATGGTACCACTGCACTCCAGCCTGGGTAACAGGTGAAACTCTGCCTCAAAAAATAAAATAAGTAGAGAAACTTCTTTTTTTATTATTGTTTTGAGACGGACTGTCGCTCTGTCACCCAAGCTGGAGTGCAGTGTTGGAATCTCAGCTCACTGCAACCTCTGCCTCCCCGGGTTCAAGCGACTCTCCTGCCTAATCCCAAGTAGCTGGGATTATAGGCATGTGCCACCATAACTGGCTAATTTTTGTATTTTTAGTAGAGACGGGGTTTCGCCATATTGGCCAGGCTGATCTCGAACTCCTGACCTCAAGTGATCCACCCACCTCAGCCTCCCAAAGTCCTGGGATTACAGGCACGAGCCACAATGCCCAGCCAACTGTTTCATTTTAAAAGATACATGGGGAGGAAGATTTGTAGTTTAAGCTAAACGGGAGAGAAAAGCCACTTTGATATATACATATGAAGCACAGATTGCCAGTGCTTGCTAAGGTGTATCCCACAAAGTATTGGCTGCCTTTTCATATTTACGCCTGTTCAGCCCAAGCAGTGAGTGTGGAAAAGTGAGTATTAAACATCAGAGAATTCTGAATAATGGCAGTAAATGTAAATACACTAATTTAACATCTTCGACTTATCTCGAAAACCTTGCCAAACCAGTAATGCACATTCTCCTGAAGATGGGAAGAGAGAATGCCCACAACTCTTCCTGTCACTGACTGAATGGGCCCTCCTGTTACTCTGAGAGACTCTTCTCAGAGAAAAGCAGACTTCGCAGGGTGCGGTGGCTCACACCTGTAATCCTAGCACTTTGGGAGGCTGAGATGGGTGGATCACTTGAGGTCAGGAGTTCAAGACCAGCCTAGCCAACCTGGTGAAACCCCATCTTTACTAAAAATACAAAAATTGGCTGGGCATGGTGGCAGGCACCTGTAATCCCAGCTACTCGGGAGGCTGAGGCAGGAGAATCACTTGAATCCGGGAGAGGGAGGTTGCAGTGAGCCAAGATCGCGCCACAGCACTCCAGCCTGGGTAACAGAACAAGACTCCGTCTCAAAAAAAAAAAAAAAAAAAAAAGCAGACTTATGGCTGCTTCTTTGCTTCTTTCTAGAAAGGACCTAGGCAGGTGCCACCATGAGACCCTAGAGGACCAGCGCAAAATGGAGAGCACATATGCCTTCTGGGATGTGGCAAGCTGGGCGTTCCCCCAGCTCCCTTCACACCTGCACCAAGGCACCTGCTTGATCTATAAGTAAAGCTGTCAGAGAAGCTGCAGCAAAGGCGGTGGGCTCCAGATTACTAATTCCCTAAACCAGCGGTTCTCAGCTAGGGTGATTTTGCCCTAAAGGGGCATTTGGGAAAGTCTGGATACATTTTTCGTTGTCATGACTGGGGATGGTATTGGCATCTAATATGTCAAGGCCAGGGATGCTGCTACACATCCCACAATGCACATACAGGCCCATCACAAAGAATGATCCAGCCCCAAATAGTGCCCAGGTTGAAAAGCCCTGTCCTAAAGATAGGCCAGGTGATGGGGTGGCTTTGAGCATTGCTGTAAATACAGCACCCACCTGGGCCATTCAATCCTCTAAGAAGTTATGTATATTGTTTAGAACGTATTGGGGCAGGGCATGGTGGCTCACGCTTGTAATCCCAGCACTTTGGGAGGCCAAGGCGGGCGCATCATTTGAGGTCAGGAGTTTGAGACTAGCCTGGCCTACATGGTGAAACCCTGTCTCTACTAAAAATACAAAAATTAGCTGGGCATGGTTGTGCACACCTGTAATCCCACCTACTCGTGAGTCTGAGGCAGGAGAATTGCTTGAACCCGGGAGGCAGAGTTTGTAGTGAGTTGAGATCATGCCAGCCTGGCCCACAGAGGAAGACTCTGTCTCAAAAAAAAAAAAAAAAAAGTATGTGTTGGTAGAGAAGGTTAAGTGCCCACAGTCTTAGGTTAAAAAAAAAAACTAAAATTTCTTTAGGGTTTTTACCATCATCATCTTTTGAAACGTATAAACTGAAGTTCATTTAGGTTGTTGTTGTTGTTGTTGTTTTTCACATTAGAAAGGCCAGGATCCAGAGCAAGACTGATCAAAACCTGAAACAGGCCGGGTGTGGTGGCTCACGCCTCTAAGCGCAGCACTTTGGGAGGCCAAGGCGGGCGGATCATGAGGTCAGGAGATCGAGACCATCCTGGCTACCACGGTGAAACCCCCTCTCTACTAAAAATGCAAAAATTAGCTGGGCACAGTGGCACACACCTGTAACCCCAGCTACTCAGGGGGCTGAGGCAGAAGAATCACTTGAACCCGGGAGGCGGAGGTTGCAGTGAGCCAAGATTGTGCCATTGCACTCCAGCTTGGACAAGAAGAGCGAAACTCCATCTCAAACAAAACAAAACAAAACAAAACAAAACAAAACCTGAAACAGAAATAACTGTTCACTATTTTGCGTCTCTATAATAATAATGTTTGCAGGCAAGTTAAATGCATTAAAATGACAGAACTAGGGAAATTTCAGACATTACTCGCTCATTTTATAGGCAAAGGCAGAAATGCTCAGTGGCAAAGCTGGGGTACTAAAAAATATACATCCTGATGGTTCTCAGCTCTTAGGAAAAAGGAAGATGGTTCTTATTTTTACTTATTGCAGTGAACACTGGATTTATCCTGAGACTGTGTCCAAGAAAATATACAGATGCTTTTTGATCTAGGAGATTGAACTTGAAAAGTTTTTTCCTGGAACACCTCCGTATGCACAAATTCAGTACAAGAGTCATGCCTTAAGCTGCACAGTGATGGTGTTTAGACTGGTACAGTGGAAATACAGGCAAAACCAGATGAGGAAAAAGGCCAGGGAATTAAGATGGATTGGACCCAAGCAAGGAGCACCTTAGTTGACAAGTTGCAAAGTTAAGTTCTGAGAACCCATTAAAGAGTAAAGACCCATCATCAAATATCCAAATGCCAGCTTGCAGGCCAAAGGACTTCCATACAATTTTAAACAGTCAGTTATTCATTAGAGGGAAATTATCCAGCTTGTTATATTTGATCCACTCAATACATTCAGGAAAAACACAGATCTCTGTTGGAGTTCAACATACATTACCTGGTCATCTTCACCACATCCTGTATCTGAAAATTGTTCCTATCTTAAAGGAAGAAATGACATTCTTGAGCCCTCCTTCCTGCCTTATGTGATATTTTCCACCTAGTACTTCAAACGTCCCCGACCTGTGAAATATAGTTTGAGCCTTCAGAAACCCAGGCTACAAACCTTAATGCTGTCCTGACCAAACCCAACCCTCTGCTGAACAATTTCTCCTTGGGTTAGAAGAGGAAAATGATCCCTGATTCCCATGCATACATGCAGGATTAAAAGAGATAATGTCTGGGAAGAGGACTTGGATTCTTATTTATTTATTTTTTTGAGACAGAGTCTTGTTCTGTTGCCCAGGCTGGAGTGCAATGGCGTCATCTCGGCTCACTGCAACCTCCGGAAACCCAGTCTCTACTAATAATACAAAAATGAGCTGAGTGTGGTGGTGGGCACCTGTAATACAAGCTACTTGGGAGGCTGGGGCATGAGAATCGCTTGAACCCAGGAGGCGGAGGTTACAGTGAGCCAAGATCATGCCACTGCATTCTAGCCTGGGTGACAGAGCGAGACTCTGTCTCAAAAAAAAAAAAAAAAAAAAAACCCTAGGCAAACAGACAAGACATTACAAAGACCACTATGGAAGCAGGTATTTACAAATATAGTCATATATTCTGTCTACTCCATCGTTTGGAGACAGGAAATCCAGACTTCAAGTCCAACCTACCTTAAGCAAATTCAAACTATGTAATTACAAAGCAGCTTAATGATTACTCATATCACAGAACGGTTCATCAGAACATGTGTCTACAAAGCAACATCACTTGGCATTTAAAATATAAATCATTTACAAATGTCATTTAATTTAGATAGAACGGTGGGAATATGAGTTGGGGTAAAATGAGGGTGGAGGAAGGACAGAGGGAGAAAATAACAGCCCCTTTCCAAAAGTGTCTGGGGTTGAGGGTTTCCAAACATTAGATGCAAAGTAATGCCAGAGGAAGCATGTGGGATGATAATCACAGTGATCTTTTTATTTTTTTCCCAAAAAGATTTTTTTTTTTTTTGAGACGGGGTCTCACTCTGTCGCCCAGGCTGGAGAGCAGTGGCACGATCTCCGCTCACTGCAAGCTCCGCCTCCTGGGTTCACGCCATTCTCCTGCCTCAGCCTCCTGAGTAGCTGGGACTACAGAAGCCCGCCACCACGCCCGGCTAATTTTTTGTATTTTTAGTAGAGATAGGGTTTCACCGTGTTAGCCAGGATGGTCTCGATCTCCTGACCTCATGATCCGCCCGCCTCAGCCTCCCAAAGTGCTGGGATTACAGGTGTGAGCCACGGCGCCCGGCCCCAAAAAGTAATTATTCTTAACCTGCTTCCCAGGCTGGATTTTGTAGCACTGTAGCTAAAACTTCCAGACACAGAGATTAGTATGAGGGTACAATCTGAGGACATGGCACCCTGAAAATGCAGGAGACGATAGTGTATATACATGGAAACAATCTGAGGGTGTGACACCCTGGACGCACAGGGTCTCCAATGCCTTGGACGTCCTGGACACAAGCTGGAGTTTTCTTTTCTTTCTTTTGAGGCGGAGTTTCGCTCTTATTGCCCAGGCTGGAGTACAATGGCACGATCTCGGCTCACCACAAACTCTGCCTCCCGGGTTCAAGCGATTCTCCTGCCTCAGCCTTCTGAGTAGCCGGGATTACAGGCATGCGCCACCATGCCCGGCTAATTTTGTATTACTTTAGTAGAGACAGGGTTTCTCCATGTTGGTCAGGCTGGTCTCGAACTCCCAACCTCAGGTGATCCACCTGCCTTGGCCTCCCAAAGTGCTGAGATTAGAGGCGTAAGCCACTGTGCCCGGCCTGGAGTTTTTTATTAAAGCAATTCTTCAGATCTTTGTTGCAACAGCAAATGAGGCAGCACATAGACACCTGCTTCGTTCAAAAAATCAGCAGGCAGTTTGGTCTAAACCAGCCCAGTATACTTAGTTTGAGGCACGGGGGTGGGGCAGAAAGGACACCTGCCAGATGGCTCTGGGCTGACGTGCGGCCAGCATGGAGGGAAGGAGGCCCTTTGGATTCCCCACTTTCTGCGTGGCTTCTGCTGGGAGTGGACATGAAGCAGGCAGAGGCTGGGGCTGGCAAGACCAATTGGCATTTTGTGAATGGCTAAGTAGCAGAAGCACGTTAACACATGAATATGGTGTTTTAGAAAATAAATCCCAACAATCCACTGAGGTTCAGTTTTCTTCAGTTGTACTACAAAAAAAAAATGGAGGAAAAGAAGAGTAAAGACAGACTGACGGGGAGGAGAGAAAGAGAGAGTGGGGGGTGGGTGGGAAATGAGAGAGAAGAAAGAGAAAGGATGGCTGCATCTCAAACGGTGCTTATTCCCAGGGGTTCTACCGCAACCGCTCAGAGGATCCTGTGGGTAGAGACAGGAATGATAACTCTGCTCACTGTGAGAGACGGCAAGACAGGTCTTGGGAAAACTTTGGTCTCCAGCATTTGGGGCCTGTTTTCCTGCTTGGCCTTTGGGAGAACATGCTTTCGGGTGATCACAGGAGATCTTGGCTCCTTGGCTTTGAATTTGGATTTGTAGCTTTGCACTCCCCGTTTCTGCAGAAGCTGCAAGGCAGCAAGGTAGCGAACGTTGCTGGGGTCTGGAGGGCACGCCAGGTTTTTCTCAGACAGGAGGGACCAATGCAGGCAGCGCTGCTCCGGATCGGTCAGCAGGGATATCTGGGCCGCTGGGGAAGGGGAGGATGGCGTGTCGTTGACCATAGGGTGTTTGGCCAGCTCACTGGCTCTTTTTTCACCTTTCCCATCTGCTGTTTTCAAGCCATATGCATAAGCCACACACCCATCCTTTTCCACATCCAGCACCTTCTCTTCTGACTGCAAGAAAGAGTTCTTACTCTTCTTACCCAGAACATCCAAAGCATTTGAAAGTGAAGCCTTCAGGGGAGGCAGAACTAGGAGGGCCCTGGAAGTCAGGGGGCCTGGGATGGACAGCCCTCTGTGGGCCCCTCCACTGGGATTCCCAGAGGCCTTGCCCCTATTAGTGCCGGGGATGGCCCAGTCTTTGTTGCACCAAATAAACTCCTTGATTTGCAGACTTTTTTTCTCTGCTCGAAAGTAGGTGGGAAAGCAGATGTCGCTAATTGCCCTGGAAGCAGTGCTGGGGCCCTGGGGGGCTGCCTGAGTCTGGGAGGGGCTGCTCTGATCCTTCTCTGGGCCCCCCTCAGTAGGAGGCTTGGTCTGGAGGCTCCAGTGGGAGAGGTTAACACACACCAAGCAGTCGCTGCAGGCACCTTCCCCTACCCTCGCCTTTTTTGGTATCTTCCTCGGCCAGATGCAGGCAGCTGGAGAAGTCCTTCCCCACCCTTGGACCTGCAAATAAAGCGGCATGTTACTCCTCCAGCTGAGGGGCCCAAACTGTCCTTGCCCCAATTTTGGCCACATTCCCATTTTGGCAGTCTTATGTGAAACAATATTCTTATTTTTATTTATTTTTTTACTACCCCTTCCCCCACTAATAATTTTCTTAAAATTCATTCACTTAAAAAAAAAATCCTTCAAAGTTGCAAAGCATGAAAAAGTGTAATACCTACTTTCACCGCTATAAAGCAATAACAGTATTTGTAATAGTATTTGTTAATCCTAAATACTAGCAAGAGCATTTGTTAATACTAAAACACTAAGCAACAGTATTTGTAAATGGCCACTTTGATGTGCTGACTATATTTCTTTTCAAATGCACATTTAAATTTGAAGCCATTAAAATAAAATGAAAACCGTTCATACTTGTCCCACCAACAAGGATTTCGGGCACCGCCAGTCTCTGCTTCCCTTACCTGGGGAACACTGTTGCTTGGAGAGGCTGGAGGGAGACCGAGGAGCAGAGGCAGGTCCTGGAATGCAGAGGAGCCCTGCGTACCCAGGGATACCTACTCCCCATACACGCCCAGAGTCCTCTGGCTGATCTTGCCACAGAGATCACCATTAAAAAAGGGTTGCCAGTAAAAATATAGGACCACATTTTGGACATACTTATACTGATAAATTAGGTATTTATCTGGTAATCCTATGTTTAATCACTGGATTAGACCAAGTTTTCTCATAGTTTTATGCTTTTTTTTTTTTTTTAGTTTTCTTATAGTTTTAAATATAGGATTCTATTGTTGATTCTATGAATTGTTTAAGAGTAAGCCTGCAGACCAGGCGCAGTGGCTCAGGCCTGTAATCCCAGCACTTTGGGAGGCTGAGGTGGGCAGATCACCTAAGGTCAAGAGTTTGACACCAGCCTGGCCAATATGGTGAAACCCCGTCTCTACTAAAAATACAAAAATTAGCTGGGCATGGTGGGCACCTATAATCCCAGCTACTCAGGAGGCTGAGGCAGGAGAATCGCTTGAACTCAGGAGGCAGAGGTTGCAGTGAGCCAAGATCGCGCCACTGCACTCCAGCCTGGGCGACAGAAAGAGACTCCATCTCAGGGAAAAAAAAAAAAAAAAAAAAAACCCACAGAGTTCTGAGTAGAGCCATTAGGAAAGAAGCCTCAGTTCTCTCAGGGAGTTCAGCACAGCTGCTAAGGAGCTCAGGGTTCTAGAGTCCAGGAGACCTGGATTCAAGCCCTGCCTTGGCCACTTATTGGCTGGGTGATCTCGAGCATGTAACTTTATCTTCCAAGTGACTCAGTATACTCATCCACAAAGCGAGGCTGGGAAGAAAACTTGCCCCATATGGCTATTGAGAGGTTAGATGAATTAATGTATCCAAAGTACTTAGTACTGTGCTGTCCACATACTAAGTGGCCATAAATACCCACAGTAGGTGCTGCTCTTATCATCAGTAATATTTTACCTCAATTCCAGGGTTTCTACATGTCATTGATTCCACATTTTTTGGTAATATTAACTATTTTTGGGAAAAAGAGGCTTGCACCAAAACACTGATGTGCGAGAGACAGAAAAGCTGTGACTCAGAAAGATACTCACTGCCTCTTCCCATCCAGTTCCAATAATAAACTCTTTGGCTTTTTCATCTTGTTCAAGCGTAATGTCACTGACATCGAGAAGACAATAAACATGATTTTTTTCACTTTTTCCATCTGGACAAGTATAGGTTGGTTCTGTTTCTTCTGTGAACTGAATTTCATTATTTTCAGCATTTTCTAAGTCAGTCTCATTTTTCTGACAGAGATCCATTACTGTGATGCTTGCTTAAAGTTTTTAACATCTTCTTGCTGTTTAAAAACATGAATGGAACTTCGTTTTTAATATTAATTTTTTTTTAAAAAAAGCAATGCAATACTCAGGTGAAATATCTTCAAGACACATTCAGGAATATGGCCGGCCGCGGTGGCTCATGCCTGTAATTCCAGGAATTACTTTGAGAGGCCAAGTCAGGCGGATCACTTGAGGTCAGGAGTTTGTGACCAGTCTGGCCAACATGGTGAAAGCCAGTCTCTACTAAAAATAAGGCGGGCACCTGTAATCCCAGCTACTCGGGAGGCTGAGGCAGGAGAATCACTTGAACCCAGGAAGCAGAGGTTTCAGTGAGCTGAGATTGGCCACTGCACTCCAGCCTGGGTTAGAGAGTGAGATTACATCTCAAAAAAAAAAAAGAAAAGAAAGAAAGAAACATTCAGGAATAGACTGAGAACAAATATTACGCAACTATCCACTGCCAACCACTGGCACTATGAAAGATAAGGCAGCCAGGAGTGATGGCTCACACTTGTATTCTCAGCACGTTGGGATGCTGAGGCTGATGGATCACCTGAGGTCAGGAGTTCGAGGACAGCCTGGCCAACATGGCGAAACCCCATCTCTACCAAAAATACAAAATTAGCTGGGTGTGGTGCTGCGCACCTGTAATCCCAGCTACTTGGGAGGCTGAGGCAGGAGAATCACTTGAATCCGGGAGGTGGAGGTTGCAGTGAGCCAAGATCACGCTATTGCACTCCAGCCTGGGCAACAGAGCAAGACTCTGTCTCAAAAAAAAAAAAAAAAAGAAGATATGAAGAGACATAGGGAGAAGATGGCCATCTACAAGCCAAAGACAGCAGCCTGGAACAGAGCCTCCTCTCACAACCCTCAGAAGGAACAAACCCTGCCAAAACTTTGATTTTGGACTTTGAGAATCCAGACCTATGAGGTAATACATTTCTGTTGTTTAAGCCACTCAGTCTGTCGTACATTGTCATGACGCCCCTAGCAAAGTAAAACAGTAGGTGATGGTGATAACCCTATCTACCATTAATGGATGTTTTTCTGGAAAATGCACTTGGCATTTAGAATCTAGACAAAGGGTCTGCAAAGTTGTAATCCTGATCAGAGCCAAAGAGCTGAACAGTTCCAGTCCTATTTACCGGCTGTGTCCCTTGAGCGATGACTTACTTTTCTGGGTCTGTTTGCTCATCTATAAAAAGGGCTAAAGCGGCTGCATGCGATGGCTCACGCCTGTAATCCCAGTACTTTGGGATGCCGAGCTGGGTGGATCATTTGAGGTTAGGTGTTGAGACCAGCCTGACCAACATGGTGAAACCCTATCTCTACTAAAAATACAAAAAAGTTAGCCAGGTGTGGTGGTGCACACCTGTAGTCCCGGCTACTCAGGAGGCTGTGGCAGGAGAATAGCTTGAACTTGGGAGGCAGAGGTTGCAGTGAGCCAAGATCGTGCCACTGCACTCCAGCCTGGGCGACAGAGTAAGAATCCGTCTCAAAAAAAAAAAAAAAAAAAAAGCAAAAGCATGATACCTTCCTACAGATAGGGGTTCCTCCTGTGGACCCCACAGGCTGCAGAAATTAACTAGAATACCTGAGCAGTGACCACCAAAGCTCTGGCTTGAGTGCTGATAAGCACCCAGTGTCTTCTCAAGAAGTTCCTTGCTTGTGATAAGACAGGAGGCACAGGGGACACCCACTCCTTGCTTTCTCTCAGCCAGACGTGACCCATGCCAGAAAACTAGTTTTTTTCATTTTTTGTTTAGGAAGAGATCGGTACTTCTTATGACAAATCTGTTGAATTACCAATTTGGCTTTTTCACATAGGCTTAGTTTTTTTATTTTGTTTTGTTTTGTTTTGTTTTGTTTTGTTTTGTTTTTGAGACAGAGTCTCACTCTGTTGCCCATGCTGGAGTGCAGTGGTGCGATCTTAGCTCACTGACAAAATTTACTGGAGTAAATTTTGTAAAATTTTAAGTTGGAAGTTGTACCTCCGCTTCCCAGGTTCAAGCAATTCTCCTGCCTCAGCCTCCCGAGTAGCTGGGATTACGGGCGTGAGTCACCGTGCCTGGCCAACACTACATTTTTATAAGCACTTTACTTATGTAATGAGGGTTCACAAGGAACTGTATTGATTCCTTGTGACTCAAAACTAAGAATCATCCCTGAGTCAATTAACACAGTATTATTAATCAGAAGGTCAGATTACTGCATACCAGATCACCAGATGCACCTTCGGAACACTGGTGTACTTCAGGCAGGATCAACACGCTCCGCTACTAAAAGAGAATATTGGGGTCTTTTCCTAATTAAAAAGAAATTCAGTTAGTGGATAGGAAAGTTGTATTTTAAGTTTCCCTTCTCTAAACATACTATCAAGTTGTTGTCTGTCTCGCTCCGTCGCCCAGGCTGGAGTGCAGTGGTGTGATCTCAACTCACTGCAACCTCTGCCTCCCGGGTTCAAGCAATTCTCCTGCCTCAACCTCCCAGGTAGCTAAGACTACAGGCGCCTGCCACCACGCCTGGCTAATTTTTTTGTAACTGTCGAGTTTTATTACCCATTCTTGTCTTCCAGCTCACGTTAGCAGATGACACACAGTAATGGCCAAGAATCAATAGATCAAAGAAAAGAGTGGATATGTGATTCCTTGCAATCTGTATGCAGTTTTACTTTTATGTTGGAATGCAGACATCTATATTCATATAATATTTTCTGGTAGTAAAATTATGCCTGACTTACACATTTGACGTAAACCAAGAGCTCATGCCATCCCATTTCTTGGCTTCCATTGAACTTTACAACCTGATTCAGTTTGAGAATCACCAGGATAAAGCATACATCAAAGTCCATACAAACGTTTTCCACCACATCAAGAAAACACAAAGATCACAGTGAAGATGTTGCCATGGAGACGCATTTGCAGATGCAACTCTAAAATTGGATTTAGAGTATAAAGCGGGAAAGCTCAAATATGTAGGCCAGAAGGTATTAAACTCTATTACACAAGCTATTAAAGTGATTAGAACCAACATGTACAAAAGAAATAGTTGACTCTGATCCAAGCCCCCAAAGTGCATGTTTGGATAAACAAGAATAAACCCAAAGAAAAACTGATCAAAGAACTTAAGATATTTGGAAACGAAAGAAAGATGGTGAATGAGAGCCTAAAAAATATAGCCTATGGAAATTTACCATAATCCAGAAAATACCTTTTCTAGTAGCATTTAAAGACAGATACAAAAAGGAAATGATCAGCCAAAGAAATGTAAAGTGGTTTATTTTCTTTTACCAATAACATGTTTTGCTTCAAAATAATGTGAGGTTGAGGTTAGGGAGGGAATAGTGAAACCAAAGTGCCCTTAAGTTCTGTTTGTTGTAGATGGGTATGAGGACATGGGGATTAACTGTACTATTATATTTTTATGTAAGCATGAAACTTCCTGTAATAAAACTTTTAAAGCCATGATGTTATCGGAGAGCTCCAAGAAATGAAATGTGGAATAATGATAGAAGCCAGGGTACAATGAATTTTGACCTTAAGCAAACTGAAATAAATGTTGTTTTTTGTTTGTTTGTTTTGGTTTGTTTTTTTGTTTTGAGACACTCGCTCTGTTGCCCAGGTTGGAGTACAATGGTGTGATCTCGGATCACTGCAACCTCCGCCTCCTGGGTTCAAGCGATTCTCCTGCCTCAGCCTCCCGAGTAGCTGGGATTACAGGCGTGCGCTACCATGCAGGGCTAATTTTTGTATTTTTAGTAGAAACGGAGTTTTACCATGCTGGCCAGGCTGGTCTTGAACTCCTGACCTCAGGTGATCCACCCATCTCAGCCTCCCAAAGAAATAAATGTATCAATGAACAGATAACAAGGTTTGTGTAATTTTAAGTTGCAGTAAAGACCTTGAACAAGGACTTATTGAAAGAAAAAAACACACAGATCTACAAAAAAGATATAACATCAGATAACAAGTTTTATAAAAGTGATTTAGAGGAACTCCAGAAATATTTGTCCAATTATTCTTAAGTCACAGTACACAAGGGCTTCTCATTGAATTTATTGAATGGCCAAAGGAACAGGTGTAAATGCAGAAAAGAATAGACATTACTATTTGGATCTGTGACACTATATTGAGATCATGTAATTTGTTAATGAACTGAGAAGTACAAGACTATCAAATGCTCCTTTGTTATACGTCCGGCAAAGTTAATGTAGCTTTAACACCCTAACCAATCTATAGAGTATGAAGTGTCTTGCTCCTGAAATGAACAAAGACAACGGTTAAGCTATCACAGTCAACAGTAGAGGCATACCAGTCGAATACAGCAAAAGGACATGTTTTCTGTTGTGTGTTGTATAAAAGTTAAAATTGGGAAAGCGGGGGAGAAATCAGTGTAAACTGAGAACAATGAACGTATCTCCTATTTACAAATAAGTAACACTGCCCAAAGAAAAACCTATGTGGAAAGAGACCACCCGACCAAGAACATAAAGAAATTTCCAAAGTCCTGGTAGCTGAAAAGAAGTGAAGGGATAGCAGAAGAAATGACTATGCCATATGGTACAGAAAGGGCCTTTGTATTTCTTTGTATTTTTTTTTTTTTTTTTTGAGATGGGGTCTCACTATATTGACCAGGCTGGTCTCAAACTCCTGGCCTCAAGTGATCCTCTCATTTTGGCTTCCCAAAGTGCTGGGATTACAGGCATGAGCCCAGCCTTTCTTTGTAACATATATATATATTTTTTAGACCAAGTCTCGCTCTGTCACCCATGCTGGAGTGCAGTGCCATGATTCCAGCTCACTGCAACCTCCGCCTCCTGGGTTCAAGTGATTCTTGTGCCTCAGCCTCCCAAGTAGCTGGGATTCCAGGCGCATGCCACCACGCCCGGCTAATTTTTTTTGTATTTTTAGTAGAGACAGGGTTTCACCATGTTGGCCAAGCTGGTCATGAACTCCTGACCTCAGGTGATCACCCGCCTCGGCCTCCCAAAGTGCTGGGATTATAAACGTAAGCCACCGTGCCTGGCCCTTCATATTGTTTTGATAAAGAAGGTAATAACGTGGCTACTTTATTTTAATGAAAATGAGGTTAGAAATGGACTTATAAAAAAATAGAATTCTGATTTTGTGTCTGCTTATTTTTGGTTTATGTCTTTTTTGCCCCAGATAGGACTCAAGCTGCCAGGCTCTTTTTGAAGAAGGCTGCAGTGGGTACACTTGAATTAGGAGGAGTACTGTCCGTCAGTCTCGACTACCTAGCATTAGTCAAGACAGGCAAGGATAGGCTGCAGTAACAAGCAGCCCTATCTCTTTTCCAGTGGTTAAAAAAACACAGGCTTCTTTCTAACTCATGCTGCAGGTTCATTGTATGATGTCTGGGACTCTGTTCCACATTGTCCTCACTCCTGAACATGAACTGACAGAGGCTGCCTGCGTCGTTGGAAACCACAGCCAACTGTGATGCAGAGTGTGATGGCAAACATGGCTCTTAGATGGTTCTTTCTGGAAGTCACTCATTTGACTTCAGTTCACATGTCATTAGCCTGGAGCAAATCACAGACATTGCCTCACTTTAAGGAGAAGCGGGGCTAATACTTCCTTCTATATCTCCAGGAGGAGTAAGAAGCCAGATTTTGGTGACTGATCATACTGTTTTGGTACCACATTAATCTGGTATCATTAGAGGTGAAATACAAAGAAAATAACCCATATCTACTGTGAATGTCACTACCTAAAATGTGGACATTTATCATCACTGAAAATAGAATCCAGACTCCTTGGACCATTTCCTGGGAATGGGAAGTCCTAGATTTTAGGAAGATAAGACTGGACTTAAAACATTATAATGCTGTTCTTAAAACCTTTTTCACCAGGCATGGTGGCTCACGCCTGTAATCCCAGCACTTTGGGAGGCCAAGGCAGGTGGATCACGACGTCAGGAGTTCAATACCAACCTGGCCAAGACGGTAAAACCCCATCTCTACTAAAAATACAAAAAAAATTAGCTGGGCATGGTGATGGCCGCCTACAATCCCAGCTATTCAGGAGACTGAGGCAGAGAACTGCTTGAACCCAAGAGGCGGAGCTTGCAGTGAGCCGAGATCACGCCACTGCACTCCAGTCTAGGCGACAGAGTGAGACTCCATCTCAAAAAAAAAAACAAACCTTTTTCAAATTTTTGGATTCTAAAGTTTATATGAAAACACAAAGTCCCAAAAATAGATTGAAAGGTTAAAGAAGAAGTTGTAAGACTGCACTGATGAATACTGAGATGATATAAATAGGAATCTAGAGCAGGATTCTTTACATTGACAAGCAAGTTTTAGAATTTATTGGGAAAGGCAAAGGAACTAGAATAGCTGAAACATTTTGAAAAGTTAGAATTAAGTGGAGAAATCACACTACCCAGTTTTAAGAATTACCATAAAGCTACAGTAATCAAAGCAGTATGGTATTAGTGAATGAAGAGACACATAGGTCAATGCGCCAGAATAAGGAATCCAGAAATACACCCCCCCAAACATGGCCAATAGTTTTTTTTAAACAAAGGCACACAAATAATTAAATACAGAAAGGACTGTCTTTTCAACTAATGGTGTTGCAACAATTAACCGTCTATATGCAAAAACACTTTACAATGGATCATAGATTATAAATATAAATCTTAAAACTGGGCAGCTTTTATTTGGGGGTTTCCTGTTTTTTATTTTCACTTACTTATTTATTTTTGAGACGCAGTTTTGCTCTTGTTGCCCATGCTGGAGTGCAATGGCATGGTCTCGGCTCACTGCAACCTCCGCCTCCGAGGTTCAAGCCATTCTCCTACCTCAGCCTCCCGAGTAGCTTTATGATCTTATAAGTCACTCTATAGTTTCACTTCTATATAATAACTTATAGTCATGTATAGTTTCACTGCTGGACTCAACTGGTTTATCAGCCTTTGGGGTCAGCCCACATTCAAGAGGAAGGGGCACAGACTCTTCTTCTGTATGGGAGAATTATCAAATAATTTTCATGTCTTGAACCACCACGCCATGGTTTTCCGACTCCAGAGTCCATGTGTACTTCTTTTCACTATATGGTGTGGACATACTTGTTCCTGGGAATCCAGTGCCAATCAGACAGCGGCGATATGGTGAGTTATATTTGTTCTGACCTCGTGAGACTCTGTACAGCCCCACTAAGAATGAAAAGAACATTCCTACCTGGTTCCTGATATGACTGCTCCTCACTAGAGATCAGTGTATTCAGAATGCCAAAGCTCTACTCCCAGTGTCATGGGGAAGCTCCAAGTGGCCCAGTCAAACGTGGCAGGTTATCACTAACCAATAAGAGCGACCAACTATCTGTGATCAAGGCTAAATGCCAGAGAAGAAAATCTAATCGCTGCAGGGGAAGAGAAGTCACTATATTGGAAATGAACACTTCCAAGACAAAGAAACACTGGTTTCAATTAAGACACAAATGCTGGGAAAAGAAAAGTCAGTGCAGGCTGCTGCAGTGGCTCACGCCTGTAATCTCAGCACTTTGGGAGGTTGAGGCAGGAGGATCACTTGAGCTCAAGAATTTGACAACAGCCAGGGCAACACAGAGATACCCCATCACTAGAAAATTTTTTTTAATGGCCAGGCGTGGTGGTGTGTGCCTGTGGTCAGAGCTACTAGGGAGGCTGAAGTGGGGGATCCCATGGGCCCCGGAGGGAGATCTTGTCTCTAAATCAATAAATAAGTAAATAACCCCAAAAATAAAAAAAAATTAAAAAGTCAATGCATAACATAACTGGTACATATACCGAGTCTCTAAGAGAATAACTCATTAGTGGTACCATCTTATAAATGAGAAAAAAAATGCAGGAAGGTGAGGAACGTTCCGGGATCACTGTGAGAGACAGCTACTGCTGCCCAAAGAGCCACTGTCTTTGCCTACTTTGCAGCCTCTGTTGCAGTTGGGTTAGAGACTTGTGACTAGCCTGGTCAACAGACTGTGAGTGGAACTAATGTGTGTCACTTCCTGGGTGAGGCAGTGAATAGGTAACGTCCTCCTTCAGTTCTCTCTTCTCCTCCCACAATGACCCTGGGGGTCAGATGTTGAGTTAGCGGCACCACAGAATGGAAGAAGCCTAGATTTTGACTCACAGCTTTGAGAAATGTCCCCATAAACCCTCATCAGACTATGCATGGATGAGAAAAAACTTAATGACTCCAGCCATGAGATCTGAGGAACTGCTTGTTGCTACACCAGTCTGTCCTATACAGGTAAGTACAGTTACTGAGATTGTGTCAGAGCTGAGATTACAAGGCCAGGTGGGACTCTGACTCTGAGGGGTTGTTCGTGTAATGATTATACCTGATGCAAAAAAAAAAAAAAAAAAGAATAAAAAAGAAAAAAGAAACTAGCTATAACATACTTTTTATTATTAATTTTTTTGAGATGGAGTTTCACTCTTGTTGCCCAGGCTGGAGTGCAATGGTGCGATCTTAGCTCACTGCAACTTCTGCCTCTGGGTTCAAGTGATTCTCCTGCCTCAGCCTCCCAAGTAGCTGGGATTATAGGCATGCGCCATCATGCCAGGCTAATTTTGTATTTTTAGTAGAGATGGAGTTTCTTCATGTTGGTCAGGCTGGTTTCAAATTCCCGACCTCAGGTGATCCGCCAGTCTCAGCCTCCCAAAGTGCTGGGATTATAGGCGTGAGCCACCGTGCCCACCCTAGTTTTTATTTTTTTATTTTTATTTTTATGTTTTTGAGACAGAGTCTCACTCTCTTGCCCAGGCTGGAGTGCAATTGCATGATCTCGGCTCACTGCAACCTCTGACTCCCAGGTTCAAGCAATTCTCAAGCCTCAGTCTCCTGAGTAGCTGGGATTACAGGCGTGCGCCACCATGCCTGGCTAATTTTTGTATTTTTTTGTAGAAACAGGGTTTTGGCATGTTGGCCAGGCTGGTCTCCAACTCCTGATGTCAAGTGATCCGTCCGCCTCAGCCTCCCAAAGTGCCCGGCCAATTATAACATACTTTAAAAAATAACTGGATGAAGAGTTACATACTAAAGGGAACTAGCTATTTAGTCCTCTAAATTATAGCTACCTTATAGGAAGTCACATGATGCTAGCAGAAAAGGATTAGTTTCAGGTAAAACAGGAAAATACAGTTGCTGTTTCACAATAGGAAAATATAAAACATAAAGTATTTTACCACTATAGAAGGGAACAGATGTCTGTAGTTATTACCCTGTGTAAAGCCAGATTGGTATGTACCATAAATTCAGGCTAAAAAGTGCCTATTAGAGATTGAAAGTCTCAGGAACACAAGCTCCATGTCTTTGGAAGACTAAAAATATGCTTAATTCTAAGATACAACTCTGATTAGAGGCAGAATTAATAGCATATAAGGTTAATTTATGGTCATGGAGAGAAAAATGGGTAAAAATACCTGCTGCAATAAGCTCTTCTAGAATGTTCCTGAAAGATAACGTGGTAGGCAGAATTCTACAAATTCTCTCCCCTCAAGATTTCCCACCCTAATCCCTGGATGAATAGGATGAAATATAACATCCACAAATATGTTATATTACATGGTAAAAGGGACTTTGCAGATGTAATTATGGTTATTAACCAGTTGACCTGAAGATAGGATATTATTTTAGATAATCTGGGTGGCCCTAATCAAATGACGTAGTCTTCTAAAACAAACTTGTCTTAGCTAGCAGCAGCAGAAGTCAGAGATACAAAGCACAAGAGGAATTCAATGCATTGTTGCTGGCTTTGATGAAGTGGGGGTCACATCCCAAGGAATGTGGATGGCATTTAGGAGCTGAGAAAAGACCCTGGTTTACAGTGAGGAATTAAACAGGGATCTCAGTTCTACAACTTCAAGAAACTGAATTCAGCCAACAGTCTGAATGATCTTGGAAGTGGGTTCTTCCAATAAGAGTCTAGACTGGATGACTTAGGAGATCTTAAACAGAGAACAAAGCATCAACAGAAAACTAATACAATAATAATTCAGCTTAAATACTTCTGCTTAAGTACTTTCAACGACTGAGTGCTCGTAACTTTACAGGAATGTTTTTTCTTTCCATTGGAAGCTCTAAAGATTCGAATGATCTCAAATTAAGTCATCCGCAAGCCTGCAAATTTTGTTCCTCAGTTCTTGGTATTCTTCTCAAATGCAAATCTGAAAACATCTGAAGACAGCTATCATTTTGTCAGATACAAATCTCAAGTTCCTCATCATCTTAAGAATGCAAAATTACCTGTCTCTTAAAATGTGGTGCCTGGAACTGAAAGCAATACCTCAAAAGTGGTCTGACTAGAAGTGTCTGCTTTGAAATCTGACTCCTTTTGATCTGAAATCTACATCTATTAATTAAACAAAGTTACTATATTTTTTTAAAAGTGTAACTCAATCTTTTTTCTTTCTTTTTTTTTTAGACAGAGTCTCGCTCTGTTGCCAGGCTGGAGTACAGTGGTATGATCTCAGCTCCCTGCAACCTCTGCCTCTTGGGTTCATGAGATTCTCCTGCCTCAGCCTCCTGAGTAGCTGGGACTACAGATGCGCGCCATCACGCCCAGCTAATTTTTGTATTTTTAGTAGAGACAGGGTTTCACCATGTTGGCTAGGATGGTCTCGATCTCTTGACCTCGTGATCCGCCCGCCTCAGCCTCCCAAAGTGTTGGGATTACAGGCATGAGCCACCACACCCAACCCTATAACTCAATCTTGATTAACACTGAGCTTGAGGTGAACTACAACTTCCAGATTTTTTTTTTTTTCACATGAATGGCTAAAAATTCCTGTCTTCTTTACTCTGTAACCATGCTGTTGATTTTCTTTTCTTTTTCTTTATTCTTTTTGTTTTACTTAGATGTAGACTCCAAATGCATCAGATCCTTGTAAAATTTCCCCTTTTGTTTTTGGACCATTATTAAACCTGCGTAGACAGTTCGCAACCTAACTCTGACTTCCCACAGTTTGACCATTCCTTCTTGCTTGATGACTCCATTAATTTGATGAGGATGCCTTCTGTATCTCCATCTACATCACGGATAAAGACGTTGAGAAGGATGGGTAAAGGATAATGCCCTCTGGGTATCCCTTTCACTTGGACATTTGCTAATTATTCAACTAGCTGCAAATTCACCTTCATCTTACTCCCTATACAATGACCTGGCCTATGTTTCTAAATCTTTTCTACAGGAATCCAGATCCATCCATTTAGATAGTCTTTTTTTTTAGAGGAACCTACCAAGAGTTATAGAAGTTGATGTCTCTCTCTCTCTCTCTTTTTTTTTTAACACCTATTGCCTAGATCAGGGATAAAGAATACATTCTGGCCAAGCACGGTAGCTCACACCAATAATCCCAGCACTTTGGGAGGCCGAGGCCGGTGGATCACTTGATGTCAGGAGTTCAAGACCAGGCTGGCCAATATGATGAAACCCCATCTTTACCGAAAATACAAAAATTAGCCAGGCATGGTGGCTCACGCCTGTAGTCCCAGCCACTTGGAAGGCAGAGGCAGGAGAATCGCTTGAACCCGAGAGGCAGAGGTTGCAGTAAGCCGAGATTGCACCACTACACTCCAACCTGGGTAACAGGGTGAGACTGTCTCAAAACAAAACAAAGAAAATTCTGAATTGTCAACTCCAAACTAGTGGCTACCTAGAGTGTTGTATTGAGAAGGATCTTATGACCTGACTATAGCAGGAAAAATTTCTGGGGTTGATTAATTATGTCTGCCAGAAAATAGAGTGTGCCACATGTTTGCCAGTCTGTCTATATAGTCAGATTACAAATATCTTACCGTAGCTTCCTATACCTGGTTGACAGATTCCTAATCCATTAAGGGCAGGGGAATGTTGAAGGACCAGGAGAAACCAAGGCCCAGGGTATTAAGTCAAACGCAAGCTGTTTATGTCAAAAGCAGATAGATGGTAATCTCTCAAAACTCCTTATCACCTTGCCTCAACTTCTCATTGGCTCTCCACTGTGCCACACACCCTCATCTTCCTACAAGCTATAGGTTTAAAGGAATCTTAAATTCCAACCAGGGAAAGATGAGTTTCTGGCAGCCTCATTTGGAATTTGAATGAACGTTCCTGTGGGTCGGCTCCTTAACAACCTATGCTGAATGAAGGAATAATCATTAGAAATATTGTTAGCCATGGCAGAAGTTAAGTTTCTTAATACAGGACCAATCTTCACTTACATGAACCAGTTAAATAGGTCCTGAAGACTGACCTGGGCATCCTGATCATTTGTGACACAGTTTCTACAGGAAAATGAGTTGGGAGTCGCATTTAGAAACACACTGGAAGGAGCTGAACCTTTGTCTGAAAGTTAAGCACCCGCGCCACCCAACTTGCACAATTTGTTCATATTTCCAAGAGTATAAATTTTATCCTCCTTGTTAATTATATGTGCCTTCTGCTTATTATATGCCTACAGGTCACAGGAACCTCAAGTATTTCACAGAATGATGCCAAGGAGCGCAGTTTCTACACCATCCCTCCCGATCAGACCACATCTATTCCAATCTCAGTCTCAAACTCTTCCCCTTTTTCAACTCACATTAATGAATTCACTAAGTACCTAGCACTGAGAATAAAAAGCTAAAGCAGCATCCGTCTTCTCTACTCTCACACAGCTTACAGTCCACAGCAAAGCGCAAGTCATCAAACACACGCGCTCCACCTGCCACCCCTAAAGCCCAGGCGCATCACGCTCGGCTCCACCTCTTCATCTAGCCCCGCCCCTTCCTGCAGGCCACACCCCTTTCTCTATCAGGCTCCTCCCTTTATGCCATAAGCCTTTTTTCCTCATCTAGCTCTTCCCCTTCCTCCGCCAGTTCCTACCGTGCCACAAAGACGCCTGCCCTTCTTTCAAACTATCCCATTCAGAAAAGCGTTCTGGATTGCCCGTTCGAATTCCTCCCCGTCCTCCGTCTACCCACCCTTAAAGGGTTCCGCTCCCAACGGATCCTCCTCAGGCCCCGCCCCTCCCCAGACCCCGCCCGCTCTGGGGAAGCCCCGGCACATAGTGCCTCTGCCTTTCGCTCCCTCTCGCTTCCTTTCGAACGAGGCAGGGACTCTCGCTCTGTCGCCTTTGGAGTGGTCCCGGGCCTTGCCCCAGGGGTGGAGAAATGGCCGCTCACACCTACCTGTGGGGCCAAGCGGATGGAAGGCCCCGAGACAGCTAGTCCCGGCCTACTGGCAAGAGCTACTCAGGTCGCTGCCGGATGGGCCGTTGCCTTGGGTTACGACCACGCTGGGGGCGGGACCGCGGCGGAAGTGACGTAGCCCAACAAAGCCTAGCACTGGCGAGGCGGTTCGTGGCATCTCCTATCCGCTCCGGGCGCTGCCGCCGGAAGGGCCAGCGACGGAGGGTCTCAGATGGCGGGGCTTGAGGCCCACCCGGGCTCTCGGGTCGGCGAGTCCCGTTGGGGAGCCCTTGTGCCTGCTAGGATATTTAGCAGATGCCAGGCGGCCAGAAACGTCCTCACTTTTCTCCCTCGGCCCTCTGGGGAACCGCCGTGAGCGTTTCCCACGGACACAAACTTAACAGGCCCAGAACGTCCAGGGAGGACGCGTTGTGAGCCTCAAAGAGCCCACTTACGTGACCGACAGCACCAGGCCGACGGGCACTCGCTGAACTGCTGGCCCGGAGCAGCACAGCTCTTAAGTGGGCAGTGGCATCTTTTATACAAATAAAGGAAGGTGGCCCCACGTCCCTAAAACAACAGCTTGCTGAAGAGAGATCGCAAAGCATCCCCCACTCCAGCTCGGGTCTGACTCCAAAGCCCTTCTGCTTTAGAAAGTGTGACTATTTCTGCTGTAGAAAACCGGTATCTAGGCCAGGCGCGGTGGCTCACGCCTGTAATCCCAGCACTTGGGAGGCCGAGGTGGGTGTATCACCTGAGATCAGGAGTTCGAAACTAGCCTGGTCAACATGGCGAAACCGTGTCTCTACTAAAAATACAAAAATTCGCCGGGTGTGGTGGCGGGCGCCTGTAATCTCAGCTATTTGGGAAACTGAGGCAGGAGACTGGCTCGAACCCGGGTGGCGGAGGTTGCAGTGAGCTGTGATGGCACCACTGCACTCCAGCCTGGAGAGCAAAACTCAAGTCTCAAAAAAAATTTTGGTATCTAAGTTCTCTAGCACTGTGATTGCTCCAATGAGACGGATTCAGCTATAATTCTATTCCAACTTTTTTCATACGTGTAAGCTTAGGTACCTTGTTCACATAAATAGGAAGATGCAAATAAAAGGGGTTTTATTGTATCTCAAGCTAGTAAGTATTAACCAAAAACATTTAAATGTTTTATCAGTTGACAATTTGTTTTGGTCTTCCTTCAGATCTATTGAAAACAGCTGGGCACCGTGGCTCACACCTGGAATCCCAGCTGAGGCAGGAGGCTCCCTTGAGCCCAGGAGTTGAAGGTTGCAGTAAGCTATGATTGTGTCACTGCACTCCAGCCTGGGAAACAGTGCAAGACCTTGCATATTAGAAAAAAGTTTCTGGGAAGTATACCAAAAGTCTTAACTAAGATTTGCTAAATGAATATTAATTAAATAACCTAACGGCAAGTACATGGGGAAGTTGGAGGATCTAGAACCTGACTTCCTTCACACTAACTATTCCTGCATTTAGCAGGTAAAAGCCCGATAGCATGATTGAGTGGAAACATGAAGGGACAAGGGTTTGGCTAGTTATGTTTATAAAAAGTCAACATAGGAATTGAGTCAAGATACCAGAAACTCTACTTATAGTAAGATCCCACTTTGCAAAAACGGAGAATGGAAGCGTACAGAACTGTACCTTCTCCTCAATTTTGCTGTGACTGTAAACTTCCTCTAACACATAAAATGTATTTTAAAGAAAAAAAGCCAGGAGTGGTGGCTTGCGTCTGTAATACCAGTTACTCACAGGAGAGGCTAAGGCAGGAGAATCACTTGAGACCAGCTTGGGAAGTGTCACAAGACCCCATATCTATTTTTTAAAATTAAAGGGAGATGGGTGGGTGCGGTGGCTCACACCTGTAATCCCAGCACTTTGGGAGGCTGAGGCGGGTCAATCACTTGAGGTCAGAAGTTCAAGACCAGCCCAGCCAACATGGCGAAACCCCATTTCAAAACCCTAATACAAAAATTAGCCGGGTGTGGTGATGGACGCCTGTAATCCCAGCTACTCAGGAGGCTGAGGTGGGAGAATCACCTGAACCCGTGAGGTGGAGGTTGCAGTGAGCCAAGATCGCACCATTGCACTCCAGCCTGGGCGGCAGGAAAGGCCTGTTGCAGGGAAGAAAGAGGAATTTAATCCTGGTGTAAAGAAAGGCACCTCTTTAAGTATGGGAAGGAAGGTGTGATTTGGTCTGAAAGAACACAGTAAAAAAGACACGCTTGTAGTTAGCATAATTTTTTAAACTGTGCTCTTTTTAGTAGCCCCAGAAAAACTATAGAAATTGGAAAAATTCAGCAGCTGGGCGCGGTGGCTCACGCCTGTAATCCCAGCACTTTGGGAGGCCGAGGCGGATGGATCACGAGGTCAGGAGATCGAGACCATCCTGGCTAACTCAGTGAAAGGCCGTCTCTACTAAAAATGCAAAAAATTAGCCGGGCGAGGTGGCAGGCGCCTGTAGTCCCAGCTACTCGGGAGGCTGAGGCAGGAGAATGGCGTGAACCCGGGAGGCGGAGCTTGCAGTGAGCCGAGATCGCGCCACTGCACTCCAGCCTGGGCGACAGAGCCAGACTCCATCTCAAAAAAAAAAAAAAAAAAAAAAAAAGAAAAAGAAAAGAAATTGAAAAAATTCAGAAATTCTGATTTGCTGAGGAACTGATCTGAATGGCCAGCCTCATTTTCATAGTAGTATGCCCATGCAGAGCTCCCTAGTGGTTTATTAAAACCTAAAACTGGCCAGGCGCGGTGGCTCACACCTGTAATCCCAGCACTTTGGGAGGCCGAGGCGGGTGGATCATCTGAGGTCAGGAGTTTGAGACCAGCCTGGCCAACATGTCGAAACCCCATCTTTACTAAAAATACAAAAATTAGCTGGGCATGGTCGTGGTCCGGGTGCCTGTATTCCCAGCTACCCTGGAGGCTGAGGCAGGAGAATTGCCTGAATCCGGGAGGTGGAGGGCCTGGGCAAAAGAGCGAGACTCCGTCTCAAACAAAACAAAAAACAAAACAAAACCTAAAGCTAACGACAAAACTACCTGGGAGGTGATAGCAGAAAAAAAATTTAACACTTGCAGGGTAACCTATTCAGTTTCTCAAGTTTTAGTTACTAGAAAGCTTTCTTCAAAACTTCTATTAATCTGCTCTACTAATGCCAAAACCATTCAAAAGGAATATGAGGTCATGAAAATTAAATTCCCTGGATTCAGTCAATTTGGAGGGCCATTCAAAGCCTGTATTTTTGGCAGCACTGTGACATCAATGACAGTGGATTTGGCTCTGTGTTCTAAATAGTGGAAGAGCAAGTTGCCAAATGTTCTGCTCTTTGAAAAAAGAGGGGTTGTTACAGAGCAAGTTATGTGTGTCTTTGGCAGGAAAAGGGAAAAATAAAAAACTGCCCACCTTCTTCAGAGACTATAACCACTCACGGACTTTCATACTCTAGAATGGCCACTTTTGCTTCCCACCTTTATTTAGAACATTCAACCTCCCCCTCTTCCCTGAGATTCCCATTAAAAATTTTTTTTTTTTTTTTTGAGACGGAGTCTCGCTCTGTTGCCCAGGCTGGAGTGCATGGCATCATCTTGGCTCACTGCAGGCTCCGCATGTGGGGTTCATGCCATTCTTCTGCCTCAGCCTCCCAAGTACCTGGGACTACAGGCGCCCGCCACCATGCCCGGCTAATTTTTTTGTATTTTGAGTAGAGACGGGGTTTCACCGTGTTAGCCAGGATGGTCTCGATCTCCTGACCTCGTGATCCGCCTGCCTCGGCCTCCCAAAGTGCTGGGATTACAAGCGTGAGCCACCGCGCCTGTCCCATTTAAATATTTTTATAGTAAAATTTGCTAAGGGACTGATTAAGAGTAGACCAGGAAATATGAAAATCATTACCACGACCACCCAACTATTTAACAAATTTCTTATCCTATCACCTTTCATACCTGTGAAATGATGGTAGTAATCGATGTGTCTAGAGAACTTTCAAAACTAAAGGGTAAATCTATGTAATTATTACTCATCCCCATCTATTTTCAAAGCAGACAGATCAATTAACATGATTGACAATTACGCAATATAGACAATCATCCAGGATACCTTGGATACTTTTTTTTTTTTGAGATGCGTTCTCACTGTCACTCAGGCTGGAGTACAGTGGTGTGATCTTGGCTCACTGCAGCCTTGACCTCCCAGACACAAAGTGATTCTACCTGACTCCCAAATAGCTGGGACCAGAGGCACATGCCACCATGCCAGGCTAATTTTTATATTTTTGTAGAGACGGGGTTTCACCATGTTGCCCAGGCTGGTCTCAAACTCCTGGGCTCAAGAGATCCACCCACCTTAGCCTCCCAAAGTGGTAGGATTACAGGCGTGAGCCACCACACCTGGCCAATACTTAAGATTTAAGGGTACAAAGATATAGTTCAGCAGTGATATGGCTACTGGCAGAGGCTTGGAATGAAGTTTCTTCAGCTGAGGAGCAGGAAAGATTTGTATGTTATTTACCTACCTACTTTTGCTAAGTCCTTATTTTTGCTGTTTATTCACCACCAGAAGGTGGTACTATATGAATACTTCTCTTTTCCTCTAGTAACTGAGAAAATGATACAGGAGTTTATCTCCTCTTGCTCTGTGTGTATGTATATATATATTTGCATGTGCATATAGACCCCCCACCCCAATATTATCAGCATATTACAGTTGGTTAGCGTATGCTGTGTATTAGCTACTTGGAAATAACTTTTGGCACTCTAAATATGCTTAAGCTGCAAAGAATACTATCAGAGTCCATTATCTGAGCTCATAAAGCTTCAGTCCTTGTCCACTTTTATTCCCATGACTTAAGTGGAAACCTGAACGTGGTTTAACAACTTAAAAACACCATGTGCTATACTGATCAAAACTTCCACCTTCCTCTGTCTTTCCTCTTCTTTCTTCAGACCTCGCATGATAGAAAATCAAAGTTGGTGATTTATTTTTTATTATGTTAAAGGTGACAGATCTTGGCTTAAGAAAAACCAGATTTGTGACTAAAGAAAACATTTTCTTGGAGCTTTGCATTGTTCTGGCTTAAATTTCCTTTTAAAAAGTAACTTTCCGTAAGTTAAAGTTAGCACTTTCACAAATACTAGCAGAGTTACTAAATGAAATATTAACATCAAAACAAACATGATTAACGAAGAAGTATTTTATTATTTTGCTGCAAAGCTGTTGCTTCACTGTATAAAAATAGCACCAGCAAATGCAGTGTATCGCAAAATTAAGATAGTGGTGTTCCTCATCTGACACTGTACAAGCAACAAAACCTCTTCACTTCCAGTTATTTCCAATGGAAAGATCATTAAGTATTTCATCCCAAATCCAGGTATGGATACATGCAAGTTACAATATTATATAAGGCTTAAGAATAACAATGTTATCTTTGAATTATGTAATTTTTATAACTAGTTTTTACCATGGATAATTTCATGAATTCTGAACACTAGAGCCTAGTCTAAAAATCATAGGATATTGTGAAAAAGACGCATATTATATTTATCTATAATCATTAGAAAGTTAAAGGGCATTTTCTTTCATTAGCAGTGTTAACAGTAGTTTTTTTTTCCCCATCGGTAATACTAAAAGTTTCTATTCTAAGTCTTCTATCCACCACTAATTTAAGACAACTCTGCTGGCTTGCGTTATTTCATACTAGTTTATTTAGGAGTTCCATTTTCACTCCTCAATAGATTTTATGTATTTCTCATATGCTTCTTCACTCATAAGTTCATCTAGTTCTGAAGGGTTACTCAGTGTCATCTTGATCAGCCAACCTGCAACCAAAAGACAACCTTATATTCCACATTAACTTTTTAAAAAGTCAAATTCATCCAAAACGTAAAATAAATTTCTGAGCGCCTCAATCTTGTATTCTTTACAAAAACCATACATTATTTGTTCATAGAACTTTAAATTTTAGCCTTAAGAATTAAAATACTTGTATATAACAAATGAAAATAATTATGGCTAGAATAGATTCCACCATAATAAATTAAGAACTCTTAGGTTGTAATAAGCATCAGAAAATGACATTTAAATCTTTAAGGGCCGGGCACGGTGGCTCATGCCTGTAATCCCAGTACTTTGGGAAGCGAAGGCAAGCAAATCACTTGAGGCTAGGAGCTCTAGACCAGCCTGGCCAACATAGTGGAACCCCATCTCTACCAAAACCACAAAAATTAGCTGGGCGTGGTGGCAGTTGCCCTTGATCCCAGCTACTGGGAAGCTGAGGCAGAAGAAGTGCTTGAACCCGAGAAGGGGAGGTTGCAGTGCACCGAGATCACGCCACTGCACTCCAGCCTGGGCGACAGAGGGAGACTCTGTCTCAAAAAAATAATAAAAATAAGTCCTTAAATATATGATCCAAATACACAAGACCAGGTATGTCTTTAACAAATGGAACACTAACTACTGAGGTTAACGGGATTAGAAAGCAGTAGTAATTAGAAGGGCTAGGTGACAGACAAAAGAGAACTACAACCTAATCCTAGCTTTGCCATTTATCAGCCATGAGACCCTGACAGATAAATCCTTTGGAGCCTCTATTCATCTACAAAATAGAGAAAATTGCTGTTAGCTTACCTGATTAGATTATAAGGGTGAAAATGTGAGAAAACCAAAAATTAATGCAAAATATATATTTTTTTACCTCCCATGTCACACAATATGAGTGGCTGCTTTATGTCTGAAAAAGTAAATACTTTGCAGATGTTTACACCAAAACCAAAGAATCTACAACTGATATCAAGAAACTGCAAAATAAGGTAATGCTTTTATCATCAGAGATTTTTTTTTCTTTTTTTGAGAAGGTCTCGCTCTGTCACTCAGGCTGGAGTGGAGTGGTGCGATCTTGGCTCACTATAGACTGCAGCCTTGACCTCCCAGGTTCAAGCAATTCTCCCACCTCAGCCTCCCTAGTAACTGAGACTACAGGCACATTCCACCACAGCCAGCTAATTTTTGTATTTCTATAGAGACAGAGTTTCACCATGTTGCCCAGGCTGGTCTCCAACTCCTGGACTAAAGCAATCCACCCACCTTGGCCTCCCAAAGTGCTGGGATCACAGGCGCGAGCCACTGCGCCTAGCCAGAAATCTTAAACATAACTTTAAGTATTCAACTAACCTCTGTTTTTCTTTTAAAGCAGAACATCTCTATTTAGTACCAAGAAGTAGAAAAAGATGAAGTCACAATCAGCTAAACTTGCTTTAAATTCTAGATAAAATATTTACTGTAGTAGTAATTCCTTGAGAAATTTCTAGCAACAGCTTACCATCTTCATAACAAGATTTGTTTACAAGTCCTGGATTTTCTGCAAGAGCTTCATTAATTTCAGTTACTTCTCCTGATAAAGGAGAATAGAGTTCACTAGCAGCTTTCACACTTTCCAAAGCACCAAACTCATCTAAGTGGAAAAAAAATTAAAGAAAACATGAAATGTTAAAAGTCAGTTACTTGAAAACATAAAATACGAAAAAGTAGATTCCTGTCATACAGCTATGATTTTAAAATTCCAAATTTCTTTTTTTTTTTTTTTTGAGATGGAGTCTCGCTCTGTTGCCCAGGCTGGAGTGCAGTGGCGCAATCTCACGTCACTGCAAGCTCCACCTCCCAAGGGTTCATGCCATTCTCCTGCCTCAGCCTCCCGAGTAGCTGGGACTACAGGCGCCCACCTGCCACCACGCCCGTCTAATTTTTTGTATTTGTAGTAGAGACGGGGTTTCACTGTGTTAGCTAGGATGGTCTCAATCTCCTGATGCCGTGATCCGCCCGCCTCGGCCTCCCAAAGTGCTGGGATTATAGGCATAAGCCACTGCACCTGGCTCTTTTTTTTTTTTTTTTTTGAGACGGAGTCTCGCTCTGTCACCAGGCTACAGTACAATGGTGTGTTCTAGGCTCACTGCCACCTCTGCCTCCCGGGTTCAAGCCATTCTCCTGCCTCAGCCTCCCAAGTAGCTAGGATTACAGGCGCGCACCACCACGCCCAGCTAATTTTTGTATTTTTAGTAGAGACAGCGTTTCACTGTGTTGGCCAAGCTGGTCTTGAACTCCTGACCTCGTGATCAACCCGCCTCAGCCTCCCAAAGTGCTGGGATTATAACCGTGAGCCACCGTGCCTGGCCTACATTTCTTTAATTAAAAATAAAACCATAAGTTTTGTCAGGCTATAATAACCACGAGAAGGGTATATATTGTCTCAATAAAGTGGACCTATCTGTGTGTCCTGGACACAGTAAATAACAAATGGTGATGTGCCTGAATGCCAGATGTGTGTAGGTTCAGTAAAACTCCATGTTCTTGCAACTTAGCTGTGGCTCAGAAAAAAACAAAATGAAAACTTTAGAATGTTCCAGTGACAGTGAAGTACCCTGTATCAGATAACAATTATAAGCTCTGGGCCAGGCGTGGTGGCTCATGCCTGTAATTCCAGCACTTTGGAAGACCAAGGCAGGAAGATCACCTGAGGTCAGTAGTTTGAAACCAGCCTAGCCAACATGGTCTCTACTAAAATACAAAAAAATTAGCCGGGCGTGGTGGTGGGCGCCTATAATCCCAGCTACTTGGGAGACTGAGGCAGGAGAATCACTTGAACCCGGGAGGTGGAGGTTGCAGTGAGCCGAGACCATGCCATTGCAGTCCAGCCTTGGTGACAGTGTGAGACTCCGTCTCAAAAACAAAAAAAACGGCCGGGCGCGGTGGCTCACGCCTGTAATCCCAGCACTTTGGGAGGCCGAGGCGGGTGGATCATGAGGTCAGGAGATCGAGACCATCCTGGCTAACAAGGTGAAACCCCGTCTCTACTAAAAATACAAAAAATTAGCCGGGCGCGGTGGCGGGCGCCTGTAGTCCCAGCTACTCGGGAGGCTGAGGCAGGAGAATGGCGTGAACCCGGGAAGCGGAGCTTGCAGTGAGCCGAGATTGCGCCACTGCAGTCCGCAGTCCGGCCTGGGCGACAGAGCGAGACTCCGTCTCAAAAAAAAAAAAAAAAAAAAAAAAAAAAAAAAAAAAAAAAAAAAAAAAAAAAAAACAAAAAAAACACAATTATGAACTCTGAACTACTGGCCAGGAACGGCGGCTCATGCTTGTAATCCCAACACTTTGGGAAGCCAAGGCGGGTAGATCACTTGAGGTCACGAGTTCAAGACCAGCCTGGCCAACATGGTGAAACCCCGCCTCTACCAAAACCTCGAAATAAATAAATTAATTAATTTAAAAAATTAGCCTGGTGTGGTTGTGCATGCCTGTACTCCCAGCTACTTGGGTGGCTGAAAAAGGAGAATTGCTTGAACCTAGGAGGCGGAGGTTGCAGTGAGCCAATGTCGCACCATCGCATTCCAGCCTGGGCAACAGAGCAAGACTCCGTCTCAAAAAAATAAGAAGAAAAAAAAAAGAACAGTTTAAAAAAGGCTGAAAAGTTAACAGTCTTAGGGACCCTATAGGACAATATCAAGTGATATGACGAACATGTCTCAAATCAGAGAAGGAAAAAGGAATGAAGTGGGAAGAGAAAGAAATCATGACTAAAATAAGAAGTCTCCAAATTTAATCGAAAAAAAATTCAATCTACAGATTCAAGAAGCTTGGTAAATCCCAAAAGCAGCCAAACGTAACACACACTGTGTGATTCCTTTCATATAAAGAATAGGCAAAATAAACCTATGGTGTAGAAACGAGAGAAGAGGTCATCTATTTGACTAGGAAGGTTTATTTAAGTGTATACATTTGTTAAAACTCACTGAATTGTACACTTCTGGTCCATGCATTTCACTGTATGTAGATTTTACATCAAGTTAAAAAACTACCTTTAGCAGAATGTCTTAAAAGGGTATTCATTAGTTTAAGGATATTATCTAACATATCGATATTAATAGACTTTTTTTCTCTCTTTTTTTTAAAACGGAGTCTTGCTCTGTTGCCCAGGCTGGAGTACAGTGATGGGATCTCGGCTCACTGCAACCTCCGCCTCCCAAGTTCCAGCAATTCTCCTGTCTCAGCCTCTGAGTAGCAATTACTTTTACACCAACCTAATACTTGGGTCAAAAGCACTCTAATTGGCTGGGCACGGTGGCTCACACTTGTAATCTCAGCATTTTGGGAGGCCAAGGCGGGCGGATCACTCGAGGTCAGGAGTTCGAGACCAGCCTTGCCAACATGGGGAAACTCTGTCTCTACAATACAAAAATTAGCTGGGCGTGGTGGCACGTGCCTGAGACACAAGAATCGCTTTAACCCAGGAGGCAGAGGTTACAGTGGGCCGAGATGGTGCCACTGCACTCCAGCCTGGGTGACAAAGCAAGACTGTCTCCAAAAAAAAAAAAGCACTCTAATTAATCCAGGGTACAAACAAATTACTATTCAATGTAAACAAAATTCATGGCATGGATCATTCTAAGATCCTAAGAACACTCACCTTGTTTGTTCAATTTTGTCCCAACTTCAGGGAGACTACAATAAACAACATCTCCCAACGCTTCCTAAATAAAACAAGACAAAACCAAAAATCTCTAAGAAGTTATAACTAAACCCTCCAGTAAACAGAATAAGCCAAACACTGAATCCCCTATAATGAAGATTTAGTATATATTTTATACTGGAGGGGCTACATTCTTGAGTTTTCCTTAAAATCCTTTAAACATGTAAAAACTACTCTCAGTCAGGTGTGGTAGTTCACGCCTGTAATCCCAGCACTTTGAAAGGCCCAAAGTGGGTGTTATCACATGAGGTCAGAAGTTCGAGACCAGCCTGGTTGACATGGTGAAACCCAGTCTCTAATAAAAATACAAAAATTAGCTGGGTGTGGTGGCAGGCACTTGCAATCCCAGCTACTCAGGAGGCTGAGGCAGGAGAATCACTTAAATCTGGGAGGCAGAGGTTGCAGTGAGTTGAGATTGCACCTGTATACTCCAGCCTTGGCGACAGAGCAAGACTCCATGTCAAGAATAAAAATAAATGGCTGGGTGCGGTGGCTCATGCCTGTAATCCCAGCTCTTAGGGAGGCAGAGGTGGGAGGATAGCTTGAGCCCAGGAGTTTGAGACCTGCCTTGGCAATATAGCAAGACCCTGTTCTCCAAAACTAAGTAAAATAAAATGATTTTAAAAAACTATTCTCAACTCAGGAGCTGCAAGAGACCAGCCGCCAGCCAGATCTGGCTCACAGGCTTTAGCAACCTAACACAAGCCTCCTGCCCCACACAAGACTGCTAGCTCTTTGTTTTATTTGGTTTTGAGACAGAGTTTCTCTCTTGTTGCCCAGGCTGGAGTGCAGTGGCCTGATCTCAGCTCACTGCAACCTCTGCCTCCCAGGTTCAAGCGATTCTCCTGCCTCAGCCTCCCAAGTAGCTGGGATTACAGGTGCCCACCACCATGCCTGGTTAATTTTTTAAAATTTTTTGCTAGAGATGCAGTTTCACCATGTTGGCCAGCTGGTCTTGAACTTTTGACCTCAGATAATCAACTTGCCTCGGCCTTCCAAAGTGCTAGGATTACAGGTGTGAGCCACTGCGCCCGGCAAACACTGCTAGCTCTTCTGGGCATGAACATATTTGGTGTTCTTCCACCTCTGTAGTTTTATGTACACCATTGCCCCCAAAGCATTTGCTGAAATCCTGCTCACTGATTCTACAAATCATAGTCCTCACACCTTGTACTCCCTGAAGTCCCTGACTCCAGAAAGAAGTGGTCTCTCCATCAGGTAAGTGAATTACAACCCCACCGTTCCGATGCCATCATGTAATGTTTGCAAGTCATTCTCATGTAGGTAATTCCCCTCACAAATAAACTCTAGGAGGTAAGGACGACATCTTACACAACATCTCAAAAACTATCCAACACTGGGCCTCATAGTAGGTATACAGAGATGCCAAGGAAGATATAATTGTGATTATCAACACACAAGCATCTTACATGTCTGAGGAATTTTGTACAGTCACGTGCCGCCTAATGGCATTTTGGTCAACAACAGACCACATATATGACAGTGGTCCCATGAAATTATAATATAGTTAGTATCACTTGTCCAAAATGCTTGGGAGCAGAAGTGTTTTGGATTTCAGATTTTGGAATACTCGCATTATACTTAATACATGAGCACTCCTCATCCAAGATTCTGGAATCCAAAACGCTCCAATGAGCATTTTCTTTAAGAGTCACGTTGGTGCTCAAAAAGTTTCAGATTTTTGGAGTATTTCAGGGATTAGAGATGCTCAACCTATGCCATATTTTTACTGTACCTTTTCTGTGTTTTGATAGGCCAAGTGTGTTACGATTGCCTACAGTATTCAGTACAGTAACATGCTGTACAGGTTTGTAGCCCAGGAGCAAAGGCTGTACCATACAGCCAAGGTGTGTAATAGGCTGTACCATCTAGGTGTGTGTAAGGGCACCCTAGGAGGCTCACAGAAGGACGCAATCCCCGAGGAGGCAGTTATCAGAACATAGCTCCATCATTAAGTGACACGAGTGCATTCCCATCAGTTAACATCCCCCCTTCCCCGCCTCACCCAATACATACATCCAGTTGAAAATCACTGAACACGCTAGGATTTGGCTTCTCATTTTCTCTTAAACAGTATCGCCATATGGAATTGAGGGGAATTTACAGAGAAAAGATGGGCTGAATAAAAGCCTTCCCTTTGTGTCATCTGTGCCTATTGAGGTTTTCTTTCTTCCCGTCCTCCTGGTCACGTGTGTATCACTGGACCCACAAAATGGTGGCAACACCCTGCTCTTCTTTTTCCTCTTTCCTTAATTGCCCAGTACAAAACACACACATTTCCTTCTTGAATAGGACATGTTTCCTACTTTCAGTGTTAAGCTTGCAACATCTCTTAAAACACCACATAATGCCCTAACTAAATTATGTTTTACTTAATTCAACTCTGGTTGGTTTTCTTACTTTCTTTCTTTCTTTTTTTTTTTGGAGATGGAGTCTCACTCTGTCACCCAGGCTAGAGTGTAGTGGTGCAATCTCGGCTTACTGCAACTTCTGCCTCCCAGGTTCAAGTGATTCTTCTGTCTCAGCCTCCTGACGAGCTGGGATTACAGGTGTGCACCACCAAGACCAGCTAATTTTTGTATTTTGCAGTGACATGATCATGGTTCACTGCAGCCTCAACCTCCTGGGCTCCAGCGACCCTCCTGCCTTAGCCTCCTGAGTAGCTGGGACCACAGGCATGAGCAACCATGCCAGGCTAATTTTTTTTTTTAACTTTTGGTAGAGACGGGGTCTCACTTTGTTGACCAGGCTGGTCTTGAACTCCTGGCCTCAAGCAATCCTCCTGCCTCAGCCTCCCAAAGTGTTGGGATTACAGGCATGAGCCACCTCACGCAGCCTAAACACTTTTAAAAAGGTAGAGATAAAGCAAATCATGCAAGAGCACACTGGGACAAATATTTCAATATAATCCAATACCTGTGCAAAATTGCTGATTCCCACTGTTCCAATGCCATTTTCTGTTGTTACCCATTCGTGTTTCTCTGTGAATTTACGCACTAAAACAGAAGACCAACATTTCAGAAAAGCAGTAGCATTACTTCTTAAGAAGCACTTTTCATTACCATTGCTTTCAAAAGACTTTCCCAGAATTTCTGTTTGACCTGTTGACACTACCTTTAAATAGTGCATGGCTCAGGAAAGAATGAAGATCATGTATAGAGATGACGCATTTAAACAGCAGTACCATTTAAGCAAAGATGGCTTCATCTGAACACCTTGTGCATCTTTTGGAGATTGGATTATCTGCTTTAACATTACTTAGCCTAAATCACAAAAGAAAATTTTGGAGCATATTTCAAATGTATACTTAACTATTACTGGTCTGTCTTGCAGAAAAAAAAATCTGTGCCTCTGAAGACAAATTTGGGGTGATGAGGTTTAGGGAGGCAGCATAAAGATGGCTCATATAAGAAATGATTTAACCTAAAAAAAAAAATAACAGTAATAATCAGGTGCCTCTTTAGGCAGAGTTGACCTAAGAGAGCTTCAGTGCAGCTTGGGTTACAAAGTAAAATTTTACAGGAATGAAACTGACCTCCTGGAACAACTATAATTTGACTAAGTTCTTAAAATTCTACTTTAATCAAATTCAAGCCTAACCTTGAAGATAGCACTACCATCGCTTAAAGAAGAAAATTAAGATCACAACTCAACAGTCTTCTCAGAGCTAAGCCATGGGTTGGTGGAGAATCAAGCTCTGCTCACCACTCACTGGACAGGTTCAGCCCTCGACTTACTGAGCACTTCTCTAAAGATACGGTCAAACGATTCAGGGAATCCTGAAAGAAGGACCGGCCAATGTTCAAGAGTAAAAAGAGTTATTTAGGATATAAAGTTAAAAGTACTTGCCTTAGAGAATAATATTTTTTAAAAAGCATATGCTATATTAAATACAGTTCATATTCTGACACCAAGTATTTTTCTAAAAACAATGCAACGTAAGTTCATAGAAAAATGGTTAACTCAAATACTGTTTTAAAGAGGCCTCACTGGCTCATTTTACCCCTTACCCAAAGGATAGTAGTACTTAAAACAGCATTCAATTGCTTTGGTTACAGCTCTGATACGCAGCACAACGTAAGTAGAGTGTATAATTATTATTTTTATTTTTTATTTTTGTAGAGATGGGGGGGTCTATGTTGTCCAGACTGGTCTCAAATTCCTGAGCTCATGATCCTCCCACCTCAACCTCTCACAGTGCTGGGATAATAGTGTGTGAGCCACCGTGCCTAGCCAAGTATATAATTCAATATTGCTTTCTTTTCCCCTTAATTATGAAACTTTCTAAAGTTCATACCCCTTCAGTGGAAGAAGTCAAAAAATGTGTCACTAAGAAATTTATTTTGCTTCATTCCACTTCAAAGAACTGAATGTTTCAGGTCACTCTGACGTTCAGGTAAGAAAGTTTAAGATGTGTACACTGTGTTTTGACTGAAAGACTCTCCCTACCATCTTTACTAACTACTTCCGGTCTAGATTCAGAAGTCCGTTCCTGCCCAAAGGCTTGTCTAACCAAGTCTAGGTTCTTAGGCCAGCCAACATGCTCTTACGGCACCCTGTACCACTATCCCCCAGCACACACACGGTGCTGAACATACTAGAGATCATCTGTCAGTCTCCCCAGGAAGTAGGCTGTGTACCCACCAAGAAACAGCAAGGTTTATCTTATTTTCATTTGTTTTCCCAATTTTAAATACAGTGCTTGCCACATAGCAAGCACTCAAAAGCTGAAGGAATGAAATAATTTTTTTTTTCCTTAAATTATCATGTCGCAGGCCAGGCACAGTGACTCATGCGTGTAATCCCAGCACTTTGGGAGGCCGAGGCGGGTGGATCACCTGAGGTCCGGGGTTTGAGACCAGCCTGGCCAGCATAGTGAAACCACATCTCTACTAAAAAAATACAAAAATTAGCCAGGTGTGGTGGCACACTCCTGTAATGCCAGCGACTTGGGAAGCTGAGGCATGAGAATTGCTTGAACCCAGGAGGCAGAGGTTGCAGTGAGCTGAGATCACGCCACTGCACTCCAGCCTAAGCAACAGAGCAAGACTCAGTCTCAAAAAAAACAAACAAAAAAAATCCCTGGGCGTGGTGGCTCATGCCTGTAATCTCAACACTTTGGGAGAAAAATATATATATTTTTCCCCTTAAATTATCATGTTGCAGGCCGGGCACAGTGGCTCATGCCTGCAATCCCAGCACTTTGGGAGGCCAAGGCAGGCGGATCACCTGACGTAAGGAGGTCAAGACCAGCCTGGCCAGCATGGTGAAACCAAGTCCCTACTAAAAATACAAAAATTAGCCAGGTGTAGTGGTACACGCCTATAATCCTAGCTACTTGGGAGGCTGAGGCAGGAGAATCACTTGAACCTGGGAGGCGGAGATTCCAGTGAGCCGAGATTGCACCATTGCCTGGGCGACTAGCGAAACTTCATCTCCAAAAAAAAAAAAAAAAAGTTGCAGAATGACGTGATTTTTTAAAGTTTATTAAGAGGATTCTGAGGAAAATAGATAGTATATAGTTATTTGTCTTTAACACTTAATTCTCTCACTCTGCTACAAATCGCCGGTTATATGCCAATTATGAGCAGTTTGAAGCTAAAACACCTTTTCAAAGTAAGCACTGGACAACTATAAACACCACCTGAGACTACCTTCTTTGACCTTGCCATCTTGCCTACCTGTGAAGATAATTTTAGGAGTAAGGCTGCTGTGACCCTCATTTTAGCAACCGAGCAATTACTAATTGTAATTAGTACAATTCTCCTTAACAAGGAGCAGTTAGTGTCTCAAACATTTGGGTGTAAAGAAAATTGTTGGCCCCAAGTTTAGAGGGAGACGGCAACATTACAGGTAATGTTACCCCTCAGTCCTGGCCAACAGCAGTGGCTCTCGCCTGTAATCCCAGCACTTTGGGAGGCCGAGGCAGGCAGATCACCTGAGATCAGGAGTTCAAGACCACCCTGGCCAACATGGTGAAACCCCGTCTCTACTAAAATACAAAAAATTGGCCGGGTATGGTGGCGGGCACCTATAATCCCAGCTACCCTGGAGGCTGAGGCAGGAGAATCACTTGAACCTGGGAGGCAGAGGTTGCAGTGATTCAAAGACCTAAGTCTTTATTTTACTAAGCATGCTGTTTAGGCTAAAGGCAATGATTAGTACAATTCTCCTTTAACCCTTGGCCCGACAGGAAGAAGTGGATAGATTAGGTAAATAATTACTTTCTTTTTTTGAGACAGAGTCTCACTCTGTCGCCCAAGCTGGAGTGTAGTGGTGCAATCTAGGCTCGCTGCAACCTCTGCCTCCCGGGTTCAAGTGATTCGGCCTCATCCTCCCAAGGAGCTGGGATTACAAGCACGTGCCACCACGCCCGACTAATTTTTTGTATTTTTGGTAGAGACAGGGTTTCACCATGTTGGCCAGGCTGGTCTTGAACTCCTGACCTCAGGTGATCCGCCCGCCTCAGCCTCCCAAAGTGCTGGGATTAAAGGCATGAGCCACCGTGCCTGGACAATAATTACTTTCTAACTGGGCCTTGAAAAAGGTGGTTTTTGGCCTCGGAAAATTAGGAGTTGTGAGCAATTTATGAAAATTTTGCATTTTCCTTTTTCAATGTCACTAGTCAGATAAAATATTTTATATTAGTATTAGTCAATTTTTCTTCTCTTTTTTTTTTGAGATGGAGGTGTGCTCTTGTCGTCCAGCTACTCCACAGGCTGAGGCAGGAGAAGTGTTTGAACCCGGGAAGCGAAGGTTGCAGTGAGCCAAGATCCTGCCACTGGATGCCAGCCTGGGCGACAGAGCGAGACTCCATCTCAAAAAAGAAGAAAAAAAAAAGGAACGAAAACCACAGACTTGAAACTAAATTCTTATCTGAGAAATGCTTTACCTTTGTATTCAAATTAGTGATGTAGGGATCCCTATCAGAAACAGAGCGGACAGACTATTAGCAAGACAGCATAAGTAAATCTTTATGCTACAAATTTTGGAATAAATTTATCAACCATTCCAGCTCCAAACAGGTTTCTAAAACAATGAGCTAATGAGACAAGAGCCATCACTGATCTACGCAATCGAAGCAGAGGAGCAGTCAGTGTATCAAACATTTGGGCGTAAAGAAAATTGTTGGCCTGGCGCGGTGACGCACGACTGTAATCTCAGCACTTTGGGAGGCTGAGGCGGGTGGATCACTTGAGGTCAGGAGTTTGAGACCAGCCTAACGTGGCGAAACCCTGTCTCTACTAAAAATACAAAACTCAGCTGGAGGTGGTGACGGGCGCCAGTGAACCCAGCTACTCGGGAGGCTGAGGCAAGAGAATCGCTTGAATCTGGGAGGTGGCGCTTGCAGTGAGCCGAGATCACGCCGCTGCACTCCAGCCTGGGCGACAGAGCGAGGCTCCGTCTCAATAAAAAGAAAAAAAAAAAAAAAGAAAATTGTTTTTCCCCTGCAATAATTGTGCTGAAGTAGCACAAATGGCCGAAACATTCATGGGCAGGTTTCCCAGTTATTTCAAGTCCGTTTGAGTTAGGGCTCATTTCAGCAAGCACACACATGAATGATCCAATACAAACTTTAGCAGAACTTCTGTTGAGTCCAGAAGACTTTATCTTACTTGTTTTGGGGAAATAGCTGAATCTTCAAAGTTATGATTGTTTTATCTAGTAAAAAAATCTAGATCTGGCGCTTTAATTTTTTTTTTTTTTTTTTTTTTTGAGGTGGAGTTTTGCTCTGTCGCCCAGGCTGGAGTGCAGTGGCGCGATCTCGGCTCACTGCAACCTCTGCCTCCCAGGTTCAAGCGATTCTCCTGCCTCAGCCTCCCGAGTAGCTGGGATTACATGCGCATGCCGCCACGCCTGGCTAATTTTTTGTACTTTTAGTAGAGATGGGATTTCACCGTGTTAGCCAGGATAGTCTCGATCTCCTGACCTCGTGATCCGCCCTCCGGCATGAGCCAACGCGCCCTGCCTGGTGCTTTAATTTTAATAAGCGCTTCTGTTTTAATTTTACTTCGGAGTTCTCAGTAACGGTCCATTTAGTAAACTAAAGGCCTCCCCATTTGGGGTCTCAACGATGCACGCAGATGGGAGATAAACTTAAGGCCACCGAGACGCTTAAGCGACACGTGCCTGGCTTCTGCAGCAAGCGGCCGACCTGCCCGCCGGACCCGCCGGGCCACCCCCGCCTCGGTGTCCCGCAGGCCTCCCCTCCCGGCTGCATGCAATCCCTAGGGCAAAGGCTACTCGCGGGTCCTCCCGCTACTTAAGGGGGAGAAGCGGCCGCAGAGCCAGGGATCCCAACAGAAATAAGAAGGGGGCAGGGTCCGCGCTCGCTCCGCCCCGGTGGCTCAGGAGCGGTGCCCCGGCGTCCTCCGTGTCCCGCTGGGCCCGGGACAAGCAGCCCAGGCGGGGAGGGAGCAGCCGCCCACGTGCCCGCCGCGCTTACCCGAGAGCAGAGCGGGTCCAGTGCGCAGCGTACGGACGGCGCCCACCCCCAGCTGCCAGGGCCTCGGCGGGCAGGGCGCGGCGGGTGACGGGACCGCGCGCAGGGTGCAGAGCAGGGCCCGCACGCTCCGCACCACTCGCAGCGCCATGTTCGCAGGGGTGCGGGGGTCGCAGCGCTACGCCTCGGCCACCCGCGCCGGGAGGCGGGGCGGGGAGGGGCAGTTCGCGGCCGGAGGGAGCCGGCTGGATGGAGGCGCGGAGGCGGTGCCGCGGGGGCGGGACAGAGCCTGACTGGGCAGAGCGTGGAGGGCGGAGACTCCCAGGCGAGGGGGCGAGGCAGGGTCTGATTGGCCAGCACGCGGAGACTGGGGACTCCAGGGCCTGGCGCGACCTCGGATACGGCGACGCGAAAGAGGGGCGTGGGCATGGGGAAGAACCTGAGGCCCGGAAGAGGCAGCACCGAGAGGCGGAGACTAGCGCGGCGGGCCTGGGTATGATTGGGCTGCCCGCAGGAGGGGGGCGGGGCCTAGCCCCAGACTGGGTTCCTTTCCACATGTGTATCTCTTTTACTGCCTCTGTCATAAGTTTTCAAAGGTGGTTTCACCACCTCACGAAGGAATTCAAGAACAAGTCGGAAAGTCGTGAAAGTACAGAGGTTTACTGCAAAGTACACACTGAAGAAAGGGCGGACTCAAAAGAGGGCCACACAATGGGGCTTGGGGTTTCCATCTTTATGGGTTTCTTTGAGAAATGGAATATACACAAAGGTTTCTGGAATAAGGTGGAGACTTGTCAGAACTGTGGTGCCACCCATTTTTACACCAAATATGGGTGTTCCCGGAATTGTTGTGGTGCCGGTGGGTGTGTGACTTAGTATGTTAATGAGTCCTAGGTGAAGCCTAGGTCAAAGCCACACCACGTTGGGTCCAGTTGGTTTTAGCCAGGTTGACCCACACCCTGGTTTTTCAGGGTCTTAGCCCATAGCTTGTGCAGCTATTTCAACAGTTTCCTTTTGTTAGACAGAACTGCAGCCTGGAAGTTTCTATTCTCCTTCAACTGCTCTGTAACGTTCCTGTCTCAAAGAGCCCCAGGGACCCCAAACAGGACCGGCAGAATCCAGAAGCTTACTTAAAAAGGAATAAAGACTTGTCCAAGGGTCATAAGTGGCTTCTTGGTGGAGACTGGACCCAAGCCAGTCACTAATGCAGAAATATTCAAAACGCAGAGAGCTGAGACCCAGTGTGCACAATTCCTTGTTTCATCGGCCAGCGGTGTGACCAAGGCCTTCCGAGAAAAGCCGAAGTCATCATCCCAATCCAAGAAGTCAGAAAAAAATTAGGTTCTGGGAAAAACCTCACCTTTAACACAGATTTTATGGAGTGGCCATGAGTCAGCAAAGAAATACTGTTCTGAAAAACACCTTAAGCTACACACACACCTTTAGTACTGTTACAGAAAGGGCTCCCAATCCAGACCCCAAGAGAGGGTTTTTGGACCTCATGCAAGAAAGAATTTGGGGAGAGTCTATAAAGTGAAAGCACGTTTAATAGAGAAGTAAAGAAAAAAAAGAATGGCTTCTTCGTAGACAGAGCAGCAGTATGGCTTCTCGACTAAGTGTACTTATAGTTATTTCTTGATTGTATGCTAAACAAGGGGTGGATCATTCAAGAGTTCTCCAGAAAAGGGGCAGGGATTTCCTAGAACTAACGGTTCCTCCGCTTTTTGGACTATAGGGTAACTTCTCTGGACGTTGCCATTGCATTTGTGAACTGTCATGACGCTGGTGGGAGTTGTTTTTTTTTTAACATGCTAATGCATTATAATTAGCGTATAATGAGCAGTGAGACCTACCAGAGGTCGCCATCTTGGTTTTGGTGAGTTTTGGCCAGCTCCTTTACCGCATCCTATTTTATCAGCAGGGACTTTGTGACCTGTATCTTGTGCCAACCCTAGCTCATCCTGTGACTAAGTGAGGCAGGTGAATCACTTGAGGTCAGGAGTTCGAGACCAACCTGGCCAACATGGAGAAACCCCCGTCTCTACTACAAATCCAAAGTTTAGCCAGGCATGGTGGCAGGTGCCTGTAATCCCAGCTACTCAGGAGGCTGAGGCACGAGAATCACTTGAGCCTGGGAGGCAGAGGTTGCAGTGAGTCGAGATCACGCCACTGCACTCCAGCCTGGGTGACAGAGCGAGACTCTGCTTCAGAAAAAAATACAAATAAAAAGAATGCCTAACCTCCTGGGAATGCAGCCCACCAAGTCTCAGCCTCATTTTACCCAGCCCATATTCAAAATGGAGTTGTTCTTGTTCAAACACCGGAAACAGTACCATAGGGTGCACACCATGGAGTGTGTGTGTGTTTGGGGAGCCCATACGTTGTTGCACTGAGCTTCTGCCCTGCTATGAACTTAGGGTTGCCACCACATCTGTGCAGTGGCTTGCAAGGGCCGTCATGCCCACTTTCTTTTGAGCAAATCATTCCCATCTATTGAGCCTTTGCTATGTGCCTGGCACTATGCACACATCTTTTTAATCCTCTCCAAACCTCTTTCTGGCAGGTGTTACACTCATTTCATAGATGAGGCTCAGAGGTGAAGGCACTTCCGAGGAGTGGGATCGGGGAGGCGTTTTTGTGGCTTAAGTAGCTCCTAGGTGGCAGTAGTAGACCTTGGCCTCTACACTGATTAGAAAGCAACTCTTCTTTTTTTCTTTTTTTTTTTCGAGACGAAGTCTAGCTCTGTCGCCCAAGCTGGAGCGCAGTGGCGTGATCTTGGCTCACTGCAACCTCTGCCTCCCGGGTTCAAGCAATTCTCCTGCTTCAGCCTCCCGAGTGGCTGGGACTACAGGACCACGTGCCACCACGCCCGTCTAATTTTTGTATGTTTAGTAGAGATGGGGTTTCACTATGTTGGCCAAGCTGGTCTCGAACTCCTGACCTTGTAATCCACCCACCTCGGCCTTCCAAAGTGCTGGGATTACAGGCATGAACCACCGTGCCTGGCCAGCAATTGCTCTTAAGCTCTGCTCCGCTTGCTTTCGTTTGGGATGCTGACTGGATCACGCTGGTCTACCCTGCACTACAGATCTTGGCTACCTTCTCTAATGTCAAGATGTTGTTTTCTATTGTTGTTTCATTACAAGACAGTGCAGCATCGTGCCACTTACACCCTAACATATTTATTCTCAGCTTCACTAACTCATGTGATGGGAAGAAAAAGATCACACATCAACATCAACATATGGGCTACAAAAAGGCCCTTCCACCAAAAAATATGACATGTGTTTTTCTTTTGGTAAAAAGCATTGAAGACAGTCAAAATTTTTTTTCTTTTTCTACCTAGTAATCTTTGTAACCTCCTGGTTTGAGATTTTAAAGGTCATCTCGTTGCCCATTGAGTATAAGCTCTGGAAAATTCCAGGTGGTCATTTCTTCCAGGTGTTTTGAGAGGGGCCCATTCATCTCTTTGAGCTGATAGACATATTTTCCTCTTATAACAATACAGTAGACTGGGTGCGGTGGCTCATGCCTGTAATCCCAGCACTGTGGGAGGCCTAGGTAGGCAGATCACTTGAGGCCAGGAGTTCAAGACCAGCCTGGCCAACATGGTGAAACCCCGTCTCTACAAAAAAATACAAAAATTACCCAGGCATGCTCTTGTGTGCCTGTAGTCCCAGATACTGGGAAGCCTGAGACACAAGAATCATTTGATCTTGGGAGGCAGAGGTTTCAGTGAGCTGAAATCATGCCACTGCATTCCAGCCTGGGCAACAGAGCAAGACCCTGTCTCAAACAAACAAACAAACAAACAAAAAAACTTTTATAAACCAGTATTCCCCATATTTATTTGACCCAGAAACATTTTTGGAGGAATGACACCTGTTCTGGTTTGAATTGTGGCTCCTAAAGAGGTATGTCAAAGTCCTAAGTCCCAGTTCTTCAGATGTGACCATATTGGGAAACAGGATCCCTGCAGATGTATTATAATTAGTTCAGATGAGGTCACCCTGGACTAGGGTGGGCCCCTAATTCAATATGGCTGGTGTGCTGAGAAAAGGAGAAGGAACACAGGCTCCCAGCAAGCTTCTTCCCATCTGGGAGTGACACATCTAGAAGCCAAGGGACACCAAGGCTGGCTGGCCAACACCAAAAGCTGGAAGAGGCAAGAAGGATTCTTCCCTAGAGCCCTCAGAGGGAGCATGGCACTGCCAACATCTTTTTTCTTTCTTTTCTTTTTTTTTTTTGTGAGACGGAGTCATGCTCTGTCGCCCGGGCTGGAGTACAGTGGCACCACCTAGGCTCACTGCAACCTCCGCCTCCCGGGTTCAAGGGATTCTCCTGCCTCAGCCTCCTGAGTAGCTGGGACTACAGGCGCCCGCCACCACACCTGGTTAATTTTTGTATTTTTAGTAGAGACAGGGTTTCACCCTGTTGGCCAGGCTGGTCTCGAACTCCTGGCCTCAAGTGATCCGCACGCCTCGGCCTCCCAAAGTGCTGGGATTACAGGCGTGAGCCACCATGCCCGGCCACTGCCAACATCTTGATTGCACACTTCCAGGCTCCAGAGCTGGGACAGAATGCATTTCTGTCGTTTTAAGCCACTTCGTTTGTGATACATTGTTCTGGGAAACTAATACAGCATCCATTAGCATCTCTCAGACAGTTTGAGAAGCCCTGAACTAGAATCATTCAAAAGCAACCCCCAACGGACTAAAAAGACGAAATAATTAGTCTGTGCAGGAAATTTTCCAAACTCCATGTAATATTTGTTTTATTTATAATAAGAGGAAATACATTTGAACAAAGAAGCTCTCATAGTATTGGCAATTTTACATATATCTCTGTTATTGTAATTTTTTTTACTTGCTGGGCTTGGTAATTCTTCAATGGACATGAAAGCTATGACCTAGAGAGACTATAGAGTCGCTGGTAAGCGTACGCCCGAGGCCCTGGGCGTCCCCACTGGTAGATGGTGGCGTGTGGACGAACAGCTTAGTCCTTGGGCAAAGCTTGTGCTGGTCGAGAGTGGCGAGTCTGGGACAGAGACCCAGGCTGCTCCCTGCTGCTTCCAGGCTCCTCTCTCTTAGACTTAATGCCCAGGAAACTGAGTATTTTCATCAGCAGCAAATCTACGATCTCCCCTTCCTCCGACAGCTGCAAGAGAAAGAACCAGGCAATGCCCATAGAACCATCTTCTTTGGGGGCTTTTCTTTCTAAGGGGAAGTCATAGTTTTTATTTTTATTTATTTTATTTTATTTTATTGTTTGAGATGGAGTCTCACTGTGTCGCCCAGGCTGGAGTGCAGTCGCACAATCTTGGCTCACTGCAACTTCCGCCTCCCGAGTTCAAGCGATTCTCCCGCCTCAGCCTCCCGAGTAGTTGGGATTACAGGCACCCGCCACCACGCTCAGCTAATTTTTGTATTTTTAGTAGAGAGAGAGTTTTACCATGTTGGCCAGGCAGGTATCAAACTCCTGGCATCTAGTGATCCACCTGCCTCGGCCTCCCAAAGTGCTGGGATGATTACAGGCTTGAGCCATCGCATCATCCCTGGCCGAAATCACAGTTTTATTGTCCAGTTTGGTCTCAACCTAGGTTACTTCACTGTTGAGAGCTGTTTTAGGGCAGAAAGGCCTCCCTCTGGGAATGCCAAGGGTGTGTGCTCCATCCTTTATCCTCAGCGGGCTCCCTCCACCTCTCTGATGAGGATGACTGAGTTTTCACTGCCACATTTCAAATTCCCAAGCCAGCGCAGAGTAAGCCTCGGCTGGGCGGCTGAGCCTGAAGTTAAACAGCACATGGGCCCCCTTCTGAGATGAGTGTCTCCCCTTTTCCTCTAGGTCAGAGTGTTGGTGGTGGCTCCTTCTTTCGTTCTTTTTTTTTCTGAGACAGAGTCTAGCTCTGTCGCCGAGGCTGGAGTGCAGTGGCTCAATCTCGGCTCACTGCAGCCTCCGCCTCCTGGATTCCAGCTATTCTCCTGCCTCAGCCTCCCGAGTAGCTGGGATTATAGGCACACACCACCACGCCCAGCTAATTTTTGTATCTTTGGTAGAGACAGGGTTTCACCATGTTGGCGGGGCTGGTCTCGAACTCCTGACCTCAGGTGATTCACCCACCTCAGCCTCCCAAAGTGCTAGGATTAGAGGCGTGAGCCTCTGGGCCTGGCCTTGTGGTTCTTTATTATTATTCCTTCTGCTTGCTCTGTTTACCTCCTGGCCTAGCCTGGTATGGGAGGAAGTTCTGGGAATGAAAAAATAAATAGATGTTTCTCTCTGGCTTTCCCACACTTCTCAACCATATACACATATTTAAGAGTGACTTAAAGCAAAGAAAGAACAACTTCTAGGAAACAGGAATGGCAGACTATAGGTACCAATGAGGCACGTTCAGTAAACTCGTCAGAAAATGCTCTCTACCACCCCAACAGAGGCTGTTAAGAACTTATGTACAGGCTGAGCACAGGGGCTTATTATATTTATAATCCCAGGATTTTGGGAGGCCAAGGTGAGACGATTGCTTGATCCTAGGAGTTCGAGTCCATCCTGGACAACATAGTGAGACCCCATCTCTACAGATAATTTTAAAAATCACAGCTGAAAGTGGTGGCTCACACCTGTAATCCCAGCACTTTGGGAGGCCAAGGTAGGCAGATCACCTGAGGTCAGGAGTTTGAGACCAGCCTGACCAACATGGTGAAACCCCATCTCTACTAAAAATACAAAATTAGCTGGGCATGGTGGGCACATGCCTGTAATCCCAGCTACTTGGGAGGCTGAAGCAGGAGAATTGCATGAACTCAGGTGGCAGAGGTTGCAGTGAGCCGAGATCGTGCCATTGCACTCCAGCCTGGCAACAAGAGCAAAACTCCATCTCAAAAAAAAAAAGAAGAGTGTTTAAAAATCAGGCCAGGTGTGACGGTTCACACCTATAATTCCAGCAATGTGGGAGGCTGAGGCAGGCAGGTCACTTGAGCCCAGAAATTTGAGACCAGCCCGGCCAAAATGGGGAAACCCCATCTCTACCAAAAATACAAAAAAATTAGCCAGGTGTGGTGCAGTCCCAGCTACTGGGTCTAAGGTGGGAGGATGGCTCGAGCCCAGGAGGCCGAGGTTCCAGTGAGCTGAGATTGCACCACTGCACTCCAGCCTGGGTGACAGAGCAAGCCCCTTTCTCAAAAGCAAGCAAGCAAACAAACAAACAGAAGAATTTATGTGCAAAGGTCCTGCACATTGCTGCTGGGGATCTAAAATGGTACAGCTGCTTCAGAAAACAGTGTGGCAGGTCTTCAAACAATTAAACAGTTACTGTGTAAACCAGAAATTTCACTTCCAGGTATATGCCCAAGAGAAGCGAAAACACATGTCCATATGAAATTCTGCCCACAGAATGTTCATAGCAGCATCGTTTGTTAAAGCCAAAATACAGAAACAACCCAAATACCCATCAGCTGGGGAATGGATAAGCACATCGTTGTTTTACCCACACAATGAAATATGACTCAGCCGTAAAAAGGAATGACGTGGATACACGCTACGACATGGATGAATCTTGAAGACATGATACTAAATGAAATAAGCCAGACATAAAAGGCCACATATTGTCCGAGCTCATTTATATGAATATGAATTTCCAGAATAGGCAAATCCAAAGAAATAGAACGTAGATTAGTGGTTGCCAGGGGCTGGAGGCATGGATATGGGAGGTGATTATTAATAGGTAGGGGGCTTCTTTGTGGTATTGAAAATGTTCTGAGCCCAGGCACGGTGGCTCACACCTGTAATCCCAGCACTTTGGGAGGCCGAGGCTGGCAGATCACCTGAGATCAGGAGTTCGAGACCACCCTGGCCAACATGGAAAAACTCATCCCTACTAAAAATACAAAAATTATCTGGGTGTGGTGGCAGGCACCTGTAATCCCAGCTACTCAGGATGCTGAGGCAAAAGAATCATTTGAACTCGGGAGGCGGAGGTTGCAGTGAGCCAAGATCACGCCACTGCACTCCAGCCTGGGTGAGAGAGCAAGACTCTGGCTCAAAACAAAACAAAACAAAACAAAAAACAAAACAAACAAACAAAAAACAGAAAAGAAAAGAAAAAAAGAAAAAGAAAATGTTCTAGGGCTGGGTGTGGTGGCTCACACCTGTAATCCTAGCACTTCGGGAAGCCAAGGTGGGTGGATTGCTTGAGCCTAGGAGTTTGAGAACAACCTGAGCCACATAGCAAAACCCCGTCTCTATTAAAAAAAAAAAAAGAAGGCCGGGTGTGGTGGCTAATACCTGTAATCCCAACACTTTGGAAAACCGAGGTGGGCAAATGACAAGGTCAGAACTTCCAGAGCAGCCTGGCTAACATGGTGAAACCCCGCTTCTACTAAAAATACAAAAAATTAGCCAGGCATGGTGGCGTGCTCCTGTAGTCCCAGCTGCTTAAGAGGCTGAGGCAGGAGAATCACTTAAACCCGGGAGGGGGAGGGTGCAGTTAGCCGAGATCTGCCACTGCACTCCAGCCTGGGCGATGGAGCGAGACGCTCTCTCAAAAAAAAAAGAAAGAAAAAAAATATTCTGGAATTAGTGACGATGTTTGCACAACTCTCTGAATATACTAAAAAACGTTTAATTGTATGATTTAAAATGGCTAATTTTATGGCACATGAAATATATCTTCATTGTTAAAAAAATAATTTATTTACAATGGACAAGTTCAATCTTCTGATAGAAGGAACCCACTCGGAGAAAGTAACTTTAATTAAAGGTGGCTACTTAATTGCATCTCCAAATTAAGGTACAGTTGGAGTACCTGGGCATCAGACCTAGCAATGCTCTCTGCTTCCTTGCTAAAATGAAAACATTTCCCCAACACTACAAAATTGTTTTTAAAATATCAAATCTTTTTGCAGGACAAAGGCATTGTGGTATAATATGAACCATAGTTGATCTTTGACCTCGGTTCCCATCACAGAGCTCCTGAAACCCTTAGAATTTACTAATAATAGGAGTGTCTTTTTTTTTTTTTTTTTTAGACAGAGTTTTGCTTTTGTTGCCCAGGCTGGAGTGCAATGGCGTGATCTTGGCTCACTGCAACCTCCGCCTCCTGCATTCAAGCGATTCTCCTGCCTCAGCCTCCCAAGTAGCTGAGATTACAGGCATGTGCCACCATGCCCAGCTAATTTTTTTGTATTTTTAGTAGAGACGGGGTTTCTCCATGTTGGTCAGGCTGGTCTCGAACTCCCGACCTCAGGTGATCCGCCCGCCTCGGCCTCCCAAAGTGCTGGGATTACAGGCGTGAGCCACCGCGCCCGGCAATAATAGGAGTGTCTTTTGCTATTCATGATGAGCCCCCTTTCATCACATCTGAGTTTTTGCTAATGAGTGACTTAGGGCAGGCCCCTAGATAGCTTCAGGATGAGGCAGGTCACCAGAAAATCCTCGGATGGTCAAGTCTCTGATAAAAAAAAAAAAAAAAAAAAAGCCATAATATTTACATATAACCCACACACATTCTCCTGTATACTTTAAGTCATCATCTATAAGTACCTTTTTTTTTCTTTTTTTTTGGGATGGAGTTTCTGCTCTTGTTGCCCAGGCTGGAGTGCAATGGCACGATCTCAGCTCACCGCAACCTCCGCCTCCCAGGTTCAAGCAATTCTCCTGCCTCAGCCTCCCGAGTAGCTGAGATTACAGGCATGTACCACTACGCCGGGCTAATTTTGTATTTTTAGTAGAGATGGGGTTTCTCCATGTTGAGGCTGGTCTCGAACTCCTGACCTCAGGTGATCAGCCCGCCTCAGCCTCCCAAAGTGCTGGGATTACAGGTTTGAGCCACTGCACCTGGCCTATAAGTACCAGTAAGTACTTATAATACTTAACACAATGTAAATGCTATATATAAATAGTTGTTATACAGATTGAGTATCCCTCATCCAAAATGCTTGGGATGACTAGTGTTTTGTGTTTCAGATTTTTTCAGATTTTGGAGAATGCATAATGAGGTATCTTGGGAATGGGACCCAAGACTAAACAGGAAATTTATTTATATTTATATACACCTTATACACATAGCCTGGAGGTAATTTCATACAATATGTGTTTTTAATTTTTATTTATGTTTTAGAGATAGCATCTTGCTCTGTCGTGCAGGCTAGAGAGCAGTGGTGCAATCATGGCTTACTGCATCCTGGGCTCAAGCTATCCTCCCAAGTAGCCAGAAGAAGAGGCACATGCCACCAGGCCCAGCTAATTTTTGTATTTTTTGCACAGATAGGGTCTTTCTATATTGCCCAGGCTGGTCTTGAACTCCTGGCCTCAAGTGATTCTCCTGTCTCAGCTTCCCAAAGTGCTGGGATTGCAGGCGTGAGCCACTGGGCCCAGCCCAGTATATATTTTTTTATTTTAAAATTATATTAAAAATATGAAACACTTTGTGAATTTGCACGACCTCCTTGCACAGGGGTCATGCTGATCCTCTCTGTACAAAGTTTGTATTAAGTATTTATGTGTGGAATTTTCCATGTTTCACCTCAGGTGAGCATGCAAACAATTTTGGATTTTGGAGCATTCTGGATTTCTGATTTTTGGATTAGGGATGCCCAATCGGTATAAGATACCCAGTTGGTGTCTGCTGGAGAATTGCTTGGTGTGTGCAGAAAATCTCCACACATTTGGTCACAGAAGTGTTCTGTGTTAAGTGAGAGTTTAGTGAAATAAAAATTTGTATTTCCTTTCCAAACACAGATCCGGGACACACGTTACAAGCGTACCAGAGACCATTTAGCAACAGAAGAGGGGCAGCATTCTTAGCATTCTTGAATCCTGTGGGCAATAATTTCCTGGTTTCCAGGAAAAATAACTCTTTACAATGATCCTTCAACATGATGGAGTATGTCACCTTTATGAAATCTTTTGCAATTTAGAAAAACAACAATACCAAATTGCTGCTCTTGTATAGAAATGGAAAAATTCAAAGAAGAGTGTCTTAACAAAGGTTTCTTTGTTAGACGTGCAGATTTTTCTTTTTTTTCTTTTGAGACAGGATCTTGCTTTGTCACCCAGGCTGGAGTGCAGTGGCATGATCACAGCTCACTGCAGGCTTCGTCTCCTGGGCTCAGGTGATCCTCCCACCTCAGCCTCCTGTGTAGCTAGGACTACAGGTGTGTGCCACCACACCCGGCTTAGGCATACAGATTGAAAGAATCTTTCAACTGGGACAGGAAGGGTGAGCTGCATAATACGTCACCGTTCACACAGTCATACCTCCAGAAGGGCAGGAAAAGAAAACAAAACAAAACCATACATCCAAGTCAGACAGATCCAGGTTGAAATCCCACCTTTCCTACTTTCTAGCTCTGTGGTTCTAGGTAAATGATTTCATCTCTGTGAGCCTTGGTTTCCTTCTTTGTACGTTGTGAATAATTATACCTACTTCAGAGAGCTGTTTTGACGATTAAATAAAACACAACTTCGGTTGTGAAGAGAGCGCTGTGTGGGTGGTGCTGGTGGCTGTTATTAACCTGCAGTCTGTGTGCTCATATCCCTCTTCCTGCAGGCAGCCCAGCACGCTGACTCTTCCATGGGTGGGAGGTCGATCACGAGTGCCCAGCTTGTTGCCCTCCGAGCCATGACGACGTGGGTTGAGGTTTTGGAGTGTAGTATGTGTTTTCAACCTTGGCTGTTCATTAACCTGAAAATTACCCAAAGAGATGGCTGGGCGTGGTAGCTCATGTCTGTAACCCCAGCACTTTGGGAGGCCAAGATTGGTGGATCACCTGAGGTCAGGAGTTCAAGACCAGCCTGACCAACATGGTAAAACCCCGTCTCTACTAAGTACAAAAAATTAGCCAGGTGTGGTGGCGCATGCCTGTAATCCCAGCTACTTGGGAGGCTGAGGCAGGAGAATCGCTTGAACCCAGGAGGTGGAGGTTACAGTGAGCCAAGATTGTGCCATTGCACTCCAGCCTGGGCAACAAGAGCAAAAACTCTGTCTCAAGAAAAAAAAAGTTACCCAAAGAGATTTCAAACATACCAAGGACTGGCTCATTCTCCCAGAGATTCTGTCGGTGTTGGTCTCTGTTGGTATTAGTCTCTGTTGGTGTTGGTCTCTGTTGGTGTTGGTCTCTGTTGGTATTGGTCTCTGGCTGGGCAGCCGTTGTTTCCAAAAGGCCCCAGGTGATTCTAAGGTGCACTCAGGGTGGAGGTCACTGGTGTCGCGAACAGAGTCTCACATTGGGAATCAGGAGACACAGCTCTGGTCCCAGCCCTGCCCCTCACTTGCTTGTGATTTTGGGGAATTAATGTCCTCTGTCTATGCCTGAGTTTCCCCTCCTGTTAAATGAGGGCTCTGAGCTACAATGATCTCTCAAGTTCCCTAAAGTCTAACACCGCTCCAGCCTCTTCATAGTTCAATGACTGATGAGGAATAGGCCAAAGCGACTCACCTGATAGTATTTTTGCTCCTCACTGAAGGCCACCAGGATGACAGAGATAAACAGGTTCAGCACCACAAATGTCATAAAAACAATGCAGGATCCAATGAGGAAGGAGCCAAGCACTGGGCTATAGTCCAGGACCTGTCAGAAAGAAAGCCAGGGTCATCCAGTGTCCTGGGTCCCAGTAGCCACTTCCCCTACTGGGAACCCTCAGAGGGAAAATGGTCCTCAGAGTTAGGCAGAGCCTAGAGCCTGGAAGGTCCCCTCTGCCTGGGGCTGAGAGAGCTGGGCAAGGAGAGAACGGGCAGCCCCTCACTTTCCACGGCTGCCACCTCCAAAGACGGCTGCCCTTTCTGCCCAGGGTAGGGGGTGTTTCCTTTGGGAGACCCCTGTACAGCCCTCCCCTGAGTAGCCAGCACCCAATGTTCCTCTGTGAGCAGGGATCCCAAGGGCAAGCTGTGGGCTCTAGCAGGGGTGTCTACCTAGAGGAGGGGGAACATTTCTGTTTGTCCAGACTTGCCCGGTGCTTGCCAGGCCATGGGCCCAAGGGATGGCACGGGGCGGGGTGGACAGGGAGTGCTTTTTCTAATCTTCACAGAGGCTCCGTATAGATGGCAGCAACCGTGCCCTCACCCCGTTACCTCCTCGTAGTTGAAGATTCCCAGCTGAAGGCTGACCATCGTCTCCGCCGCATCAAAGAGGGTTTTGTAGGAACGGAGTTTCCAACCAAATATCAAGTTTGACTGTCATGGAAAGAATTCTCATGAACAGGGAAGGAGGCTGCCAAGGCCCAAACAGCCTGCTGTTTCACAGTGGAGTGGGTGGTCTGTGTCAGCCACTGCCCTGGCTGGGCTGGTCAAGCTACTGTACCTACAGGGGTGTGCAAGTGGGTGTGTGTACACAACAGGTTTTTGTTTGTTTTTTTTGCGAGATGGAGTCTTGCTCTGTCACCCAGGCTGGAGTACAATGGTTCGATCTGGGCTCACTGCAGCCTCCGCCTCCTGGGTTCAAGCGATTCTCCTCCCTCAGCCTCACAAGTAGCTGGGACTACAGGCACACACCACCACGTCTGGCTAATTTTTCTATTTTTCGTAGAGACAGGGTTTCACCATGTTGGTCAGGCTGGCCTCGAACTCCGGATCTCAGGTGATCCACCCACCTTGGCCTCCCAAAGTGATAGGATTATGGGCGTGAGCCACTGCACCCGGTCCACAACTGGTTCTATGTGGCATGCATGTGTTTCTCTCTGTGGGTCTGTGCATGCGAGGCCACACGTGTGTCTGTGTGAGAGTGTACATGTGTATGCCTGTGGGCATCAATATCTGCACATATGCACTTTTGTGTATGTATATGTGTGTATCTATGTGTAGTGTATTTGTGTGCACATGCATGTGTATATGTGTATGTGTGTGTATCCATGTATAGTGTTTATGTGTGTGCATATGTGTGTGTATATTTGTTTGTGTGTACGTGTATGCGCGTGCATGTGTGCATGTGTGTAGGTGTGCACGTGTGTGCATCCATGTGCACGTGTGTGTCAAGTTTCTGGAAGTGCTGCCTGGATGACCTTGTCCAGGACCTTTATTGTGTCCATGGCCTGTTGATGATGCCTATCTCTGTGCCCACCAGGATGAGGGAGTGCCCAGGGTGCCTCTGGGGCTCAGGCAGCCACCTGCTAAGCCACCGCAGTGTTCCCCAGATGCGGTGCAAATACCTGACAATGAGTCTGGGCACTCTGCGGCTCCAAACCCTTCGCTCTGGGGAACTGGGTTGAATGGATGATGGGCTTCTGCCTGGGTGAGGACCTCCCCTCACTGCATTTTCCCTCACCACAACCCCTCACTCCCAAGACTTTCCCAGGGCTGCAGTGTCAGAGGGAGGCCCAGCAGCCCCTGGCTCTGTCTCTGAGTTGATGACTTTTGGTCCCATGGGACACTGCAATGTCCCTGCAGCCCAGACACTGCATGGAAGTCTGAAGAAATTCACATTAGGATTTAGAGGGGAGCTTTCACCAAAATCACAGACTCCAACTTTCCAGAACACACCCCCATCACTCCCTCAGTGCACCCCACCTGTTTCCAGGGGTGGGAGAGGAAGATCGGGTGGGGCTAGGGATGGAAGGGGTCAAGCCTGAGGTGACAGGGAGGCAGAGTGGGGTGAGGGTTGGGGTGGAGTGGGGACTAGGATGCGATGGGCTGGTGGATAGGATGATCAGGGAGGAGAGGAAGGCAAGAGACTGGATGGAGCCAGGGTGAGGATGGGGAAGGCCCTGGGGTAGGGAGTGGGCCAGGATTGTGCTAAAGGCCAGAGATGAACGGAAGGCCAGGGCTTGCATGGGAACATGGTGGGCAGTAGGGGGTGTATTTAGAAGGACATCAGGATGTGGTGGGGGCCAGGATGTAAGAGGGGCTTTGTTTCTCACATGATCATAAAAAAGAATTGAAAATTTAATGTTTTTGGCTGGGCGCGGTGGCTCACGCCTGTAATCCCAGCGCTTTGGGCGGCCAAGGTAGGCAGATTACCTGAGGTCAGGAGTTTGAGACCAACATGATGAAACACTGTTTTTACCAAAAATACAAAAATTGGCCGGGTGTCGTGGCACATGCCTGTAGTCCCAGCTACTCAGGAGGCTGAAACAGGAGAATCGCTTGAACCTGGGAGGCAGAGGTTGCAGTGAGCCGAGATTGTGACACTGCACTCCAGCCTGGGCAACAGAGTGAGACTCTGTCTCCAAAAACAAAAAAAAAGCCACACACGGTCGCTCATGCCTGTAATCCCAGCACTTTGGAAGGCCGAGGTGGGTGGATCACCTGAAGTCAGGAGATCGAGACCAGCCTGACCAACATGGTGAAACCTTGTCTCTACTACAAATACAAAATTAGCCAGGCATGGTGCTGTGCACCAGCAATCCCAGCTACTCAGGAGAATGAGGCAAGAGAATCGCTTGAACCTGGGCGGTGAAGGTTGCAGTGAGCCTAGATCGTGCCACTGCACTCCAACCTGGGCAGCAGAACAAGACTCCGTCTCAACAACAAAAAAGAAAATTCAATGTTTTCATTTATGTTTTTCTACACAGGGCCATGCTTGTCAATGTGCTCTTAAAGTGCTGAGTGAAGTGGCATTGGCCCTCCCAAGCTCATGAGTCATGTTTTGGACAACAAGCACTGGCATGGCCTGTGGATGTATCTACCTTCACATCCCCACCTCTGCCCCAACTCAAGGACGTGGTGGCCCCATCCATCCCCCAGCACAGCAGCAGTGCTCTGTGTGTGTCTAGGAGTTAGCCCTGTGCCTTCTGACCAGTTGGGAAGCCAGGATAACTGGCACATCCAGGAGGGGTCTAGAGCCAGAAAGGAATTCTTCCCAAACCTGGATCCTTTCAGCACTAGAGCCTATGCCTCCTCACCCTATCCACCTGAGCTCTCCAGCCTTTGCCATTTGAGATGACTGGTGCATGAGCTCACAGCAAAGACACCCTGTACTTACAAGAGCCACCACCTTCCTTGAGTTCCCAGGGTCTCCCTAACCCTAACTGTCCACTTTCCCACCACCAATTAGCCTTGGTTTCTGCAGAGACCCTCCCCGAACTTTTCCCAAAGCAGATACTTACCGCGATGGAGTAAGCCAGGAGCATGGTAAGGATGACAATCATAAAGCCTGAAATGTCGCCCCAGGCACGGCGTAGGGCTGCCGTGATCATGTTCATTTTGGGATTCAACCTGAGCAGATGCCAAAGCTTCACTGTGGACAGGAGTACCAGGAAGGCAATGATGTAGCCAAGGGCGGCATCGGCTGCTGCTGTCTCACTGAAGCTGATGCCTCTGTGGGACCAAAATGCAAAGGCTGGGTCTCAGAGACCTTGAGCAGTTCAGCCAGAACTCATCTGGATGCAAGACTGGATTTATCGGCATTTCGGGATGTGGGATTAGTTCTATCATCATCTCATAGGCCATCAGGTCCAGAAACAGGTCTGGGAAAGAGAGCCATCCCAGTTCCCCCAGGTAGGTGGTGATGATGATGATGATGATGAGGGGGAGGAGGAGGAGGAGGATGCTGGGAATTGTGGTGTGAGAGTGATAATGACAATGACAGTGATGATGATGGTGATGATGCTGAAGATGATGGTGATGGTGACAAAGATGATAATGGTAGTTGGACTTCATGGTGTGCACTGGTAATCCTAGCTACTCAAGAGGCTGAGGCGGGAGGATCACTTGAGTTCAGGGGTTTGAAGCTGTAGTGAGCTATGATCGTCATCAGTGAGATGGCAGCAGGACCAATCACCATGTGGTTTTCTCTGGGATGTTGGACTCAAGACATTTTTTTTTCCTGATCTGTTTTTAAAAGTTTTATAGTCCAGGCGTGGTGGCTCACACCTGTAATCCCAGCACTTTGGGAGGCCAAGGCAGGCAGATCACCTGAGGTCAGGAGTTCGAGACCAGCCTGGCCAACATGGCGAATCCCTGTCTCTAGCAAAAATATAAAAATTGGCCAGGTGTGGTGGCGCATGCCTGTAATCCCAGCTACTTAGGAGGCTGAGGCAAGAGAATCTCTTGAACCCAGGAGGCAGAGGTTGCAGTGAGCCGAGATCATGACACTGCACTCTGGCCTAGGTGACAAGAGCAAAACTCTGTCTCAAAAATAAAAAATAAATAAAAATAAATAAAAGTTTTATGACGCCATATGGTATTTCTTGTTAACTGAAAAACTTTGCAGCCACAAAAAGGAACAAAACCACGTCCTCTGCAGCGGCGTGGATGCGGCTGGAGGCCACTATCCTAAGCGAATTAACACAGGAACAGAAAATCAAATACTGCGTGTTCTGACTTACAAGTGGGAGCTAAACATTAGCTAGTTATGGACATAAAGATGGAAAAAACAGACACTGGGGACTGCAAGACTGGAGGGAGGCAGGCAAGGGTTGAGAAACTATCTACTGGTACTGTGCTCACTACTTGGGTATCGAGGTCATTCGCACCCCAAACCTCAGCATCACGCAATATACTCATGTAACAAACCTGCACATGTACCCCCTGAACCTAAATAAAATTTGAGGCCAGGCGCAGTGGCTCATGCCTGCAATCTCAGCACATTGGGAGGCTGAGGCAGGAGGATCACTTGAGGCCAGGAGTTCGAGATCAGCATGGGGAACAATGTGAGACTCCTGTCTCTATAAAAAAAATAATAAAAATTGAAATTGCTTAAAAAAGAAAAACTTGTGAGGCCTGCCTTCTAGCTATTCTACAGAAGAAGCCTTTTCAAACAGGTTCAAGGTGACACTACCTTCCCGAAGCTCTGTGATCTGGAGAGCTTTCCCCGTGCTCTCCTCCAAGGTTGGACTCACTCAGGGCAGCTCTCTACAGGGCCACACCGAGGGACACAAAGCACAGACTGGGTTTGCCACCTTGGGTACTGGCCAGGCCTCAGTGAGAACCATCCTTTTACCCAAATCTCCTGCCTTCCAGAATCTTCCTTCCCTTTGAGCAGACTGGAGTTGCTGGTACAAACTGTTGCTTCCGCCTTTGACTCCAGCAGCTCCTTTCTCCTGTCTCTCTTAAAAGACCTAATGCTGCCTGGGCACGGTGGCTAGCACTTGTAATCCCAGCACTTTTGGAGGCCAAGGCCAGTGGATCACCTGAGGTCTGGAGTTTTCAACCAGCCTGGCCAACATGGTGAAACCCCATCTCTACTAAAAATACAAAAAATTAGCCAGGTGGGGTGGCAGGCGCCTGTAGTCTCAGCTACTCGGGAGGCTGAGGCAGGAGAATCCCTTCAATCCGGGAGGCAGAGGTTGCAGTGAGTGGAGATCGCGCCATTACACTCCAGCCTGGGCAACAACAGTGAAACTCTGTCTCAAAACAAACAAAAAAGAAGACCTAACACTGTCTCATGCCATTTAATTGCTTATGTATGTGGAAAAAATAACAATACATAAGCCCTCTTTTATTTTTATTTTTTTCTTGAGATGGAGTCTGGCTCTGTCACCCAGGCTGGAGTGCAGTGGCACAATCTTGGCTTACTGCAACCTCCTCCTCCTGGGTACAAGCGATTCTCCTGCCTCAGACTCCTGAGTAACTGGGACTGTAGGCGTGCTTCACCATGCCCAGCTAATTTTTGTATTTTTAGCAGAGACGGGGTTTCATCATGTTGGCCAGGCTGGTCTTGAACTCCTGACCTTGTGAACCGCCCACCTCAGCCTGCCAAAGTGCCGGGATTACAGGCATAAGCCACCGCACCCAGCCTGGCTTCAGTATTTTTACTGTCTCCTTGGAGTTATTCTTATATGTAGCCAAGGTTGAGAACCATGCTTTAATACGGCTAACTGCCTTCATAAAGGAGGGCTGGCTGGGCATGGAGGCTCATGCCTGTAATCCCAACGCTTTGGGAAGCCAAGGCAGGAGGAATGCTTGAGACCAGGAGTTCAAAACCAACTTGGGCAACAGAGCAAGACCTCATCTCTACAGATAATTTAAAAATTACCTGAGCGGCCGGGCGCAGTGGCTCATGCCTGTAATCCCAGCACTTTGGGAGGCCAAGGTGGGCAAATCACGAGGTCAGGAGTTCGAGACCAGCCTGGCCAACATGGTAAAACCCCATCTCTACTAAAAATACAAAAATTAGCCGGGCGTAGTGGCGTGCGCCTGTAATCCAGCTACACAGGAGACTGAGGGAGGAGAATCGCTTCAACCTGGGAGGCGGAGGTTGCGGTGACCCAAGATGGTGCCACTGCACTCCAGCCTGGGCGACAGAGTGAGACTCCATCTCAAAAAAAAAAGAAAATTACCTGAGCATGGTAGCGTGAGCCTGTGGTCCCAGCTACACAGGAGGCTGAGGTGAGAGGATCGCATGAGCCCTGGAGATCAAGGCTATCGTGAGCTGTGATCACACCATTGCACTCCAGCCTGGGTGACAGAGCAAGATCCCGTCTCAAAACATAAATAAAAGAGGCCATAAGCCCTCTTTTATTAGGCATGAGCCACCATGCCCAGCCCGAAGCCTTCAATACTTAAAAGAGAAAAGCGGTCTAGAGAGGAAAGAGGGAGGGTCTGGTGACACTATTGAATCCACATGTTGCCAGAGAAAAGGAGCAGGTAAGGGAATAGTCAATGATGTATTTGTCTCATGCTCAGTTAAGTGGGCACTTTACATAAGATAAGGTGAACCTGGAGCTGCTGTCTGCAGAGATCAACCTTTTAGCTGTAACTCTCTCTTTACGAACAAAATGAAAGGCAGTTTCTTGCATGACTCAACTTTCAGCTTAATTTTTCTTTTTCCTTTTGGCAGAGTGGATTGGGGTCCCAAGATTTTATTTTCCCTTCATGCAGCTTAACCTCTCCAAGCCTCATTACATGTGATTTCCTCATTTGTAAAAAAAAAAAAGGATGATGAGGCTGGGCGCGGTGGCTCACGCCAGTAATCTCAGCACTTTGGGAAGTCGAGGGGGGCGAATCATGAAGTCAGGAGTTTGAGATCAGCCTGGCCAACATGGTGAAACCCCGTCTCTATTAAAAATACAAAAATTAACCGGGTGTGGTGGTGTGTACTTGTAATCCCAGCTACTGGGGAGGCTGAGGCAGGAGGATGACTTGAACCCAGGAGGGAGAGGTTGCAGTGAGCTGAGATCATGCAAGAGTCCGTCTCAAAAAACAAAACAAAAAAAGGGATGGTGATATCATCTCTTAGAGGTCTCAGGAGGATTCAGGTGTAGGTGAGATGAGACACTGCTTGTAATGTGGTGTTTTTATGAAAGTGTATGACATTTAGCAATAACTCAATACATGTTAGCTATATCTATAAAACGAATGAGTGAGTCAAGAAACCCGATGATTCCAAGCAAGGGAGGGGACCCTGGAGCCACACAAGCTAGGCTTAAATTACTTGTCTGCCACATTTTAGCTGTGTGGCCTTGGGGAAGTCACGTGACCTCTCTGAGCCTCAGTGTCTTTGTCTGTTTTTTTGAGACCCAGTCTCCCTCTGTCACCCAGGCTGGAGGGCAGTGGCGCAATCTCGGCTCACTGCAACTTTTGCTTCCCGGGTTCTAGCGATTCTCCCGCCTCCTGAGTAGCTGGGACTGCAGGTGCATGCCATCACGCCCAGCTAATTTTTGTATTTTTAGTAGGGATGGGGTTTCACCATATTGGCCAGGCTGGTCTCGAACTCCTGACCTCAAATGATCCACCCGCCTTGGCCTCCCAAAGTGTTGGGATTACAGGCGTGAGCCACCGTGTCCAGCAATTTTTCCATTTTTAGTAGAGTTAGGGTTTCACTGTGTTGGCCAGGCTGGTTTCAATCTCCTAACCTCAAGTGATCTGCCCACCTCGGCCTCCTGAAGTGCTGAGATTACAGGCATGAGCCACCACACCCTGCCCTCAATGTCTTTGTTAAATGGGGCGATGATAACACTGACCTTCATCAATCCTGATGATGATTCCCTAGGTGAAAACATCCTGCCTACCACATAGTGGACACTTAGTGTATGGTAGCAGAGGTGAGCTTACTGGGGCCATAATACTTGCAAAGGGCCTCCCCTTTGCAAGGTTTTGGAGAGCCTAAGCAGGATGCCCCATGGTCCTATGTTTTGGGAAGATTTGCACAAGATGTTCTATTTTGTCTGAGTCCTCTCCAATCGTACTCACTTGCGGCTGGCCCCACACCTGAATCTAGGTGGCAGCTAGAGTTATGTCTACTAGGAGTGCCCCTTTATCCCTTGAGGGTCCACAGCATTCCAAAACCTCCTTCTGACCCCTGGGCCTCAAACGGAGCTGTAGGAAGAGGGGCCAGTGTGGGGAGCTGGGGGGCTGAGGAGACAGCCACTGACTCCTCCCTGTGGTTCCGGCAGCGCTGGAGGTCCCTTTCGGCCAGGACAGCCCTCTTCACAAACACCGCCAGGGCGCTCCAGCTGGCCAGGATGATGGCCAGCTCCAGAAGGTTCCACTTGCTGCAGAAATAGCCCCACGTCTCTTTACTCATGCGCTTGCCCTGGAAAAGGAGCGTGAAGTTGCGGCCGTGACTGCCCCCGCCCCACAGGGCTGCTCCCTCCCCATCCCGGAGGGCCCTCTGGCAGGAGGCTTCCCCAGCTCTGGCCCCCATGCACAGAGTGCCCAGGCCTCTCCCCAACCTTGTGCACAGACCCATTGAGGCGGGATAATAGGGCCTGGAGGCAGGGAACCTAAGAACTAAATCAAATGGAAACACTTCAGCTATGACAGGAAATATCCTCTTCATTCACATAGGGTGTACCCCGAGTAAATGACTTTGTAACTTCACTTTAACCTCTTCATTTACATAGGACATACACCGATTAACCAATGGAAACCTCTAGAAGGTATTTAAACCCCAGGAAATTCTTTTTTTTTTTTTTTTTTGAGATGGAGTCTCCCTCTGTTGCTCAGGCTGGAGTGCAGCGGGCCCCATCTCAGCTCAATGCAACCTCTGCCTCCCGGGTTCAAGCAATTCTTCTGCTTCAGCCCCCTGAGTAGCTGGGATTACAGACGTGTGCCACCACACCCAGCTAATTTTTGTATTTTTAGTAGAGAAGGGGTTTCATTTTGTTGGCCAGGCTAGTCTCAAACTCCTGACCTCAGGTGATCTGCCCGCCTCTGCTTCCCAAAGTGCTGGGATTACAAGTGTGAGCCACCGAACCCAGCTGGCTGTAGTTTGCAACATGGAAAGAGTTCATCCTTCTGGAGATGGACGGTAGTGGCACTTGCACAATGATATGAGTGGACCTAATGCCACTAAACACTTAAAAGTGGTTAAAATGGTAAATTTTATGTTACGTATATTTCCCACAATTAAAAATAAATAATTTAGGCTGGGCACGGTGGCTCACGCCTGTAATCCCAGCACTTTGGGAGGCTGTGGCTGGCAGATCACAAGGTCAGGAGATCCAGACCATCCTGGCCAACACGGCGAAACCCTGTCTCTATTAAAAATACAAAAATTAGCCGGGCGTGGTGGCAGGTGCCTGCAGTCCCAGCTACTCAGGAGGCTGAGGCAGGAGAATCGCTTGAACCCTGGAGGCGGAGGTTAAAGTGAGCCGACATCGTGCCATTGCACTCCAACTTGGTGACAGAGAAAGAATCTGTCTAAAAAAAAAAAAAAACAACAATAAAATAAATAAATAATTTTAAAAATTGCTGAGCGTGGTGACTCATACCTCTACAACACTTTGGGAGGCTGAGGCGTGACAATCACTTGAGCCCAGGAGTTAGAGAACAGCCTGGGCAAAATCACGAAAACGGGCTGGGCATGGTGGCTGACGCCTGTAATCTCAGTACTTTGGGAGACCAAGGCAGACAAATCACTTGAGGTCAGGAGCTCGAGACCAGCCTGGCCAACATGGTGAAAACCCTGTCTGTACTACAAATATAAAAATAAGCTGCAAATCTCTTAAACCCAGGAGGCGGAGGATGCAGTGAGCAGAGAAGTCACCACTGTACTCCAGCCTGGGCAACAGAGCAAGACTCCGTCTCAAAAAAAAAAAAAAAAGAAAGAAAAAGACAAAGCCTCATCTCTACAAAAAGTACAAAAATTAGCTGGATGTGGTGACACATGCCTATAGTCTCAGCTACTCGGGAGGCTGAGGTAGGAGGATCACTTGACCCTGGGGAGGTTGAGGCTGCAGTAATCTGGGACTGCACTACTGCACTCCAGCCAGGGCAACAGAGCCAGACCCTCTCTCTACATAGACAGACAAATAGATAGTTAGGTAGTTTTCTTTCTTTTCTGCCCTTGTGGAGAGGTTTTCTGGATAGGCACGAGACTTAGTTTTAAGTAAACTTCCCCAACAGGTGTCACAAGTTCAAAAGAACGATCCTGCGTGTGTTCTTCATCTTCCTCCCCATCTTTTCCCTTTCACTCAAGAGAATCTTCTATTTTTGTACCAGTTTCCCCTCCTGCCCCTTCTTTTTTCCTCTTCTTTCTTCCTTTCTTTCCTTTCCTTCCTTTCCTTCCTTCCTTCCTTTTCTTTCTTTTTTTTGCCAGGGACAGAGTTTCGCTCTTGTTGCCTAGTCCTGGAGTGCAGTGGCGCAATCTCAGCTCACTGCAACCTCTGCCTCCAGTTCAAGCGATTCTCCTGCCTCAGCCTCCCGAGTAGCTGTAATTACAGGCATGCGCCACCACACCCGGCTAATTTTATATTTTTAGTAGAGATGGGTTTTCACCATGTTGGCCAGGCTAGTCTTGAACTCCTGATCTCATGATCCACCTGCCTTGGCCTCCCAAAGTGCTGGGATTACAGGCGTGAGCCACCGCGCCCAGCAATTTTTTTTTTTTTTTTTTTTTTGGAGACAGAGTCTTGCTCTGTCATCCAGGCTGGAGTGCTGTGGCAGGATCTCAGCTCACTGCAACCTCTGCCTCCCAGGTTCAAGTGATTCTATTGCATCAGTCTCCCAAGTAGGTGGGACTACAGGCGCCTGCCACCATGCCCGGCTAATTTTTGTATTTTTAGTAGAGATGAGGTTTTGCAATGTTGGCCAGGCTGGTCTCCAACTCCTGACCTCAAGTGATCTGCCCGTCCTGGCCTCCCAAAATGCTGGGATTATAGGCTTGAGCCACTGTGCCCCTCCTACCCACTCTTAAGAAGGAAGGACTTCCATTTGGCTGGTGGCAGGCTAAGTTCACTTTTACAACAAAGGGATGGAGAGTGGGGAGATTTTTAAAACTGCCCAAGCAGCATTTTGCGAGAGATTTGTAGGTTTTGGAGAGCAGCTTTCTGAAGCAGCTGCAGGCAGACTGTGGAGGCAGTTGGAGGAGGGCAGTGAACCGTGGAGGCGGGTGGTGAACAGATCTGCTGTGAGGTTCTTGGACAGGTGCATGGATTGAAGTTGCTGTCTGATGACTGTTGGCCATTGGGCTTGAACTGGTGATGCTCAAGACCAGGCGAGTGCGCTGCTTCATGAGGCTGATGCTGTGGATAGGGGTCGAGTGTGACGGTCAGGGGTCAGACTCCCTGTGTTCAAATTCTGACCTTGGATAAATGACTTAAAGTCTCTGGACTTTAGTTTCCTACTCTGAATTAGAGCCCATAGGACCTTTCTCCTGTTGTTGAAAGAGAAAACACATACGTTCTTAGCACAATGCCTGCTATGCAGTAAGCACTCAAAAATATCATCCTTGCTTTAAACAGGGTGTTGGAGAAGACGATGGAGGGCCAAGATGCCCCCTTTCGGCAATCTGGTTTGCATTTTTGTCAGGAGGAGGGGAGTAGCTTCCGGTGTGTTCCCATGATCGTCCAGCCTTTAGCGTCATCAACATCTGCACGTTTGGATGCAACATGGCAATAAAGGTGGCAAAGGGGATGTTGCCTAACTCCCAGTGACCGTGGGTGGGAACAAAAGATGCTAAGAGGCCCCACAATCTAAGTTCAGAGGACTTCCACACCCAGCTGTAGGGTCACTTCCCCGTACCATCGCCCTACCCTGGCTCTTTGGAAGGTCTCAGTTCAGTAGAAACAGGACCCATGCTCCTCTCCCTTCCCCACCCATGAAAGACCCCACTTTGAGTTCTCAATTCCTGAGGAGTACCAACCTTGGGTCCTTCCCATGCCCTGATCTAGCAGCCTAGATCAGCCCTAGGACCAATGGAAGGACCAAAGGTTGCTCCCAGCAAACACCTAAGGCAAAGCCCTTTCCCGGCCGGGTGCGGTGGCTCACGCCTGTAATCCCAGCACTTTGGGAGGCTGAGGCAGGCGGTTCACGAGGTCAGGAGTTTGAGACCATCCTGGCCAACATGGTGAAACCCCATCTCTACTAAAAACACAAAAATTAGCAGGGCTTGGTGGTGCATGCCTGTAGTCCCAGCTACTCAAGATGCTGAGGCAGGAGAATCATTTGAACCCAGGAGGTGGGGGCTGCAGTGAGCCGAGATTGCACCACTGTATTCCAGCCTGGTGACAGAGACTCCATCTCAAAAAAAAAAAGGAAAAAATCCCTTTCCCATCCCACTTACAAGGAAGAGGAGAGGTGTTGGTGAGGCACCAGGCACCCCTGCACCCCAAACCCTGCTCATGAGCTATGAGCATGCCCCTTACCTGCACCACCATGTAGTAGAGGAGGAAGAGGAAGTAGATGAGCTCTGCCGCTACCACGAAGGGGTGCCAGCCGTCGGTGAAGGGGTACAGGCGGAGGCTCTGCAGGGCCGCGTGCGTAAAAAAGGTGCCTGGGGAGCAAAGTGCGTTCTGCTCACTCTGGGCCACCTGGTTGCTCAGAGCCATGGCTTCTGACAGGAGCCATCAGGTCAGATGACTCAAGCTCAACCCCCTGAGGGCTGGCTGTGGCCAAGGAAAAGCCAAAGTTATTTCAGACCCGAAGGACTGAACGTGGACACGTGGTAGACACCGAAGACAGCGGATGCAACAGAAGGGGCGGAGGGGCTGCAGTGGAAGGTTCTCCCCTCCCCTCGGCATTTGATGTTGGCCTTTTGGGCACAGACACCTCCAGATAAAGCACATCCACCCATATAATGACAATTGACTCCCACTTGGCTCATTTAAAGCCATTTTGGGCCGGGCCCAGGGGCTCACGCCTCTAATCCCAGCACTTTGAGAGGCTGAGGTGGGCAGATCATAAGGTCCGGAGATTGAGCTCATCCTGGCTAACGTGGTAAAACCCCGTCTCTACTAAAAATACAAAAAGTTAGCCAGGTGTGGTGGCAGGCACCTGTAGTCCCAGCTACTCGGGAGGCTGAGGCAGGAGAATTGCTTGAACCCAGGAGGCAGAGGTTGCAGTGAGCCGAGATCACACCATTGCACTCCAGCCTGGGTGACAGAGAAGGACTGTGTCTCAAAAAAAAAATAAAAATAAAAAAAGATACACAGGTAAACCCAAAAAGGATTTGGAAGAAACTATTAGCAATGCGGAATGACAATGGAAATTGAAAGCCCTTCAGTTTTCACAGTTCTGAATTTTGTTTTTAAAACACAAACATATATTCCTTTTTTTTTTTTTTTTTTTTTGAGATGCAGTCTTGCTCTTGTTCCCCAGGCTGGAGTGCAATGGCACAATCTCGGCTTACTGCAACCTCCACCTCCTGGGTTCAAGTGATTCTTCTGCCTCAGCCTCCTGAGTATCTGGGATTACAGGTGCCCGCCACCACGCCCAGCTAATTTTTGTATGTTTAGTAGAGACGGGGTTTCGCCATGTTGGCCAGGCTAGTCTTGAACTCCTGACCTGGTGATTTGCACCCCCCCCCACCCGGCCAATGGCCTCCCAAAGTGCTGGGATTACAGGTGTGAGCCACCATTCCCGGCCTATATTACTTTTATCATTAAAAACGTAATCTAATATTTTCTAAAAGTTTGGTATTCACTGGAGAGGAGGTTGGCTTTTAGGTAAATTGACCATCAGCTGAATAGACTATAGATTGGTTTTTAGAAGACTGTGATCAGCATTTTAAAGGGGGAAGGAGGCATGAGGAAGAATAAATAGAATAGAACACAAAATATGAGAGCCCATCACATGTAGTTTTTTGTTTTTTAAATTTTATAGAGACCAGGTCTCACCATGATGCCCAGGCTGGTCTTGGACTCCTGGGCTCAAGGAGTCCTCCCACCTTGACCTCCCAAAGTGCTGGGATCATGGGGGCGAGCCCGGCCTCATGGAGTTAAAGTACATGTTATTTGTGAACATTTCATCTTGGTTGCATGTGTGCTGGATTATGTTGTAAAACGTACTTTGTGCTGTGCACTGATGTATGGTGAAATATATATTAGGTGATATGATCTGTTACATCACATTCTCCCTCGCCGTCACTGCCAGGTCACCACCCCCAACCCCAGCAGACAGGGAAGCTCGGGATTAGGCAATGGATAAGCTGCCTTTGGACTCTGAATAGGCTGTTTTACGATAACTTGGGCGACTAGGCCAGAAAGATGGGAAGAATTAGGGTGGAGGGCCCTAATGCTTTGCCTTTGGGGGCCCAGGGACTCATGGCTGCAAGGATAACCAAGATCCACACCTAGATTCACTAAATAAGTATTTGCTCTGGAGCTCTGGCCCTGGGGTGGCTGCACCTAGGTAGGTCAGGAGCCCCAGCCCAGGGGAAGGAGTATATGTCTTCTGGAGCCCTGCAGAGGGTTCCCAGGCGAGGCTGCCCACCCAGAGCGCTGGTCTCTAGCGTCAGCGTGACAATGCAGAACAGGTTGACGTTGGCGTTGTAGACAGTGGACTCCACAAACACAGCTCTGGTCAGGGCGTCCAGCCAGGTGTTGTCAAAGAGATAGCGGAGAATTCTGCAGGAAAGAGTGGCATTGGGTCATTGCTATCCTGCAGGGGCTCCATGTCCCGGCAGCCCCTTGACTGAGGCCAGTACTTCCTGTCTCAACTTCTCCCTCTGTTTCTGCTCTGCTCCCTGGGCCACCAGGCCAACAGAGCTGCTGCTGGGAGTGGTCACATTTTGTAGCCCACGCTGTGATATGGTGGCACCCCTCATCTCCTGGCCATCAGAGCAGAGATTCTCAAAGTGTAGTGCCCACACCAGCAGCATCAGCATCACCTGGGAACTTGTTGGAAATACAGATTTTCAGGCCCGCCCTAGACCTGCTGAGTCAGACACTCTCAGGGGAGCCCAGAATGCGTGTTTTGATGAGCCCGCCAGGATTTGGATTTTTTTTTTTTTTTTTTTGAGACGGAGTCTTGAACTGTCGCCCAGACTGGAGTGCAGTGGTGCGATCTCGGCTCACTGTAAGCTCTGCCTCCTGGGTTCACGCCATTCTCCTGCCTCAGCCTACCGAGTAGCTGGGACTACAGGTGCCTGCCACGGCACCCGGCTAATTTTTTGTATTTTTAGTAGAGGCGGGGTTTCACCGTGTTAGCCAGGATAGTCTCGATCTCCTGACTTCGTGATCCGCCCGCCTCGGCCTCCCAAAGTGCTGGGATTACAGGCGTGAGCCACCACGCCCAGCCTTGGATGCTTTTTACGGTTTGAGAGCCATGGTGTTAGAAGAATCATAGTCCGGGTGCGGTGGCTCACATCTGTAATCCCAGCAGTTTGGGAGGCTGAGGCAGGTGGATCACCTGAGGTCAGGAGTTTGAAACCAGCCTGGCCAACATGGTGAAACCCCGTCTCCACTAAAAATACAAAAATACAAAAATTAGCCAGGTGTGACCGGGTGCGGTGGCTCACGCCTGTAATCTCAGCACTTTGGGAGGCTGAGGTGGGTGGATTATCTGAGGTCAGGACATCGAGACCAGCCTGAACAACATGGTGAAATTCCGTCTCTATTAAAAATACAAAAATTCGCTGGGCGTGGTGGCGCATGCCTGTAATCCCAGCTTCTCAGGAGGCTGAGATGGGAATTGTTTGAACCAGGGTGGCAGAGGTTACAGTGAGCCGAGATCACGCCACTGCACCTCAACCTGGGTGACAGAGCGAGACTCTGTCTCAAAAAAAAAATAAAAAAGAAAAAATTAGCTGCAGTGGTGTATGCCTGTAATCCCAGCTACTCAGGAGGCTGAGGCATGAAAATTGCTTGAGGCTGAGACAGGAGAATCATTTGAACCCAGGAGGCAGAGGTTGCCATGAGTCAAGATCATGCCACTGCACTCCAGCCTGGGTGACGGTGTGAGACTGTCTCAAAAGAAGAAAAAAGGGCCAGGCATGGTGGCTCACACCTGTAATCTCATCACTTTGGGAGGCTGAGGCAGGCAGATCACCTGAGGTCAGGAGTTTGAGATCAACCTGGCTAACATGGTGAAACACTGCCTCTACTAAAAATACAAAAACTTTAGCCAGGCGTGGTGGCACACGCCTGTATTCTCAGCTACTCAGGAGGCTGGGGCAGGAGAATTGCTTGAACCTGGGAGGTGGAGGTTGCAGTGAGCTGAGATCACATCAAAGCACTCCAGCCCGGGCAACAGAGCAAGACTCTGTCTCCGAAAAAAAAAAAAAAAGAAATAAAGAAAAAGAAGAAAAGGAGGCTGGGCTGATGGCTCACGCTTGTAATCCCAGCACTTTGGCATGCTGAGGTGGACGGATCACCTGAGGTCAGGAGTTCAAGACCAGCCTGGCCAACATGGTGAAACTCCACCTCTACTAAAAATACAAAAATTAGCTGGGTGTGGTGGCGTGCACCTGTAATTCCAGCTACTCAGGAGGTTGAGGCGGGAGAATCACTTGAGCCCAGAAGCAGAGGTGGCAGTGAGCTGAGATCACGCCATTGCACTCCAGCCTGGGCAACAAGAGCAAGACTCTGTCTCAAAAATAAATAAATAAATAAATAAATAAATAAGAATCATATAAAACATCAGGGGCTTAGGCAAGCAGCTCCCATGAGCTCCTGGAGATCTGTCAGCCTGGTGTGGTGGAAAGAGCACATGCCCTGAAGGTGGTGGAGGGACCTGGGTTCAAATCTTGGCTGCCTCCTGGACAAGCTAATAACTTCTCCAGGCCTTGGTTTCCTCATCTGCCATGGTGTGGTTTTTTGTTGGTTTTTTGTGTTTATGAGACAGGGTATTGCTCTGTTGCTCAGAATGGGGTGCAATGGCAATCATCCCTCACTGCAGCCTCCACCTCCCAGGCTCATGTGATCCTCCCACCTCAGCCTCCCAAGTTGCTGGGACCACAGGTGCGTACCCCCATGCCCAGGTAATTTGTTATCTTTTTTAGAGGCAGAATCTCAGTATGTTGTCCAGGCTGGTCTCAAATTCCTGGGCTCAAGCAATCCCCCTGTGTCAGCCTCCCAAAGTGCTGGAATTATAGGTGTGAGCCACTGTGCCCGGCTCTACAACGGTGTTAACACCAGTGCCTTCAGATCATTTAGAGAACATGGAGGGATGTGTGTGCATGTGCGTGTGTGTGTTGTGTGTGTGTAGTAATGATAGTTGTTATTACTTCCAGTAATAATGATGGGCCTGTAATATGCTGTGTCCCCAGTGGGTCTGCATCCTGCTTGGTACATAGCAGCAGATAGAGAGAGAATATGTTTTTTTTTTTTTTTTGAGACAGAGTTTCGCTCTTGTTGCCCAGGCTGGAGTGCAATGGCGCAACCTTGGTTCACTGCAACCTCTGCCTCCCGTATTCAAGCGATTCTCCTGCCTCAGCCTCCTGAGTAGCTGGGATTACAGGCACCCACCACTAATTTTTTGTATTTTTAGTAGAGATGGGGTTTCTCCATGTTGGCCATACTGGTCTCGAACTCCTGACCTCAGGTGCTCCTTCTGCCTTGGCCTCTCAGAGAGCTGAGATTACAGGCATGATCACTGCACCCAGCCACCAGAGAGAGAATATCTGCAGTCAGTCCAATTAGCAGGAAAAATGCCTCTTATTCCGAAATCGACTATTCCTGGCCTTTCCTTAACCCCAGGAGACCCTGTTTGTAGACAGAGTACAGGCTACACCATCATAAACCACCTTGGTGCAATGATCATACAATGGAGGAAACTGAGGTTCACGCGGGTCTGCTGATTTGCTTGGGCTACACAGCTAAAAGGAGCAGCGCCAGGGTTTCAAATCTAGGTCTCTTGTCTCAAGGGCATGTTGAGTCAGTCTTCACGGACCCTGAGCATCCCTGCACGTTCTTACTGGGTATTCTAGGAATGCAAGGCCGTGGCTGTGCTTTAGCCAAGTCACTTCTTAGGGCTGTATTTGCAGTGTGCAACCTTGTGGGATGAGGTGATGCCTTCCTTTGGACAAAGAGTAGGCTTCTTTCTGCTGCTGTAAAAGCATCAAATGCCCCCAGGCTCTGTATTGCAGGCACATGCAGGCATCTTTCACGGCCCTTTGTGGGCAACTGACTCAGACCAGTGTAATGTTCTGCTATGACTTTTGCTGTAACAAAATCCTTTGTCTCTGACCCAGGAATATTGCGTATTCTGCCAGCATCCGTGAAACAGTTAACAGGCTAGCTTGTTGGCTTACAAGTAGGGTAAAACCTCAAATTTTGCATAATTCTTGACAGATCCTTAACTAATTCCCTCTTGCCTAAGGGTGGACTGCTTTGAGTGGTAGTGAGCTCCCCATCTCTGGCCTGGCTCTAGCAGAAGCAACCAGGCTGTGAATGCTAGAGAGAGACTTTCCTTCCAATTCTGAGATGGCTTAGTTCCCAGGGACCTGAAAATACAACCTGCATGATTCTGTATCCTACAAGCCCTCCCACAAGGACCTGAATGAACTTGGCTCAGCCCTGTTTGGAAGACTACATTCCCCAAGCAGATGTGGACTCTAGCAAAAGACTTTACTCAGCTACAAATGAATCAAGTCAACCTTACCTTGACGTGCTTTGGCGATCAGTCCCCAAGGGGACCACGTAGCCTCCTCCCCGGTACACAGTGAGTTTGCCCCAGATGGGATACCCTTGACGTTGGTCCTGGCTCTGGTACTGCCAAGCCTGGGGAAAGCTACTGCCATTACTGAGGGTGGTGGCATTCCAGCCTTCCCCATAGTCTGCCATGTCTTCAGCATCCAGGGAATATGGTGCACGGCATCCGTTGAGATATGCCTGCGGCTGCTGGGCAAGAGGGCAAGAGCTTTCCTGGACCCTCACTTGACGAATCTGGGCACTGCCAACCAGCTTGGAGTTCCCATCAGTGATAAAGCCTAAAAAGAAAAACAAGGTGGGTAAATCTAGCAATCAAAATAATCTTAACACATTCCAAGCTCCCCGGCCTGAGGCTAATGTGAAATTCAGCGTACCCATTATAGAGACAGCCCAGAGAAGTTTATCACCAACTATAGGCTACATTTATCCAAATAACCTCACCATCTCTCCTGCTGGAATCTACTGTGCTTCCGCACAACTTCTCTTAGGGAATGGAACCTGCCACCCCGTCATCCATCTGGATGTGCCTGTGCCCTTTCTCCTCAATCCTCCATCCCACTGGTCACCACATCCTATCCATCCTACTTTTTTCATGTCTTATGTGCCCATCCCGTTCTCTCCATCACCACTGTCCCTGGTCCCTCCCTGCACCAGCCCTCATCCTGTGTCCTCAGCATCCTAACTTGCCACCTCCTCCACCTCTTTTTTTTTTTTTTGAGACAGAGTTTTGCTCTTGTTGCCCAGGCTAGAGTGCAATGGCGTGATCTTGTCTCACTGCAACCTTTGCCTCCTGATTCAAGCAACTGTCCTGCCTCCGCCTCCCGAGTAGCTGGGATTACAGGCGCATGCCACCATGCCCAGCTAATTTTTTGTATTTTTATTAGAGATGGGGTTTCTCCATGTTGGCCAGGCTGGTCTCGGACTCCTGACCTTGGGTGATCCACTCACCTCGGCCTCCCAAAGTGCTGGAATTACAGGTGTGAGCCACGGCGCCCGGCCAACTTGCCCACCCTTTACTCCAACTTCCACATGCTTCCAGAGTGATCCTTCTACACCACAGATTTATGCCATAGCCTCATGTAGAAATTCAGTGGCGCCTCATTTCCTCAAGGATGAGATACACGCTCCTGAGATCCTTCATGATCTGGCCCGTTCATCTTTCCTGCTTTGCTTCTCACTGATCCTTAACTCACATCCTACACGAGAGTCACACCCAACACGCTGTGGTTCCAAGAACACGCATCCCATGGCAAGAGGCTGGGCTTTTCTCGTGTTGTTCATTCTGCCTGGTGCACTGTTTTTGCCTAGCTGGTTCAAGCTCTGTTATCACTCACTTAGGAGGTTCTCCACTCTGCATCGGGGGAAGGGAAGGTGGAGAGTCCCCCCTTGTGCACACCCAGCCTTCTGAGTCCCTCCTTCATAGCATCTGGTCCTGTGGTTATTGATTGGTTTTCTCTCTTCCTTCCTTCCCTCCTTCCTTCCCTCCTTCCTTCCTCTCTCTTTCTTTCCTTCCTTCCTTCCTTCCTTTCCTCCCTTCCTTCCTCCCTTCCTTCCCTTCCTTCCTTCCCTTCCCTCCCTCCTTCCCTCCTTCCCTCCTTCCTTCCTTCCTTCTCTCTCTCTCTCTCTCTTTCTTGACAGTTTCACTCTTGTCACCCAGGCTGGAGTGCAAGGGCGCAATCTCGACTCACTACAATCTCCGCTTCTCAGGTTCAAGCGATTCTCCTGCCTCAGCCTCCTGAGTAGCTGGGACTACAGGCACGTGCAAACACACCCAGCTAATTTTGTATTTTTAGTAGAGATGGGATTTCACGTTGGCCAGGCTGGTCTCAAACTCCTGACCTCACGTGATCCACCTGTCTTGGCCTCCCAAAGTGCTGGGATTACAGCCGCAAGCCACCACGCCTGGGGTTTTACTGGTTTTCTTTTCTTTTCCCTCCCTCCCTCCCTCCCTCCCTCCCTTCCTTCCTCTCTCTCTCTCTCTCTTTCTTTCATGGAGTCTCACTTCTTCACCCAGGCTGGAGTGCAATGGCGTGATCTTAGCTCACTGTAACCTCTGCCTCCCAGGTTCAAGCAATTCTCCTGCCCCAGCCTCCCAAGTAGCTGTGTTTACAGGCACGTGACAACACACCTAGCTAATTTTTGTAGTTTTAGTAGAGACGGGGTTTCACCAGGTTGGCCAGGCTGGCCTCAAACTCCTGACCTCAAGTGATCCGCCCGCCTCGGCCTCCCAAAGTGCTGGGATTATAGGCGTAAGCCACTGCACCTGGCCTCTTTTTTTTTTTTTTTTTTTTTAAGACAGAGTCTTGCTCTGTCTCCCAGGCTGGAGTGCAGTGGTGCAATTTTGGCTCACTGCAGGTTCTGCCTCCCGGGCTTAAGCAATCCTCCCACCTCAGCCTCCAGAGTTGCAGGGACTATAGGCATGAGGCATCACATCCAGCTAATTTTTGTATTTTTCAAAGAGGCAGGGTCTTGCCATGTTGCCAGGCTGGTCTCGAATTCCTGGCCTCAAGCAATCCTCCCGCCTCAGCCTCCCAAAGTACTAGGATTACAGGTGTAAGCCACCACACTTGGCCTGGTTTTCTTATGAGGCTGATGCTGACAGTGCCCCACGTCTGTTCCTAGCCAGAAGGCACAAGGAGGCTGACACAGCCCCAGGGCTTCAGGACTTACCTGGGGGGTGACCATACAGGTTACTCACGAGGGTGGTGTTGGCCCACTTGAAGAACTCTCGGAAGCCGAGCACACCTGAAAAGCCCCTGGTGAAGCTGTGCTGGAGGTGTCTGTTGAGGTGGTAGGCGCTGGGGTCCCTCTGCCCGTAGGCCACGAGCAGTAGCATCCACAGGAAGCCCAAGTATGCTGGGGAGGGAGGCACAGTCCCTGCTCAGGCAGGATCCACGACTCCCACCCAGTCCAAGTCAGGAAATGGAAAGGCCTCCTAGACCAGCCCCTCGCCACTGTGGTGACAATGGAACCAATCTTTATAGAGGCAGCGGAGAGGAGTAAAGTCACAGACCATGGGATCTCCTGCCTGGGTCCAAATCCCAGCTCTGCGACATCTCATCCAGGCGCCCTTCACAAGTGAGTCTATCCTTCCATGCCTCACTCTCCCCATCTATGAAATGGGAATAACAATTCTGTGATGAGGGGATCAGTTAATATTAGAAAGTACTGGCCGGGAGTGGTGGCTTATGCCTGTAATCCCAGCACTTTGGATCACTTGACGCCAGGAGTTCAAGACCAGCCTGGCCAACATGGTGAAACCCTGTTTCTACTAAAAATACAAAAATGAGCCGGGCATTGTGGCGCATGCCTGTAATCCCAGCTACTCAGGAGGCTGAGGCAGAAGAATCGCTTGAACCTGGGAGGCGGATGTTGCAGTGAGCTGAGATCATGCCACAGCACTTCAGCCTGGGTGACAGAACAAGACTCCATCTCAAAAAAAAAAAAAAAAAATTAGAAATCACATAAAACAGTGTCTGCAGGCCGGGCATGGTGGCTCACGCCTGTAATACCAGCACTTTGGGAGGCCAAGACGGGTAGATCACCTGAGGTCAGAAGTTCGTGACCAGCCTGGCCAACATGGTGAAACCCCCCCTCTACTAAAAATGCAAAAATTAGCCGGGTATGGTGGTGCACGCCTGTAGTCCCAGCTACCTGGGAGGCTGAGGCAGGAGAATTGCTCTAACCCAGGAGGCAGAGGTTGCAGTGAGCCGAGATCGTGCCACTGCACTCCAGCCTGGGCGACAGAGAGAGACTCCATCTCAGAAAAAAACATAAAAAAACAAAAAACAAAAAAAGAGTGTCTGCTACATTAAGCATTTCTTAAATAGAATTTTAAAAAATGGGGCATTTGCCACGTTGCATGGCTGAGGGTATGGTGGTGAAGACAAACACGTTCCTGCCCTCATGGTGCTCACCTGTCTCGTTGGAGACAGGTGAGTGTGACGTAGAGGATCCTTTAGGTGCAGATATTTAGTGTGGGGGGGTGGACATCACAATAACATGAGGGATCAGGTTCTTAGTGAACCGGAACCTCTGGTTCCTGGGCCTGGGAATCTGTATTCCAAGACTCTCCCCTCTCCCTGCAACCACCTCAGAAGACTTGAATGGATGCCAATGAGTAGGACACTTTGGGGGCGTGCACTATATGCTCTCTCCAAGGTCCACAGTGGGACTGAATCCCAGTGGCCCACCTAAAACCCACCTGTCAGGTACCCTCTGTTGGCTTCCTTCCCTCTCTGCTGCCCTTTCTCCTCCAACCAGTGCTTTCCAGGACTACCTCCCAAATCAGCTACTTGCACCCAAATCTGCTCTGGGAAATCCAGACTCAGAGGCTCCCTGAGGTGTGAAGGCTTTTGACCAGCTGGGCCGGGGAAGCCACGCTGCAGACACAGTGTTTAGGCTGAGATTTAAAGAATATGAGGAATTAGGCCAGGCCCAGTGGCTCACGCATGTAATCTCAGCACTTTAGGAGGCCAAGGAGGGCAGATCACTTGAGGTCAGGAGTTCAAGATCTGCCTGACCATCATGGCAAAACCCTGTCTCTACCAAAAAAACAAAAATTATCTGGGCATGGTGGTGTGCGTTTCTGGTCCCAGCTGCTCCGGAGGCTGAGGCAGGAGAATCGCTTGAACCCAGGAGGCGGAGGTTGCAGTGAGCCGGGATTGTGCCACTGCACTCCAGTCGGAATGACAGAGTAAAATTGTATCTTAAAAAATAAAATAAAAAATTAAATAAAAAATTTAAAAATCTTAGGCCAGGCGTGGTGGCTTATGCCTGTAATCCCAGCACTTTGGGAGGCGGAAGCGAGTAGATCACCTGAGGTCGGGAGTTTGAGACCAGCCTGACCAACATGGAGAAATCCCATCTCTAACAAAAAAAATACAAAATTAGCTGGGCATGGTGGCGCATGCCTGTACTCCCAGCTACTTGGGAGGCTGAGGAAGGAGAATTGCCTGAACCCGGGAGGCGGAGGTTGCATTGAGCTGAGATCGTGCCATTGCACTCCAGCTCAGGCAACAAGAGCAAAACTCTGTCTCAAAAAAAAAAAAAAAAATTAAAAATCTTTAAAAAGGCCGAGCATGGTGGCTCATGCCTGTAATTCCAGCATTTTGGGAGGTCAAAGCAGGCAGATCACCTGAGGCCAGGAGTTCGAGACCAGCCCGGCCAACATGGTAAAACCCTGTCTCTATTAAAAATACAAAATTTAGCCGGGTATCGTGGCGCACGCTTGTAATCCCAGCTGCTCAGGAGGCTGAGGCGAGAGAACGGCTTGAACCCCGGAGGCAGAGGTTGCAGTGAGCCGAGATCGTGCCACTGCACTCCAGCCTAGGTGACAGAGTGAGACTCTGTTTCCAAAAAAAAAATAAACAAATAAATAAATAAGAATAAGAGGAATTAGGCAGAAGAAAAGCTGGGGAGGAGGAGTGAGCAGACTCCAGGCCGATGAGATGGAACTGCCTGGGCAGAAGCCTGGGGTGGGGACAGGGTGCAGGTCGCAGGTGCTATAGAAGCCAATGTGAGGACAACGTGGGTCACGGGAGCCGGGAGCGGGCACTTGAAGCGGGTAGAGCCACAGGAGCCGGTTTGAGTTTTGTCGTAAGGGTCATGAGAGGCGACCGAAGGATTTTAAGTGTAGGGGAGAAGCTGGAGTGTGCTGATATCCAGAGAAACTGAGGCCCAAAAGACGAGCGGGACTTATCAAAAATAGCACCGTAAGGGTGTCTGTCTGTTTCAGGCTGTGCTGAGAGCCAGCGAGTGGGAAGGATGCCTACCCAGGATTTCTCTGATGAGGGCAAATGCTTTCTGTTCCTTGAGGTGGGTGGTTTTCATCTTCTCAATGGCAGCGGTGAGAGGTGGCTGGTAGACATCCCTGCTGCTGTTTCTTCGTGCTCGGAACAAGGCATAGGGGTCTGTGGAGGGAAGGACACCAGGACAGCCCCTACGTGTGCAGAGGAGGACAGGCTCTGCGTTTGCAACCATAGGCCCCTCTCTCACCTGCTGCAATGGGCTCTGCGTTCCTCTTCCTTGGGAGTCGTTTCCCAACTCTACCCTCCACACCTCTGTCCATGTTCTCCCAGGGCCTAGAGTCCCACGCCTCCTCCATCTGGAGGACTCTCCATAGAGAAAGCACAGAGGTGTCTTCCCCTCCCTGAAATCTTTCTGGCCCCTGCACTGCCTTCCCCGACACTCCAAAACTGATGGATTCGAGGATGAGGGTGACAAATATCTCAAAGTCCTCTCATGTCTGTTACCTAGTATCTTCATTTTTTCAAATTTAGCTTCAATTTTAATTTTTTTTTTTTTTTGAGACACATTTTCACTCTGTTGCCCAGGCTGGAGTGCAGTGGTACAATCTCGGGTCACTGCAACCTCCACCTCCCGGGTTCAAGCAATTCTCCTGCCCCAGCCTCCCGAGTAGCTGGGATTACAGGTACGTGCCATCATGCCTGGCTAATTTTTGTATTTTTAGTAGAGACAGGGTTTCGGCATGTTTGCCAGTCTGGTCTCGAACTCCTGATCTCAAGTGATCTGCCTGCCTCGGCCGCCCAAAGTGCTGTGATTACAGGCATGAGTCATCGTGTCCAGCCTCATCAATTTAAATTAAATTTTTAAATTTTTATTTATTTTTCATTTTAAGGCCAGTCATGGCGGCTCAAGCCTGTAATCCCAGCACTTTCGGAGGCTGAGGCAGGCGGATCACCTGAGGTCAGGAGTTCGAGACCATCCTGACCAACATGGTGAAACCCCATCTCTACTAAAAATACAAAAATTAGCCGTACGTGGTGGTGCACGCCTGTAATCCCAGCTACTCAGGAGGCTGAGACAGGAGAATCACTTGAACCCAGGAGGTGGAGGTTGCAGGTAAGAGAAGAGAGACGGATCCTCTCATATTGCTTTATATTGTTTTATACTCAAAAAGGAAAGAGAAGCGAAACTAAAGGCAGGTAGCCCGGCGCCTAAGAACTAGACCCGAAACCAAGGAACCAGACCTGAAACCAGGCCTGGGCCTGCCTGACCTAAGCCTGGTAGTTAAAGATCGACCCCTGACCTAACCGGTTATGTTATCTATAGATTCCAGACATTACATGGAAAGGCATTGTAAAAATCCCTGTCCTGTTCTGTTTCGTTCTGATTACTGGTGCATGCAGCCCCCAGTCACGTACCCCATTTGATCAATTGATCAGGACCCTCTCACACGGACCCCCTTAGAGTTGTGAGCCCTTAAAAGGGACAGGAATTGCTTACTTGGGGAGCACGGCTCTTGAGACAGGAGGCTTGCCGATGCTCCCGGCCGAGTGAACCCCTTCCTTCTTTAACTCGGTGTCTGAGGAGTTTTGTCTGCGGCTCGTCCTGCTACACAGGGAGCCGAGACCATACCACTGCACTCCAGCCTGGGTGACAGAGCAAGTCTCTGTCTCAAAAAAAAAAAATTTTTTTAATAAAAAAAATTAAAAAAATAAAAATAAAATGTTTTTCATTTTACTTGTTTTGTAGAGATGCAGTCTTGCTGTGTTGCCCAGGCTGGAGTACGGAGGTGCAATCACAGCTCACTGAAGCCTTGACCTCCTCGGGCTCAGGCAGTCCTCCCACATCAGCCTCTCGAGTAGCTGGGTTTGCATGCATGCACCACCATGCCCGGCTATTTTTTTGTATTTTCGGTAGAGAAGGGATTTCCCCATGTTGCCCAGGCTAGTCTCAAACTCCTGAATTCAAGTAATCTGCCCACCTCAGTCTCCCAAAGTGCTGGGACTACAGGCATGAGCCACTGGGCCTTGCCTCCTGTTCTTTCAAAACAGTCTGGGCACGGTGGCTCACGCCTGTAATCTTAGCACTTTAGGAGGCCAAGGCGGGCGGATCACTTGAGGTGAGAAGTTCGAGACCAGCCTGGCCAACATGGCAAAACCCCGTCTTTACTAAAAATACAAAAAATAGCCGGGCGTGGTGGTGGGTGCCTGTAATCCCAGCTACTTGGGAGGCTGAGGCAGGAAAATCGCTTGAACCTGGGAAGTGGAGGTTGTAGTGAGCCGAGATCACGTCACTGCACTCCAGCCTGAGCAACAGAGCAAGACTCCATCTCTCTCTTACACACACACACACACACACACAAATCATAAAACAGATCATCATTCTCATATGTAAAGCCCTTCCACATCCCAGCCTTGCCCCAGCTCCTATAAGACCCTGACAACCTGCTGCCCACCCCCTCTACCCTTATCTCTAACCATTCTCCCCCACCCCCAACTCAACATGCTCCAGACACACTGTCAATGGTTGCTATAAAATGGCTGCAATAAAACGACACCACTGTCCCACCTCGCGGCCTTTGCAGGTGCTGAGTGTGCAGTCCTTCCCTTCCCCCGTTCTCAGCAGAGAGGTTAGGCACCACCGCAGCAGAGAGGCCTGCCCTCTCTTGATCTTCCCCAACCCTATTTCTTACCATAATTCACACTTATATGTCTACTTGTGCATTTACCTGGTTGATGCCATCTCCCCAAATGGGCTGTTCATTCCAAAGGCAGCAACCTGTGCTGTGTTGGCAGGGACTGGGGTTGGAAGTGGGGATTGACTTTACATGGGCAACAAAGAACCTTTTGGGCTGACGAAGCTCTTCTAAATGTGAATTGCAGTGATGGTTACATAACCCTATACATTTACTGAAATCAACAAATTGTGCACTTACAATGGGTGAATTTTATGTAAATTATATTCCCAAGCCATCACAAGGCCTGGCCCGCAGCCAGTGCTCCCTGAGGACTTGCCAAAGGGGTGACTGAATGAATATTTAATGGTCTGGAGCCTAGCATCTCTGTGGAGAATTGAGAAGATTTTAATGGACCTCTCAGATCTGCAAATCTAAAACGCTGTCCTGGAATGGAAGAATACAGGCCCTGAAGAGGTAGCCACATTGCACTGTGAGGCACGTGCATGGCATTTGGTTTGTTTGTTTCTATTTTATTTTCCCTGAAAGGCAAGACCATTGCCTCAATGATTCCACGTTGATTCAGTTTTATTTGCATGTTTGTTTTGTCATTACTGTCACCACCCTTGGGAATTTTGGTTGGGAAGTGAGAAGTCAGGCTGGGAGGATGGGGACTGGCCAGTGGCCTCCTAGAGCAGGGGTGAGTGTGGCCGTATTTCAACAAACCTCTATTTACAAAAACAGGCAGCAGGAGACATGTGGCCCCCCAGCTGTAGTTTGCAGAGCTTTGTCCTAAAATTCTAATTTGCGGCCACTTTTTGCAGCCTCCTGTAAACCGATTCTTGTTTTAGTTTCTGTTCTAAAGCCCAGGGCCCTGAGTCTCGGAGAAGAAAGCTGCTTGCTTGGAATTACACAGAGAAGGACCGCCCATGTGGACAGCTTCGTCCCTGAGGCAACTCTTCTAGCTGGCAGGTCATACTTGGGTGTCATGGAGAAATGCCAGGGAACGAACAAACACAGATACTCAGGAGACAATGGAGTCACTTTTTTCCTGGCTCTTTTGGGGATGGCTCACAAACTGGGGGTGAAAAGCTGATGAGGAACAAAGGTCTGGGGAGCTGGCCCAAGGCCCAGGACCCCCAACAGGCTGCACTCTGCAGGGCTCACTGAGCCTCATCAGGGCCGCAGCTGGCCAGACCCTGCCTCCAGCCACCGAGGCACATTACCTGGGCCCAACAGATGTCCTGGCAGCGGGGCCACAGTATCCTCCTCATCGTCCACTCTCTTCAAGACCAGTGCAAAGAAAGCAGCGAATCCCAGCACCTGAAAAATACCCAGGGAGGTCCTCGAACCCACTCTGGTAACTCTCAACCCCTCATCTGCGAGCACGTGGGGCTTGGGGCCACGTTTGTATGTTGGGGAGGGCCCTGTGTTTTGGGGGAATGCAGCTCCCTTCTGCAGAGATGGGAGGTGGTCATGAAGCTGGACCGCAAGGCCTTGGCTCGCAGACCAGATGGGGGACTGGCCAGTCCTAGAACTCCCCTGAGCCTTCCCACCTACTACCGCTCACCTGTCTGAGGGGTCTCTGATCTCTCCGCAAGGAGAATTGCTCTCCCCCAGGGCTTTCAGCACAGGGATCCTGCCCCACCCTGCTCCTTCCCTTTCCTCCAGTATTAAGTAATGCGCTCAGGTGCAGGGTCTCAGCTGCAAGGCCTCAGCCACGTGATCTCTGCGCCTGCTCCACACAAACACAGGAGGATCCTGTGGTTCACTTGGGGAACAGAAAGGCTCAAGACGCAGCCCTGTTCTTAGTATCCTGCGAGCCTAGTGTTGAAGGGAGGTGTCGGATGCTTTTTGAGTCTTATGGTAAAGGCTGTTCAGGGAAGAATGGGGGACGAGAGGGGATTTGGCAAAGTCCCATAGGTGTAAAGATGAGCTTTGTTTTTTTTGAGATGGAGTCTTGCTCTATTGCCCCAGCTGGAATGCAATGGCATGATCTAGGCTCACTGCAACCTCCGCCTTCTGGGTTTAAGTGATTCTCCTGCCTTAGCCTCCCTAGTAGCTGGGATTATGGGCACCCACCACCACGCTCGACTAATTTTGTAATCTTTTTCTCTTTTTTTTTTTTTTTGAGATGGAGTTTTGCTCTTATTGCCCAGGCTGGAGTGCAATGGCGCAATCTCGGCTCACTGCAACCTCTGCCTCCCGGGTTCAAGTGATTCTCCTGCGTCAGCCTCCTGAGTAGCTGGGATTAGCTGCGATTACAGGCATGCACCACCACACCTGGCTAACTTTGTATTTTTAGTAGAGACAGGGTTTCTCCATGTTGGTTAGGCTGGTCTTGAACTCCTGACCTCAAGTGATCCACATACCTCAGCCTCCCAAAGTACTGGGATTACAGGCGTGAGCCACCGCGCCCAACCAAGATTTGCTTTAAATATCTCCTCCTTTCGGTGGCTTCCCCTACACCCCAATCCAGTATCTCTTCCCCTTAGGGGTTCCCCAGGGATTGCCCACTGCCCGACTCCTTCCAAGGGAAACTGTGCCCCTTGCCTCCTCTGCTCTACACCTGGATTTAGGATTTCTTTCTTTCTTTCTTTTTTTCTTTCCACCATCCCAGGCTAACAGATCACCAGGAGCTGGTCTCATGGGAGCTGCCTGACCAAGGATTTTTTTTTTTTTTTTTTTTTTGAGGCAGGGTCTTGCTCTGTCGCCCAGGCTGGAGTTCAGTGGCGCAATCACAACTCACTGCAGCCTCAAACTCCTGGACTCAAGCGATCCTACCACCTCAACCTCCCAAAATACTAGGATTACTGGCATTGAGCCACCATGCCGAGCCAGAATTTCTTCAACTCTAACAAGTTCTTTTGCGTAATTTTACATCTCAGAAATAGGAGTGTAGCTTCTAACTCAGGCACACATATAATGACTTGGTGTTTTTTCCAAAGGGAAAATTCCTTTAAATTGCTGTCTTTTCCCTTGCAAGCAGACTCAGAAAAAAAAAAAAAATGAATAACTAGCTACATAAATTGTTGTCTTGTCTCAAGATCAAATGGATGTTAACATTGAGGAAATAGGGTATTATTTATACATATATATGTATACCCTAGGGCAAGGGTAACCTCGGGTAATATGATAGGGCTATTTTTCCTGCCTTGGGCCTGCCCAGAGGGGGTGCTCCAGGTTCATTTGTTGAATATATAAATAAAGGAATAAAAGCCCAGGGACTAGACTGCTGGCAGTAGGGAAGGGATGGGTGGAGGGGAGGAGGGCGGGTGCCTGAGGCAGGGTCCTGACCTTCAGGGGCTGGGTGACGAACATGCTCTCCACGAAGGAGACAGCCATGGAGATGAGCCACCTGAGGGAGCTGGCCCTCCCGTAGTGCAGGCCGTAGAGCATGGTGAAGAAGGCCGCCACGCCACTGGTGGCCGCTACCAGGAGCCAGCCCACCAGGATGCACCACCAGGGCAGGCCTTGAGGGGGTTTGCTCACCTGAAGAGCGCTGCAAAGGAGGTGGACAGACATAGTTAGGGTGGCCACACCCCCAGGCAATCTCAAGGTCAAACCCCACTCTACTCTGATCAGCATGACCTTGGCCAAGCTCCTGGACCTCTCAGATCCTCTGTTTCCTTCTCTGTAATCTATACCTATCTCAAAGGTCTATGCCATAGTCTGTGGAGTAAAAGCAGTTACATTTACTCAGTGCTTAGTAGGGGCAAGTCCCCGCACTAAATGCTACACACAGATTTGCTCTGTTATTGCTCAGGGCAAGCCTAGAAGGCAGATACCATAGAATCTTGTTTTAAGTTTTCTCCCCCCGGGTGCAGTGGTTCATGCTTGTAATCCCAGTACTTTGGGAGGCCAAGGAGGGCGGACCACAAGGTCAGGATTTCGAGACCAGCCTGGCCAACATGGCGAAACCCCGTCTTTACTAAAAATACAAAAATTAGCCGGGCGTGGTGGCGGGCACCTGTAATCCCAGCTACTCGGGAGGCTGAGGCAGGAGAATTGGTTGAACCCGGGAGGTGGAGGTTGCAGTGAGCCGAGATCGTGCCATTGCGCTCCAGCCTGGGCAACAAGAGCAAGACTCTGTCTCAAAAAAAAGAAAGAAAATTCTCATCATACAAAAATTAGTGAGCACAGTGAATACCCAGGTGTTTATTAGCTGGCAACCACTATCACCCCTTGTCACACTTATTTCATCTGCCCCTCAGCCCTGTTTTGTTTTTGTTTTTGGCTGGAAAATTTCAACATAAATTCCAGACATAATACAAAATAATTCCTAGTCACTTCAGAATGCATCTCAAAAGTGGCCATTTTTGCCAGGCGTGGTGGCTCACGCCTGTAATCCCAGCACTTTGGGAGGCTGAGGCAGGTGGATCACTTGAGGTCAGGAGTTCGAGACCAGCCTGGCCAACGTGGTGAAAGCCCATCTCTACCACAAATACAAAATTTAGCTGGGCGTGGTGGTGGGCACCTGTAATCTCAGCTATTCGGGGAGGCTGAGGCAGGAGACTCACTTGAACCCAGGAGGCAGAGGTTGCAGTGAGCCGAGATCACGCCATTGCATTCCATCCTGGGTGACAGAGCAAGACTCTGTCTCAAAAAAAAAAAAAAAGGCAATTTTCTTACTGAATTACGATGCTGTTTTCACACAGCTAAATTAACAGTAATTTTTAAATGTCACCTAGTAACCTGTCTGTATTCAAAGTTCACTGGTTATCTTAAAAAATGCATTTTGTTTTAAGTTTGAATCAAGAGATAGGCGTCATCATTCCCATTTTAAAGATCAGGAAACTAAGCCTGAGAAGTTGAGGAGCCGGTCCAAGAGTGAAGTGCACAGATGGGAAACAGCCCACAGGAACACCGTTGTGACTGTAGCATGCGGTACAAAGGGCCCTGAGTGCCTTCCAGCAAACAGACCTGTTCAAACCCGGCCTCCCTGAATGTGTGCAGGAATCCTGCATTGTTTCTGCCTGGCAAGGTCTGGGTGGACATCCTTCCAAGATTGTTCAGAATGCCCTTTCCAGACGGCCCCAGGCTGGGGCAGGCAGGCACCCACTCAGCCCCCAGGGAAGTGGATTACCTGGCATGTGCAGGGGCCCAGGTGCCCGGCTGTACCCCCAGGCCGCCCTTCAGGGTCTGCAGCTGCCTGAGGGCCTGGGCATGGCTGTGGGGCTGGGAGAAGCCTCGGGGCCCCACCAGCCGCAGCTCTTGCTCCACGTGTTCCAGCTGAAGGTACAGACACTGCCTGTAGGCGCTGTCCTTCCAGGGGCCACTCCGTGCCGCCTTGGGCTTGGGACACTGTGATTTCTCTGGAGGACAAAGAAGAAAGCGATCAGCTTGTGCTGAGTCACAGAGCAAACCAGCTGCAATACAAACAACAGCCAGGTGGGGCGGCATGCGCAGGTGGTCCCAGCTACTCGGGAGACTGAGGCAGGAGGATCGCTGGAGCCCAGGAGGGCGAGGCTGCAGTGAGCTATGATGGCGCCACTTCACTCCAGCCAGGGCAACAAAGCCAGATCCTGTCTCCAAACAAAACAAACAAACCTCCCCCCACAAAACACAACAGTAATAGTACCAGCTTCTGAGTATGAAATGCTTGCTATGTGCCAAGCCCTGAGAAATCTGAGGTTCAAAGAGACGGAGTAAGGTTTTAGGGTCACACAGCCAGTTAGGATTCGATGTTTCTCTTTTAGATTTTTATCAGAGTCATTCTTCAAATTTCCCTACACATCAAGAGAACAGAGGAGAATCCCATACTCATCACTCCAGCTACAACAATGACCAACATTTGGCCAGTCTTGTCTCATCTCTTTTCTTCTCCTGGAGCTTTTTTTTTTTTTTTTTTTGCAGTGAAGTCTCACTCTGTCTCCCCAGCTGGAGTGCAGTGGTGTTATCTCAGCTCACTGCAACCTCCACTTCCTGGGTTCTAGAAGCAGTTCTCTTGCCTCAGCCTCCTGAGTAGCTGGGACTACAGGCGCACGCCACCACGCCCAGCTAGTTTTTGTATTTTTAGTAGAGAGATGGGGTTTCACCATGTTGGCCAGGTTGGTTCTAAACTCCTGACCTCAGGTGATCCGCCCGCCCCGGCCTCCCAAAGTGCTGGGATTACAGGCGTGAGCCACAGTGCCCGCCCTCACCCCCCGACTCCCCCACCCCCTGGGCCCAGAGTATTTTAAAGCAAATACTTTAATATGGTAAGACTTGAATTTGAACCCTTTTTTGTCTAGTGCCAAATATAGTGTAATCCTGTCCCTTTGTTTTTTTGTTTTTTTTGTTGTTGTTGTTGAGACGGAGTTTTGCTCTTGTCGCCCAGGCTGGAGTGCAGTGGCGCAATCTCAGCTCACTGCAACCTCCGCCTCCCAGGTTCCAGTGATTCTCCTGCCTCAGCCTCCTGAGTAACCGGGATTACAGGCACCCGCCACCATGCCCAGCTAATTTTTTTTTTTTGTATTTTTAGTAGAGACGGATTTTTACCATGTTGGCCAGGCTGGTCTTGAACTCCTGACCTCAGGGGATCGGCCAGCCTCAGTCTCCCAAAGTGCTGGGATCACAGGCATGAGCCAGCACGCCCGGCCAATACAGTGTAATCCTTAATCTTGTGTTTTTAGCTTTTTTAAAAATTATGAAACATCTCAAACATATAAAATTAGAGCAAATGATGAGATGAAGCCACACAGCGACACAGCGTCAAAATGATCAAAATGACGCAGCGAGACTCCGTCTCAAAAAAAAAAAAAAAAAAGAAGAAATGCAGTTATAATCTTGTATCTTCCCTTCACCTACAGGACAAGCTTTTCTAACTGTGCTTAGCATCTCCAAGGCAGAGCACTATCCCACCTGGAGGTTGCCTTGAGAGACAGCAGTCCATCTGCAACCCAAAGAACGCCTCCGACGAAACTGTCTCTCATGTTGAGAGTTTCAGCCACTTGTACAGGCTAGCCCTGCCCAGGAAGGTGCAAGCTGGACCTCCTGGTAGATAATTCTAATTCACTGAAGTGCGTTACGCCGACCCCCACTGGCTTGCTTCCTCTCCTCCCCGCCATTCATGCCAAGTCTCCTTTTAAAATCCCTGCTTTCTGCCTCAGAGGTGTAGTGATATCCTTAAGTCAGGAAGCCTGTACTTCTTCCCCTAAGCTAGCTTTGGAATAAAAAGTTACTTCTCTTTCTCTCTCCACCCACCGACCTCTATCTCTTTTTGAGACAGGGTCTAACTCTGTCCCACAGGCTGGAGTGCAGTGGCGTGATCTTGGCTCACTGCAACTTCTGCCTCCCGGGCTCAAGTGATCTTCCCACCTCAGCTTCCCAAGTAGCTGGGGCTACAGGCACATGCCACCATGCCCAGATAAAAAAGTCACTTTTTTTTTTTTTTTGAGACAGAGTCTCACTCTGTCGCCCAGGCTGGAGTGCAGTGGTGCGATCTCGGCTCACTGCAACCTCCGCCTCCCAGGTTCACGCCATTCTCCTGGCACAGCCTCCCTAGTAGCTGGGTCTACAGGCACCCGCCACCACACCGGGGTAATTTTTTGTATTTTTAGTAGAGACGGGGATTCACCGTGTTAGTCAGGATGGTCTCGATCGCCTGACCTCGTGATCCGCCCGCCTTGGACTCCCAAAGTGCTGGGATTACAGGCGTGAGCCACCGCTCCCGGTCAAGAGTCACTTTTTAAATACCAGATCTCACTCTGATTAACTGGACTCTGCAAATGGCAAGCAACTATATCTGCATTTTGGTTACAGCCAGGTATATGCATCTCCAGCCCTGACTCAGATAAGGTTAGGGTGTTGGGTAAATGGCTATGGTGAGGTCAACTCCTACCTTCCTCTGACTCACAGCCTCCTCCCTCACCCTCCTGACTGGGCTCCCTCACTGAAGCCTCAGCTGAAGATTCCAAGTCAACACTTTATTTTGCAGGGCTTCTGCTAATGTTTCTGAAAGATAACATCACTGCCAATCATAACACCACTTACTGTATACCTGCTTTGTGTCAGGCTGGGATCTAAATACTTTACATGTCTTACAATCTTATTCAGCCCTCACAATAAGCCAACGAGCTAGGTGGATCAATACCCCTATTTTATATTTTTTTTACTTTGAGACACGGTCTCACCCTGTCAACCAGGCTGGAATGCAGTGGTGCAACCTTGGCTCACCGCAACCTCTGCCTCCCAGGCTCAGGCAGTCCTCCTATCTCAGCCTCTCAAGTAGCTAGAATTACAGGTATGTGCCACCACGCCCAGCTAATTTTTAACACACCCCCTTTTTTTTTTTTTTTTTTTGAGACAGGAGTCTTGCTCTGTCACCCAGGTTGGAGTGCAGTGGTGCAATCTCAGATCACTGCAACCTCCACCTCCCAGGTTCAAGTGATTCTCTTGCCTCACCTCCCAGGTTCAAGTGATTCTCCTGCCTCAGCCTCCCGAGTAGCTAGGACTACAGGCGTGTGCCACCACATGCAGCTAATTTTTTTATTTTTAGTAGAGATGGGGTTTTGTCATGTTGACCAGGCTGGTCTTGAACTCCTGACCCCAGGTGATCTGCCCACCTCGGCCTCCCAAAGTGTTGGGATTACAAGCGTGAGCCACCACGCCCAGCCAACACCTCTATTTTCTAAGGGAAGAAATGAAGTCTCAGAGAGGTTGAGCAACTTGTTTAAAGTTGCACCGCTGCTACTGCAGCTGGGAGATCCCAAGGTTCTGGCCGACTCCAGAGTTCATGTTCTTAAGGTCCAGTGTGTCCAGCTGTGAATGCTAAAACTCCCAAACTCAAAGTCAAGGATCTAGTGGAAGCAGGGATGACCTCCATAAGCAGCCCAAACCCAGCTCTCTGGGGCAAATTCTTTTTTTTTTCTTTTTTTTTGAGATGGAGTCTTGCTCTGTCACCCAGGCTGGGGTGCAGTGATGTGATCTCAGCTCACTGCTGACTACACCTCCCAGGTTTAAGCGATTCTCTGCCTCAGCCTCTTGAGTAGCTGGGACTACAGGGGCAAGTAACTCTATCAGGGGTGGGGCCAAGAATTATGAATTCAAATTGCTTATTCTATAAACCATACTTTCGTGTTCTAAACAAGGTTTAGATAGTGGCCACCCTTGTGTATTAAAAATGGTAGCATTCTAAACCCACATAACTATCCACCATGTTCCACAGAACATTTCTGTCACTGTAGAAAGTTCTATTGGATGGCACCGCTCTAAATGGGAAGATGGACAGGAAAGGGGCATGAAGGGAACCAGGAGACTAGTTGAAACCGGAATAATATGCCATATATACATTTGTTTAATGAAAAGAAAACAATGTTACTGGGTTCTAGCTGGATATTGTTGGAAAAACCTCTGAATTTGAGATCTTTTATCTCTGTCAAACAGATTAAGGAGTGTTAGAGAGGCATTAAAGACATAGTCGCACCAAACTGAGACTTTCTCCCTTTTTTTTAGAGCTAGGGTCTTGCTCTGTCACCCAAGCTGGGGTGCAGTGGCACCTGTAACCTCAAACCAGTTTGCTGTAACCTCAAACTCAAAAAAAAGACTCAAGGGATCCTCCCACCTCAGCCTTCCAAATAGCTGGGACTACAGGTGCCCATTGAGAAGGAGTCTTGCTCTGTTGCCCAGGCTGGAGTGCAGTGGTGTGATCTTGGCTCACTGCAACCTCCACCTCCCGGGTTCAAGTGATTCTCCTGCCTCAGCCTCCCAAGTAACTGGGATTACAGATGTGCACCACCACGCCCAGCTAATTTTTGTATTTTTAGTAGAGATGAGGTTTCACCATGTTGGTCAGGCTGGTCTCGAACTCCTGACCTCAAGTGATCTGCCCACCTTGGTCTCCCAAAGTGCTGGGAATACAGGCATGAGCCACCGTGCTTGGCTAACACCTGGTTAAGTTTTAAACTCTTTGTACAGACAGGGTCTCCCTATGTTGCCAACGCCGGTCTCGAACTCCTGGCCTCAAGCAATCCTCCCGCCTCAGCCTCTTAAAGTGCTGGGATTAGAGGCGTGAGCCAGTGCTCCCAGCCATTTGCTTAATTAGGAGGATTGAAAACGAATAGAGAAAGGAATAACTTTTCCAGTCTGCAATTCCATGTTCCTTAATGGTTTTTGCTGCCCTGACTGTGATCTTGCTTCCTGCCCCACATATTCAGGCACGGATCGAGTTCAGCTTTGCACCCCAGCACTCTACAGAAGAAGGCACCGAGGCATTGAGAATGGAGGTCACCTGTCCACGGTCACACAGCCGGCTAGTGGCAGAGCCAGGACCCAGACATGGTTCTTCCTAGTGGAGATGAGACAAAAGACAGATGGACGGCTCCCACCTCACGGAGTTTACATTCCAGGAAGGATGGCGCAAGCTTTAAACAATTTTCACCTGATTCATTAGTTGGCCACAAACAGGTTGAATGCAAGAAGCTTAGGGAGTTGGCCGGGCACAGTGGCTCACGCCTGTAATCCCAGCACTTTGGGAGGCCAAGGCAGATGGATCACGAGGTCAGGAGATTGAGACCATCCTGGCTAACACGGTGAAACCCCGTCTCTACTAAAAATACAAAAAATTAGCCGGGCGTGGTGGCAGGTGCCTGTAGTCCCAGCTATTCGGGAGGCTGAGGCAGGAGAATGGCATGAACCTGGGAGGCAGAGCTTGCAGTGAGCTGACATTGTGCCATTGCACTCCAGCCTGGGCGACACAGCGAGACTCCATCTCAAAAAAAAAAAAAAAAAAAAAAAAAACTTAGGGAGCTAAAGAGCGCGTGGTCAGAGGCCCTAGTGTAGGTTAGAGGCTTGGGTTGCTCCCCTGAAGAAGGAATGCTTAAGCCAAAACTAAAATTTCAGTAGGTATTGGCCTGGCGAAGAGAGGAGAAAGAACATTCTAGACTAAAGGACCAGCCTGTGTGAAGGCTGTTAGTGGGAAGGCAGCTTGGCATTGTAGGGACAGTAGGTGCCTGAGGTATACAGAGGGAGGGGATGGCCGGTGGTTCAAGCAGAGGCTGGTGAGGGAGACCTCTTGTTCCCCTAGTGATGCTGATGTACCCCTTTGCTGTGTCTCCACCCGGCCCCAAAATGCGGCTTCTCTTGGCACAGACATGTCCAGGGCTTACCTTTCATTTCTGATGACCCCAAAGTGAGTGTTACAGGGTCCTCTCTCTTTTTGGCTTCCTCCCAGAACACCTGCCCTGATGTGTTCTGTGGATAAATGACATCTTCCACCAAGGCGAGGAGACTGTTGATGTCCATCAAGTTCACTGAGTCCCAGCCCAAGGCGGGGGATGGCACCTTGAGAGCTTTGAAGAGGGAGCTGACGATTCTTGACACATCCTGGTGGGGAAAGGGGCCATAAGCCAAGGTGAGGGGTGCAGCACAGGGGTCAAGAGCACACGCCCTGGGCCTGGCAACCTGTGTAGGGACCCCTGCTCTGCCCACTGAGATGTGATAGTGACCTCCCTGAGCTTCCATTTGTCAGCTCTTGAATCCCTCTTCTAGGGTTTGAACTCATTCCAGGCTGTACTCCTCAAAGCGTGGCACACAGTAGGTGCTCAATGAAAGCTTACTGAATGCATCAACGCAGAGCGGGGAGTCTCGTCCATGGGCTTCCAGCCTGGGAGTCTACCATGAAGGCATAATTCTTTGCACACAGTAGATACTCAAAAAGTATGTGGGTGTATGCGTGTGTGCACATGTGCATGTGTATGTACATGTCTGTGTGTCTCTCTGTGTATGTGTGTGCATGTATGCATATGTGCACCTGTGTGTTTGTGTGTGCATGTGTGTACAGATGCATGGGTGCATGCATGTTGCATGTGTATGTGTGTCTTCAGTTGATGAATTTTGGCACCTCACGTTGCCAGGCAACACAGGGCTGCTGGGTCTCAAGCCCCAGGCCTCACCCCCACTTCTGCTGAGGCTACAGCACCCCCCAGGCTAGCTGAGGTTGAGGACCTGCCTTGGTCACTGCCTCAGGTGTCAGAAGGCCGTCCTCCATGGGCTGTGGGGAGGGAGTCAGGTTGGGGGACCCCCGGTCCCATTTTCCAGTGTTCTGCTCCTTCGCGACCCGGGGACGGGTGTTCTGAAAGATCTGAACAATCAGGAGGTTGATGGGGAACATGAGGATGGAGCTCTCCAGGCCAATCATCACCTCCTGCCAGGTGAATTCAATTTTACCTGGGGAAAGGGAAGGAAGGGATCAAAGGGAGAGGCCACCGCCCGGAGCCCAGTCCCTTCTGCCCCTTGTGGAAGCTGGCTGTGCAGTGAAGGGTTAACCCTGCCCAACGCCTGGGAGGTCACCGCTCAGCCCTTGGAAGTTCCCAACTGCTAAGAATGTCTTTGTTTCCCTAGGGTCTTGGGTCACACCGGATGGTCTGTGCTAATGATGAGATTTAGGTGGGGGCCTAGACCATATGATGTCAGCTTGACCTCTAGAGGGGCTGGAGGCGAAGGGCAGCCAAGTGGGTGTCAGCCATGCCTATATGTTGGAGCCCCAGTAAAAGCTCTGAATAGTGGCTGGGCATGGTGGCTCATGCCTGTAATCCCAGCACTTTGGAAGGTCAAGGTGGGTGGATTACCTGAGGTCAGGAGTTGGAGGCCAGCCTGGCCAACATGGTGAAACCCCTTCTCTACTAAAAATACAAAAATTAGCTGGGCATAGTGGTGGGTGCCTGTAATTCCAGCTACTCGGGAGGCTGAGGCAGGAGAATTGCTTGAATCCGGGAAGCAGAGGTTGCATTAAGCCGAGATCATACCACTGCATTTCAGTTTGGATGACAAGAGCAAAACTCTGTCTCAAAAAAAAAAAAAATTGTGAATTGCAAGGCTGGAGTGAGTCCCCCTGGTTGGCAATACTCCATGTGCACTGTCACACATCCTCAGGAGAAGTCAGCACCATCCACGACTCCACTGGGAGAGGATGCTGGAAGCTATGTGCCTGGTCTCTTCTGGCCCCTGCTCCATGTGTCTCTTCCCTTTGCTGGTTTTAATCTGTATCCTTTCTGTGTTTTTTGTTCTTTTGGTTTGTTTGTTTATTTTTTTTTTTTTTGAGATGGAATTTTGCATTTTTTTACCCAGGCTGGAGTGCAATGGTGAGATCTCAGCTCACTGCAATCTCCGCCTCCTGGGTTTAAGTGATTTTCCTGCCTCAGCCTCCTGAATAGCTGGAACTACAGGTGTGCACCACCACACCCGGCTAATTTTGTATTTTTAGTAGAGATGGGTTTTCACCATGTTAGCCAGGCTTGTCTCAAATTCCTGACCTCAGGTGATCCACCTGCCTTCGCCTCCCAGAGTGCTGGGATTACAGGCGTGAGCCACCGTGCCAGCTGTATCCTTTCACTGCAGTAAACCATAACTATGAGTACAATGGGTTCTGTAAGTCCTGCTAGTGGATCACTGAACTGGAGGGCGGTCTTGGGGACTCTGGAATGGCAGTGGCATTGCTGGAGCAGTGAAGGCTCAGGTCCACCAGCCACTAACCCTGACCTCCATGACACTGGGAATTACCCAAGTCCATCTTTTGCTCAGCTGGGTCCTTGGGGACCCCCCAGAACATGATGCTGGTCAGCATGGTGCACAGCAGCAGGGAGAAGCAGCAGGACACCCTCTGGACGCGGGTGAAGCTGCTGCGAGCGCAGCGGCTGAAGATCGAATACCAGATGTGTCCATCCTGGAAGCCCGCGGAAGTCTTCATGAAAAACAGGTGGCTGCAGGCAGGCAGGGAGAGAGGGACAGGCATTTAGGGAGACAGGAATGGGGGAAACTGGTCTCTGTGGGTCGTTCTTGGGATGAGAAGCAGGAAGAGCGGCAGAGATTTGTTTCTAAGATTGTTCACACTTTTTTTTTTTTTTTTTTTCAGATAATGTCTTGTGTCTTGCTCTGTCACCCAGGCTGGAGTGCAATGGCACGATCTCGGCTCACTGCAACCTCTGCCTCCCAGATTCAAGCAACTCTCCTGCCTCAAACTCCCAGGTAGCTGGGATTACAGGTGCCCACAACCACGCCTGGCTAATTTTTTGTATTTTTAGTAGAGACATGGTTTCACCACATTGGCCAGGCTGGTTTCACACTCCTGATCTCAAGTGATCTGGCCGCCTTGGCCTCCCAAAGCGCTGGGATTACAGGTGTGAGCCACCGCGCCTAGCCACATTTTTTTTTCGGATGGAGTCTTGCTCTTGCCAGGCAGGAGTGCAGTGGCATGATCTTGGCTTACTGCAACCTCTGCCTCTGGGGTTCAAGTGATTCTCCTGCCTCAGCCTCCCAAGTATCTGGGACTACAGGTGTGAGCTATTTTTTTTTTTTGTATTTTTAGTAAAGACGGGGTATCACCATGTTGGCCAGGATGGTCTCGATTTCTTGACCCCTTGATCCACCCGCCTGAGCCTCCCAAAGTGCTGGTATTACAGGCATGAGCCACCGTCCCCGGCTCCCCCCCCAATTTTTTTTTTTTTTTTTAATAGAAGAAACACAGCATCTTAGCAGCATCACTTAGAGTTAACAATGAAGGCTCTGGAAGTCAGATTAGAATTACAGACGGCCCTCTTCCCAGCTGTGTGACCTCGGGCACGTTACTTTGTTCTTTGTACCTTAGATGACTTGTCTGTAAATTGGGGCAAGTAATAATAACAGAACCTACCTCACTGGATTGTTGAAAGGAATAAAAGTGATGATTCTGTAAAGCATTTGGGGCAGTAGCTGGCATATAGGTCAATATTCAATCAGTGTCAGCATTGTTATTTTTGCTGTAATTTTAATATAATAATATAGCTAAAATACTATTAGTTTTGTTACAGTTAGATCATTGGAGTACAGTGGTTAAAAATCCCAGGCATGACGGAGTGCAGTGGCTCATTCCTGTAATCCCACGACTTTAGCAGGGCAAGGAGAGAGGGTTGCTTGTGGTCAGGAGTTCAAGACCAGCCTGGCCAATGTGGTGAAACCCCGTCTCTAATAAAAGTACAAAAATTAGCCAGGCATGGTGGCATGCACCTGTAATCTCAGCTACTTGAGTGGCTGAAGCAGGAGAATTGCTTGAACTCAGGAGGCAGAGGTCACAGTGAGCCAATATCGTGCCACCATACTCCAACCTGGGTGACAGAGACTCTGTTCAAAAAAAAAAAAAAAAAAAAAAATCCCAGGCATGGCCAAGCACAGTGGCTCACACCTGTAACCCCAAAACTTTGGGAGGCTGATACGGAGGATCCCTTGAGCCCAGGAGTTTGAGACCAGTCTGGGCAATATGGTGAAACCCCATCTCTACAAAAACAGTTGGGCATGGTGGTGTATGTCTACAGTTTCAGCTACTCAGGAGGCTGAGGTAGGAGGATCTCTTGAGAAGGTCGAGACCATCCTAGGCAACATAGCAAAGATTCGTCTCTACTTAAAAAAAAAAAAAAAAAAGAAAAAGAAAGTGAGGCATCGTGGTGCATGCCTGCAGTCCCAGCTGCTCAAGAGGCTGAGGTGAGAGGATTGCTTGACCCAGGGGGGTAGAGGTTGCAGTGAGCTGTGATCGTGCCACTGCACTCCAGCCTGGGTGGCGGAACAAGACCTTATCTTAAAAATAAAGAAAACAAAAATAAAGTACCTGAATTGTTTTCTGTCCTGCTCCGTGGCCACAGGAAACACCTTATCGAGGACGCAATCTCCAACATTGATGGATAGCCAGGAGTTGCACAGGAAATACCACTTCCGGTCCATCACCAGGTCATAGACCAGCACCCGGCTCACATACCTGGAGAAGGGACCCAGAGTTTTGAGGATAAGGTGGAGCAGGGGAGGAGACTTCACTGGACATCACCAAGGTAACAGTTTTGCAAACATGAACCCAAAGAACAAGAGCTCCTCAGAAAAAGAAACCATATTTTTCTTTGTTCTTGGTGCCTTAATTAAAATTCGCGTCACATAAGGAGGTCAGCTACTGTAGAGAGCCAACTCTGGGAAGCTGCCATGTTTCCACAAAGATGCTGCAAAAGGATGCATTCGGAGACCATTAACCTGTACACATGGCACCAAGCTCAGGGCCAGCGTCCAGGCATGAGCAAGTAAAGCCAAATTGTGTAAAGTGTGCATGTTCAGGCAGGTGCAGGCTGGGGTACGCAGAACATGGTCCTCTCTTGCGTTTCTTTCTTTCTTTTTTTAAATTTTAGACAGAATCTTGCTCTGTCACCCAGGCTGGAGTGCGATGGAGTGATCTTGGCTCACTGTAACTTCCGCCTCCCAGGTTCAAGCGATTCTCCTGCCTCAGCCTCCCGAGTAGCTGGGATTACAGGCATGCACCACCACACCCGGCTAATTTTGTATTTTTAGTAGAGACAGGGTTTCTCCATGTTGGTCAGGCTGGTGTCGAACTCCTGACCTCAGGTGATCCACCCACCTCGGCCTCCCAAAGTGCTGGGATTACAGGCGTGAGCCACCGCGCCTGGCCTCCTCTCTTGCGTTTCTAACCAAAGAATCACCGTCTATCTTGGGCTGAGGACTTTGTGGGTATCTTCTAACCTGATTTAGGTCTTTGAGGTATGGGGAAGAATTGAAATTATCTTGCCTATCCTGTGATGTCAGATCGAGCAGCAGTTTTCCCTGTTGCTATACAGCCAACAAGAACAGCAATGATGGCTGGGTGTAGTGGCTCACGTCTGCAATTGCAGCACTTTGGGAGGCCAAGGTGGGCAGATCACTTGAGGTCAGGAGTTTGAAACCAGCCTGGCCAACATGGTAAAACCTCATCTCTACTAAAAATACAAATAAATAAATAAATAAATTAGCTGGGCATGGTGGCGTATGCCTGTAATACCAGCTACTCAAGAGGCCGAGGCAGGAGAATGACTTAAACCCAGGAAGCAGAGGTTGCGGTGAGCCGAGATTGTGCCATCACTCCAGCCTGGGTGACAGAGTGAGACTCTGTCTCAAAAAAAAAAAAAAAAAAAAGAACAGTAGGGATAGCAATAGCCGCTCTTCACTGAGAATTTACTACATAGCGGGGGCTATGCTAAGATGCTCTTGATATGCATTTTCTCATTTCAGGAAGGGCAGCCCCGTAGGAATGCAAAAGCCACCTATGTCAAGGTCACAGGCTTTTCTGGGGCAGCTGACATCCAGTGATGCAGTACCTACAGGGATCAAGACCTGGGTATTTCAACCCAACTTGGGACAGCTCCAGAGCTCCCCAGTGGTGGACCACACTGTTGCTGGGCTGCATCACAGCTTGACTTTTCTGCCATCCTGCCTCCTTCCCTCTGTTCCCAGGTGCTGGTCCCAGGGCCCTGTAATAAACACCCTGCATATGCAACTCCATCTGAGAGCCTGCTTCCCGGGAGCAACCTACAGCGGCCACGCTTAAAATATTAATGCTTAATCCCATAGGTGAATTAAAGTGCTATTGTTTTTCTAAAGCCGCCAGCTACTGATGGGTGGTCAGACTGGACACCACTCATCTGGGTCACTCATTTTGGCCTCAGAATGCAGAGAACCTTGCTCCAAACTTGCCAGCTGTGTGACCTTGGGCAAGTCACAGGTTGATGCTGCAAAAGGGCCAAGGGTGGGGCTAGCACTGAAGATGGGGCTAGCTGTAGCTTCCAGTCCTTTTCCTAGCTACCGATCCAGTTTGTGTGGACCATGAACCAGTGGGCTTTTCTGACCCTCAGTTTCCTCATCTGTGAAACAGAGATCATTCTATGTGTCTTGCGGAGGCTTGCGAAGATCAGGAAGGAGGCAAATGTACAGTGCCCAGCCCTGGGCCTGTCACTCTGTAGATTCTCAAGGTTTGTCTGCCCCCAACTCACCACGATGGCCGGTCCCCTGAGTTGTCATGCCACAGCCGGAGGCTCCGCAGTTCTCCCAGGGGGAACAGGGTGGAGAGGAGGAAGGCATCCACTGCTCCTCGCTCAAAAACCGGAGTGTCGGGATCAGCCAGGTGGTGGGGCTCTCTCTCTCCATCCAGGCCATACAGGGTGACAGTCACCTGAAATCCAGAGACCAGAAGTGGCCAACTCCACAGTGGCATAGCAGGGCTGGGTGGGATGTGCTGATTAATCAGTGGATCTTGCATAGGCAGGTACCTTTGAGGACGTGGCTGCCCCTCGTCGGTGTCCTGTGTAGACTGTCACCAGGTAGTGGTACTGAGCAAAGGGATCATTGTCTTCCAGCACTGTGACCTTCACCTGAAGAGAAGGACAGCATTAGGAAGGCCTTGCTCAGTGGGTTCCTGCATCACCCACCAGCCAAGAAGGAGCTGATGATTTGTGATAATCATGAATTGGGCAAAGCAAAATTACATGTGCCATTTATTCATCCCCTCGGGTGAGAACTGTTCTTTATAAAAGCAGGGTTTCAAGTGCAAAACGCTCGGAAAATAAAAAAACACAAAGTACATTTTTTTCTTCTTCCTTTTTTTTTTTTGTTTTCAGACAGGGTCTCGCTCTGCTGCCTAGGCTCGAGTACAGTGCCGTGATCTTAGCTCACTGCCATCTCTGCCTCCCGGGTTCAAGTGATTCTCCTGCCTCAGCCTCCAGAGTAGCTGGGACTACAGGCGTGTGCCACCATGCCTGGCTAATTTTTGTATTTTTAGTTAGAGACGAGGTTTCACCATGTTGGCCAGGCTGGTCTCAAACTCCTAACCTCAAGTGATCTGCCCACCTCGGCCTCCCAAAGTGCTGGGATTACAGGCGTGAGCCACCACGCCCGGCCCCAAAGTACATTCTTTATGAGATATGACCCCCATGTAGTCCAATTGGAAATGAACTTGATAAGCTGAGAACATTGAATGTTTGACCTGGTGAACCATACATACTCTGTACATGTATAATTTCTCATAACATTTGGAACCAGGTGGTGTTTTTGAGGGAATTTAAAAGAAATGAAACGTTAAGATAGTTTAGCGACAAATGAACTCATGGAGATAGGAAGTAGAATGATGGTCAGCAGAGGCTGGGAAAGGTAGTGGGGGCGGGAATGGGGGGGAAGATGAGGTGGTTAATGGGTACAAAATTAGAAAGAATGAGTAAGATGTCTGCCGGGCGCGGTGGCTTACACCTGTAATCCCAGCACTTTGGGAGGCCAAGGCGGGTGGATCCCTTGAGGTTAGGAGTTACAGACCAGCCTGACCAATGTGGTGAAACCCTGCCTCTACTAAAAACACAAAAATTAGCTGGGCGTGGTGGCTGGCACCTGTAATCCTAGCTACTCGGGAGGCTGAGGCAGGAGAATTGCTTGAACCCAGGAGGTGGAAGTTGCGTGAGCTGAGATCACGTCGCTGCACTCTAGCCTGTGTGACAGAGCAAGACTCCAGGTCAAAAAAAAAAAAAAAAAAAGAATGAATAAGATGAATAAGATCTAGTATTTTATACCACAACAGGGTGACTACAGTCAATAATAATTGTACATTTAAAAATAATTAAAAGAGTATAATCGGATTGTTTGTGACACAAAGGATAAATGCTCGAGGAGATGGATACCCCAATTATCCCAATGTGATTATTACACCCTGCATGCCTGTATCAAAATGTCCCATATATCTCATATGTATATATACCTACCATGTGCCCATAAGAATTAACAAAAATTTTTAAAGAGTTTGGCAAAAAGAAAAGAAAAAGAAATTAGCCAGAGTTAGCCAGAGTTGGCCAGAGGCTATAGTCGACTCTGAATGCGCTGCCCAGATCCCCCTCCCACGCAGGGTTCGTTGCCTCAGTTAATGGGGTAAAAAATGCAACACCTACCTCTGTTGAGATTGTGCCCCCTTGGGGCAGCCAGCACCCAATGACCAATAGGCGGAGTGTCTGGGTGTGGTCAAGACCTGGGTATCTCAACCCGACTTGGGACAGCTCCGGTGCTCCCCAGGGTCTGGGCCGGGCTGTCACTGGGCTACATCACAGCTCAGCTTCTCTCTCTGCGCATGCTGCCTCCTTCCCTCCCTTCCCAGGTGCAGGTCCCAGGCCCCCTTAATAAACACCCTGCACACTCTGCATGCTCACCTTTGCATCGGAGTCTGCTTCCTGGGAACCAACCTACAGCAGAGGCACTTCAAGTATTAATGCTTAATCTCTTGGGTGAATCAAAGACAGCAGTATCAATGCTGAAACATTATCTTATTAAATTTAACCCACATGAAATCCTGAGTGATGTTGCTTCGGGGGAAGGGGTAGGAACGGATAGAGTTTCACAGCTCTGTGACAATGCAACCTTGCATTCATTCATTACCTCTTCTTCAGATAGCCATAAATATTGGCTGAAGGCCTACTATGTATGTGTCAGGCATACTGCATACATTGGAAAACAATTGTTTTTTTTGAGATGAAGTCTTGTTCTGTTGTCCAGGCTGGAGTGCAGTGGCATAATCTTAGCTCACTGCAACCTCCACCTCCCAGGTTCAAGTGATTCTCCTGCTTCAGCCTCCTGAGTAGCTGGGATTACAGGTGCATGCCACCACGCCCAACTAATTTTTGTATTTTTAGTAGAGATGGGGTTTCACCATGTTGGCCAGGCTGGTCAACTCCTGACCGCAGGTGATCCGTCCACCTTGGCCTGCCAAAGTGCTGGGATTACAGGCGTGAGCCACCGCGCCCGGTTGGAAAAAATCTTAAGTAGACAAATACCCTCTTCTCGTGAAGCCTAATATTATTTGAAAACAATGGAGTTTTCTCCAGGACGGTGTACGCAGCGCCAATGGTTCTCAGCCTCACCTTGGCCTGATCCTGAGCGTCCTTCCTCCTCGCCCAGATCACCACCAGCACGTAGACCACACACAGGCAGCCCACGGTGGTCACGACCACAGGGTTGTCCTCAAAGGTGGCAAAGAGCTCAGCAGTCTGGTGGATGTTGATGGCATTGGACATCACCAGGAACGTGCTTCCGAAGAAAGTGAGGTGGTTGCAGAGGCAGTGTGTCTGGTAGGGGCTGGTCCGAGGCCCCACCTACAACCCATAAAGGGGCTGTCAGTGGAGACGCTCGGGAAGCTCAACCCCGGCTCGCTCGAGCCCAGGGGAGGAGAACGGTGTTCGCTTTGAAGAGTGCACACTCTGCTGGGGTGTGTGGTGGGAAGACCGCTGGGAGACCAGCTTCAAAAGCCCCTTTTGATCTTTTTTTTTTTTTTTTTTTTTGAGATGGAGTCTCACCTGTTGCCAGGCTGGAGTGTAGTGGCGAGATCTCGGATCAATGCAATCTCCACCTCCCGGGTTCAAGCAATTCTCCTGCCTCAGCCTCCCGAGTAGCTGGGACTACAGGCATGCACCACCACACCCAGCTATTTTTTTTTGTATTTTTAGTTGAGACGGGGTTTCACCATGTTGGCCAGGATGGTCTCAATCTGCTGACCTCATGATCCGCCCGCCTCAGCCTCCTAAAGTGCTGGGATTACAGGAGTGAGCCACTGTGTTTGGCCAATATTTTTTATTTAATTAAAATATGGAGATAATATTATTTATATTTTTGTGTCCATCATTCTCAGTGGACAACTGTGTATATGTTGCCAGTCTGCTTTCCTTTTTTTTTCTTTTTCTTCTTCTGAGACGGGATCTCACTCTGTCGGCCAGGCTGGAGTGCAGTGACACAATCTTGGCTCACTGCTGCAACCTCTGCCTGCTGGGTTGAAGCAATTCTCATGCCTGTGTCCCCCAAGAAGCTGAGATTACAGGCAAGCGCCACCACACCCGGTTAATTTGGGTATTTTCAGTAGAGACGGGGTTTCGCCATGTTGGCCAGGCAGGTCTCAAACAGGCTGATCTCAAGTGATCTGCTTGCGTCAGCCTCCCAAAGTGCTGGGATTGCAGGCGTGTACCACAGTGTGATTCGCGTCTGCAATCTGAGCTTCTTGGGAGGCTGAAGCACAAGAATTGCTTGAACCCCAGAGGCAGAGGTTGTAGTGAGCTGAGATCACGCCACTGTACTCCAGCATGGGCGACAGAGACCCTGTCTCAAAAAAATACATATATATGGCAAGTAAATTTGAGATCTCCTTTGTCCCTCTTCCCCTATAGGCAACCAGGATCACAAATTTGGCATTCACCCCCGTGGTGCACCTGGTGCTCATTCACAGGACAAATATTTGTGGGGTGCTAATTCTACATCCAGCAACAGGCTAGGTGCTGAGAGGACACTGGTGTGACTAACTCATCCCAGTTTGCCAGGGCCTTTCCTGCTTTTCAAACAGAAAGTCCTGAGTCCCAGGAGCTCCTTCAGTCCTGGGCAACCCGGGACAGTTGGTCAGCTTATGCCGAAAAGCAAAATAACCTGGGGGAACCACAGGAAGAAAAAGAAGAAAAAGAGAAGGACACAGGTTTGAGTCCTAAGCTGGCATTGTGGCACAAAGAAGGTGTGATGGCACTTACACAGGTGGTGCCTTGTGGTGCAGGACAACATGGCCGGGCAGCAAGGGGACCGGAGTGAACCAGGGCAGGGGCTGCCATCTGTGCCTGTGCTTCACACCCACATGGCCACCCCCAATCCCCCGCGAGCTCACAGTCACCCCCTAGGGCCTTCTGGTGGGTAAAGAAGATGGTTTGTTTGTTTGAGACAGAGTCTTGCTCTGTCGCCCAGGCTGGAGTGCAGTGGCATCATCTCGGCTCACCGCAACCTCCACCTCCCAGGTTCAAGCGATTCTCCTGCCTCAGCCTCCTGAGTAGCTGGGACTACAGGTGCCCACCACCACACCCGGTTAATTTTTGTATCTTTAGTAGAAATGGGGTTTCACCATGTTGGCCAGGCTGCTCTTGAACTCCTGACCTCAAGTGATCCACCCGCCTCGGCCTCCCAAAGTGCTGGGATTACAGGCTTGAGCCACCGTGCCTGGCCCTACATGTAAGATTTGGGACAAGTCAGTTGAGTTTCCTGAGCCTTTGTTTTGTCCCCTGTAAAATGAGAGTCACAGCTGTCTTGGAGATGATTGTGCAGATCTGATGAGCCGATGTAAGCAAAGCATGGAGCTCTGCACCTGGCACAGAACTAAGGGCTGAGCTATGAGTTCATTCTCTTGGAAATGACACCCTGGCCTCCCTTAACAACCTAGAGGCAGCAGGCCTTCCTGAGTCATTCGTCGCCTGGGTCAATGACCATTTGTTCTCAGTGATGAACAAAGCACATTGTTCCTGTTGCACTGGGGGCTCCCAGTGCATGGAGGGAGACAGACGTCATTTAAATGATCTCATGCGTAGAGGTGAAATGACCCCTCTGCTTAGCGCTATGGATGAGGAGCACTGGGGTTGGATGCTCTGGATGTGTGTGCTCTGGGGGTTCACAATAGGAAATCTGACTTAGGGAGTTAAGAACAGTTTTCTCGAGGAAGCAATGCTTAGGCTGAAGCGAGGATGAGGCGGGTATCCTAGGCACCAGGAACAGCAAAGGCCCCACGGAGAGGCTCAAGATGCTGTGCCAGAGGCACCAAAAGGGAACCCTACATGAGCTGGGCACAGCCCACCAAGCTGCCTCATCTCCTTCACTTCGCTCTCCTTACCTGGCATCCTGAGTCGTCCCAAGTCTCCTGGACCTCATCCCAGAACACACAGTGAGACAGGAAGGTGGTGATGCCAACCGTGAGGTCCCTGCCGGGGGCTGGCTCCAGGTCAGACTCAGGGACCACAGTCAAATAGTAGACCCCTTCTCCAAAACGCAGGTCCTGTGGGCTCAGGATCCACGTGGGCAGCTCATCTGTAGGAAAGGGGGTTCCAGGTCAGCCTGAAGCCTCCTTGAGATGGGCGTTAAGATCATGGGAGAGGGTGACTGAGCCACTTGGCAGGGAAGCAGACCCTGCCGGTTTTCCCCCACCCCTGATGTCCTACAAGCACTCTCTCCTCCTGAGACCAGGAGCATAGAAGAAGGGGCACTCCCCAGTCAGGGTGCACAGCTGACTCAGGCAGACAAGGGCTCAAACACAGATTCTGCCCCTTATTGGCTGTATGAGCTCAGACCAGTTCCTTTTCCTTAACCTCTTTGTTCTTATCTGGAAAGTAGAGATTTTTTTTTTTTTTTTGAGACAGAGTCTCGCTTTGTCATCCAGGGTGGAGTGCAGTGGTGTGATCTCAGCTCACTGCAACCTCTGCCTCCTGGGTTCAAGCTATTCTTGTGCCTCAGCCTCCTGAGTACCTGGGATTACAGGTGTGCACCACCTCGCCCAGCTACTTTTTGTATTTTCAGTAGATATGGGGTTTCGCCATGTTGGCCAGGCTGGTCTTGAACTCCTGACCTCAAGTGATCTGCCCGGCTTGGCCTCCCAAAATGCTAGGATTACAGGCGTGAGCCACCACACTTGGCTGAAAGTGGAAATTTCAATAGTTCCCCCTGCCAAGGGTTGTCATGAGGATTGCAATGAGGTCAGTCCTATATGAGCTTGTAAACTTCTTTGGGGCATATAGTAAGTGCTCACCTAATGTTGGCAAATAGTAACACCAATAAAAAATAAGCCACTGAATGTGTGGGGTGGTTTTTTTCTTTGCTTTTCTTCCTGTGGCTTCTGATTTCCAAGTGAAGCTGATCATACCCCAGGCAGCAGCTCAGGAAATGGTCACAGGCCTACCTGGAGCCACCATTGGTACGAGGTGAGTTTGGGCATCGTAGCTGCTCTTGTTGGGGTGGTAGCCATAGCCCAGGCTAAGCGTGAGTGCAATGTCTGGTCTCCAGTGCAGCTGGATCCCCAAGGTTGCCTCCCCTGAAGTCACGTTCACCCACAAAGCTTCAGGACTGGTCAGGTTCAACACGGTCGGCTGGCTGTGTCTTTGTGAATGCCGGGGCAGCAGGATCTGTGATCAGAAACAATCCTATTGAAGGTGTGCCAGGAAGGCAATGCCAGCCCGTGGGCATCAGGACTGCTGTGTAGAGCTGTGTGGCCTGAGCACCTGGGAACAGAAATCCAGGCCGGGCTTTGCTCATTGTATTAGTTTCCTAAGGCTTCTATCACAAATGACCACTGTGGGAAGCTTAAGACAATATACAGTTGTTATCTTTTAGTTCTAAAGGCTGGAAGTGCAAAATCAGTTTCCCAGGGCTAGGGGAGAACATACTTCCCTGCCTTTTTCAGCTTCTGGTGGCCGCCTGCATTCCTTGGCTCATGGCCCCTTCCTCGCATTACTCCAGCCTCTTGCTTCTGGCATCAAGTCACCTTTTTGTCTTCTGGAGTCACCTCCCTTTCTGCCTCCCTTTTATAAGGACCCCTGGGAAGACGCGGAGCCCACCAGATAACCCAGGATAATCTCCCCAGCTCAGGATGGGCAAGACTCAAGCACATCTGCAAAATCCCTTTTGCAGTTTTGTTGGGTTTTTGTTTTTAGACAGGGCCTGGCTCTGTTACCCAGGCTGGAGTGCAATGGCATGACCAAAGCTCACTATAACCTTGAAGTCTCGGGCTCATGTGATCCTCCCACTTTAGCCTCCCAAAGTGATGGGATTACAGGTGTGAGCTACCACACCTGACCTCCCTTTTGCATTTAAGGTGACATATTCACAGGCTCCAGGGATGAGAACACAGACATCACTAAAATTGTTATTGAATTAGGCATTGATGAGAAAATTGTAGAAGACTAGAATAGAATCATTAAAATTTTGAAAAAATGTATTTAGGTTGCACCATGGTATGTTTACGTTTTTGTTTAAAGAAAATCTAACTGGACATTTTATTTTTTATTTATTTTTTTGAGATGGAGTCTTGCTCTGTTGCCCAGGCTGGAGTGCAACGGTGCGATCATGGCTCACTGCAAACTCTGCCTCCCAAGTTCAAGTGATTCTCCAGCCTCAGCCTTCTGAGTAGCTGGGACTACAGGTGCCTGCCATCACGCCCAGCCAGTTTTGTGTTTTTAGTAGAGACGGAGTTTTACTGAACACAAATGAGCAAATGCACGAGAAAGTGCTATGCAAACTGTTTTACTGTTGGCCAGGCTGGTCTCAAACTCCTGATCTCAGGTGATCGACTCGCCTTAGCCTCCCAAAGTGTTGGGATTGCAGGTGTAAGCCCTTGTGCCCAGCCTAACTGGACATTTTAGAGGCTATGTAGTGGGAATGGTTTATGTAACGAAGATAACTAAAATTCCAAACAACAGATTTATATAACCAGGAAAACTCTGGTTATATACCCAAGGATTGGTGAATGAACATGCATTTGTAGTTTTAAGTTAAGTACAATGATTAAGCTAGGGTAAGGACCTTTTTTTGTTTGTTGTTCTTTTGTTTTTTGTTTTTGAGATGGATTCTCACTCTGTCGCCAGGCTGGAGTGCAGTGGCACGATCTTGGCTCACTGTAATCTCCGCCTCCCGGGTTCCGGCCATTCTCCTGCCTTAGCCTCCCAAGTAGCTGGGATTACAGGCCCGCACTACCACACTCAGCTAATTTTTGTATTTTTTTTAGTATAGACAGGGTTTCGCCACGGTGGCCGGGATGGTCTTGATCTCCTGACCTGGTGATCCACTCGCCTCAGCCTCCCAAAGTGCTGGGATTACAGGCATGCGCCAGTGCGCCCAGCCTGTTGCTGTTATTTTTTAAACCAATCTTGGTTCACTGCAGCCTCGACCTCCTGGGCTTAAGCAATCCTTCTGCCTCAGCCTCCTGAGTAGCTAGGACCACAGGTGCATGCCATCACACCTGACTAATTTTTGTATTTTTTGTACAGATGGTGTTGCACATTGTTGCCGAGGCTGGTCTTGAACTCCTGGTCTCTAGTGATCCTCCCACCTTGATCTCTCAAAGTGCTGGGACTACCAGTCCCAAAGTGTGAACTACCAGGACCAGCTGGTAAGGATCATTTTGGAAAATTCTCTTCTCTAACCATTTTTTAAAAAAAATAATTGGCCAACTTTCAATTTCAACCAAGTTGAAAAAGAAGACAGAGGCTGGGCGTGGTGGCTCATGCCTGTAATCCCAGCACTCTGGGAGGCCGAGGCAGGTGGATCACCTGAGGTCGAGAGTTCAAGACCAGCCTGACCAACATGGTGAAACCCCGTCTCTAATAAAAATACAAAAAATTAGCCGGGCATGGTGGCGCATGCTTGTAATCCAGCTACTCGGGAGGCTGAGGCAGGAGAATCACTCGAACCCAGGAGACAGAGTTTGCAGTGAGCCGAGATCTCGCCATCGCACTCTAATCTGGGCAACAAGAGCAAAACTCCATCTCAAAAAAAAAAAAAAAAAAAAAAACAGAAATGTGGCCAGGTGCAGTGGCTCACACCTATAATCCTGGCACTTTGGGAGGCCAAGGTGGGAGGACTGCTTGAGCCCAGGAGTTTAAGACCAGCCTGGGCAATATAGTGAGAACTTGTTGCTACCAAAACTTAAAAAAAAAAAATCAACTGGATGTGGTGGCGTGCACCTGTTGCCCCAGCTACTTGGGAGGCTAAGGTGGGAGGATCGCTTGAGCCCAGGAGGCAGAAGTTGCAGTGAGCTGAGATCATGCCACTGAACTCCAGCCTGGGCCCACCTAACTTTTGACGACACCCCAAACTTCTACCTCGATATTCTCCGACAGATTCTTCACAGGTATGAGTTGACCACTAGGGCTGGTCACACGGAGGCCACCGACAGTCCCGCTGACATCAAAGTGGCTTCGGGCTGGAAAGGGGCTCTTTGGGAAACTCATGATCTGAAACCAAGAGCAAGGAGTGTTGGCCAAGGCCCCTGAGAAGCTGGAGGGTGAAAGACAAGGTCCTAAGACTCAAGGAGAAGTAGCCCTGGCGTGTGGGGCGGGTGGGGCCTGCCTTCGGCTGCTGCTGCTTCCCCTGGCATGTTTCCAGCCTCAGGGCTGAGGCCGCAGAGAACCTGCGCTAGAGGACCCATATCAGACTTGCTTGGGCTGAGCAATGACTGGAATGTAAAACCATCCAAGTCTTTTTTTTTTTTTTTTTTTGACACAGTCTCGCTCTGTCACTCAGGCTGGAGTGTAATGGCACAATCTCTGCTCACTGCAACCTCTGCCTTCCGGGTTCAAGCCATTCCCCTGCCTCAGCCTCCTGAGTAGCTGGGATTACAGGTGTGCACCACCATGCCCGGCTAATTTTGTATTTTTAGTAGAAATGGGGTTTCACCATGTTGGCCAGGCTGGTCTCGAACTCCTGGCCTCAGGTGATCTGTTCTCCTCAGCCTCCCCATCCAAGTCTTTCTTCCCCAAAAGCCAGTAAGTCTTTAAGAGAAAGATGTTTGCTTTCACTAGAGCTCAGGGAGTACACAGTTAGACGTGCTTTAATTTGCGGATGGAAGAGAGCCTGGGTTGGCCATTTCCAAGTTATGACACTAAGCTGAAGAGCTTTATTTCCAGTGACTACCTGAATCAAGGCTGTTGGAGAAATTTTGTAGCACAATGGAAAGAGGGTAAATCTGGGAGCCCAGAGGTGTGGGTCTGAAGGCCGGCAGAGCCACTTACTTGTGGCTTTGGGAAAATCATTGAACCTCACTGGTACAGCGGGCATCATCATACTAAACACAAATAAGGAAATGCACGTGAAAGTGCTCTGCAAACTGTAAAGGCTGTCCCCAAGGACGCTACTACCGTTATTACCTTTATATCCACGGGCTCCTGGCCGCCCTCCAGAGAGCTGAGGGAGGAGGCAGCGGGCAGCATGAAGGTTGCAGAGTCTGCGGCATCAGGGCGCAGGGAGGAGCCTTGCCAACTCCAGGGTTGTATTCTGGCCACAAGGTGAGGACAGAGGTGGCAGGGGAGGGAGGAGAAAGTCAGTGTTCGAGGGAGCCCTCACACCTCCTGCACTACTGGGAGCCCAGCTTCACCATCAGAGTGGGGGTGTGTTTTGATTCCCATAGGTGGTTCAGCATGTTTGTTTCAGCAGAAGCAGCACAAGAGGCAGCTAGACTGGAGGCTCCATGAGGGTGGGGCTTTGCCAGCCTGGTTTACTACTGTATCCCCAATGTCTACAGCAGCGCCTGGCATATAACAGGTAGTCCATCAGTATTTTCGTTGAATGAATAAATGAGCTTGGATGCAGGTTTTTCTCCAGGGTTATCTCCCCTTCCCACCTGGACCTCTGACGTCATGTCTTAACCCCGCCCCATCTTTTCTGGTCTTTGACCTTGCCCCTTTCTGATCTTGTTGGGGACCCCACTTCAGATCGTTCCTCTAATCAGGATACTGCTTTGGGAAACTGTCTGTGAGATCTAAGAGGGAAACCCTGGCAGGAGGAACTGAGGCTTGGGGCAGAGGGTCCCAGTGTTGCCAGCAGCATTGTCCAGCTCCTGCTTGTCAGGTGGAGGAATGGAAGGTGTGGAGCATCCCAGGTATGGCATCAGTGCTCACTGAGAGATGAGCCCTCTGTGTGTGTGTGTGTTTGTGTGTGCGCGCGCACGCCAAAAGTAAGAGGATCTTGAGTCCCTGCAGGCCCAAGGAGCAGTGGCTGGTCAGACACATGCACAGCATGGTTAACAGCAGGCTAGTCCCATTCATTCAGCCCCCTGGCCTGCACAGCTGCCATGTGACCGTCTCTCAGGACTCCTTCAGGTGGATCTAACACTGGGCTTGGCACTCCATGCCTCCCTTCCTGTGCTGTGCAAACACTCAACATGGTGACAAGGGGGCCTTCTCTCGGTGGGAAGCCCTTCCCAGCTCTAGGTCCCATCACTTCTCTAGCTCCAAGGCTGGTCTCCTGAGCTCTGCCTAGCACAGGGCTTTGGAGTGCCGGTGTGGAATGAACCAGGTTAGGGGATGAGCTTTCTTGGGGACCTGTAACGCAGCTGGTTTGTACCTGTTTGTGTACACAGAGATGGAGGGGGTGGCCAGCATGGCTGGAAGGCCCCCTGGCAGTTTTCCCAGCAGGAGGGTGGTCTGCACATGCTCCATGACTCGAAGCAGCCGCAGCACTGTGGCAATCTGAAAAAGGAGGCAGGAAGATGTTGCTATGGACCTGCTGCCATACACCATCTTTGGTTACTGTCACCAGGCCAATGTGGGACCTTCAGGAGGGATCGGGAGAGTACAGAGAGGAGGGAGTAAGACTGCCTCGGAGGTGGCCCAAGAACAGTACTCATAAAGCTTCCAGACTGGCTTTTGTGAGCCCATTCCATCCTCACAGTAACTCGGTGTGGCAGGGGCTTCACTAGCCCCATTGGACAGATGGGGGATGGAGGCACAGAGAGGGTAGGAGGCTGTGGGAGGTCACAAATTGATAAGGGGAAGAGCCAGGACTCACGGCAAAGCATATGGCTACAGAGCCCGTGTGCTGGGCTGTCAGACAATGTGGCTGTCTGGGCTGCTGACATCTGCCAGCACCCTAAGGCTTGTTCCAGGGGAAATGGACAGCTGAGAGCGAGGCCATTTCACCAGGTCACCTGGGCTTCGAATCTGCTCCCCACCCGTCCCAACCCCCAGATGAGATGCATCCTGACACCACGGCTGGTGCGGGGACCCAGGAAGGGCTGGATGTTTGCACATAATTCCTGTTGGGGCACAGATCGTGTGGGTGTGAGTGTGTGTGAGTGTATGTGTGCATGTGCGCACACACGTGAACACACAGTGTGAGGGTGACATCACTGCATGTGAATGTCAGTGTTTGAGCGTGTGTATGTGTGAGCGAATGTGAGTGTGGTCCTGAGCGTGTGTGGGTACAGTGTTTGAGTGTGTGAGTGTGCACAGGTGACTGCATGATTATGGAGTGTGCAACCATATGTGAGGGTCTGTGAGTATGTGAGTGCATGTGACTGCATGGCCCTGTGTGAAGATGCGTGTGTGTAAATGTGCATCTGTGTGCAAAAGTGTGTGCTTGAGGCCGTGTGAGTATGAGGTCCTCTCAGTGTGTGTGTGAGCTTGCACATGAGTGTGAGTGTGGCCATGTGTTTTTGTGTGTGTTTGTGGAGATTGAGTGTGTCTGAGCATGTGCGTGTGTGCATCCACGCATCTTTGCGTGTTGTGTGTCTTTCAGTTCTTCCTGAATGGAGGTGATGGCCCCATGTGATCAAGAACCATGCAACAGCAAGAAATGGGTTTTGTGGCTCTGTCATGATGCCATCTAGGAGGCTATGTCCCCACCAGGATGCTGGGGCCACGTGACACAGTGCTACACCTATTCTTACTCTGGGCAGCTGCCTCTCTTCTGTGTTCTTGGTAAAATGAGCCACAAGTTTACCCAGACCTGCTAGTGGGTCCATATGATCTCTCCAGTTGGCAGCTTATTTGGGATGAGGCAGAGTGCCTTGATTTACACATAAGGAAATGAGGCTTAGGTAAGCTCTGTAACTTGCCCAGGTCACAAGCCTCCTAAGCGACAGAGGCAGGATTCAAACTCAGACCGTCTCATTCCAGAGCCTGTGATTTGGCCACCACTCCACACTGCCTCCCAGAAGCCCTGCTCTCTGGAAATTTTCTCTTTTTTTCTTTCTTTTTTTTTTTTTGAGAAGGAGTTTCACTCTTGTTGCCCAGGCTGGAGTGCAATGGCGCGATCTTGGCTCACTGCAACCTCCGCCTCCCAGGTTCAAGCAATTCTGCAGCCTCAGCCTCCCGAGTAGCTGGGATTACAGGCGCCGGCCATCACGCCCGGCTAATTTTGTATTTTTAGTAGAGACGGGGTTTCTCCATGTTGAGGCTGGTCTTGAACTCCTGACCTCAGGTGATCCTCCTGCCTTCGCCTCCCAAAGTGCTGGGATTACAGGCTTGAGCCACCGCGCCCGGCATGCTCTCTGGAAATTTTCTTCCACCTCCCAGGGCAACACCTTAACCTCTGTGCCGCACTTTCCTCATCTGCAAGATGGGGGGGGAAAGTTCCACCTAGAAAAGCTGATGTGACTAAGCATTCAGTGTGTGTGAGGTCTGCATCTGGCCTGGACACCCACCTGGCTGCTGCTGGCCTCCGCAGGCTCTTCTGGTCTGTTGCTCAGGGAAGCTTCCAGCACACTGCCCACAGCCTGAAACAGGTCCCTGGTGGCTGCCTGGCGCCTCTGGTCCTCAGGGCGGGCCTTGGCACTCACTGTCAACAGGGCCTCACTGGCATGCTGTAGAGCCAAGCTGGCCTCCCACTGGGTTCACCCAAATAAGGAAAAGCGATGTGAGCCTCTGCTTAAGATAGACCATTCCTGTGTCATTCAAGGGACAAGGGAAGCAAGGAGGGGAACAAGCCAGGAAAGAGCTGGGCTAGACCTGGCACACGAGCTCCCTGTATCTCCGGCTTGAGACCAGGGCCTCCCACCTTACAGTCCTCTGAGATCCTCTAGGAGAGTAGCCTGGTCTGCCTCTGAATCCTTCCCAGAACGCCCTGCACAGTGCCCAGCACATAGCAGGTCTTCAAGAACATTCAATGACTAGGGGACGGATGGATGGATGGATGGATGGATGGATGGATGGATGGATGGATAAATGAAGGGTGGATAGGCAGTTTGATAAATGGATGTATGGATGATAGGTGGATGGGTGGAAAATGGATGGATGGAGGATGAATGAATGAATGGGTGGATGGAGGATGAATGGGTGATGAATGGATGGATGGATGGGTGGGTGGATGGATGGTAGATGGATGGATGGGTGGATGGTGGGTGGATGGATGAATGGTGGGGGGGTGGATGGATGGAGAATGAAGGATGGATAAGTGGGTGGATAGATGGATGGATGACAGGTGGATGGATGAATGGGTGGAAGATGAATGGATGGAGGATGGATGAATGATGGATGAATAGATGGGTGGATGGTAGATGAATGAATAGGTGGATGGTTGCGTGGGTGGGTGGGCGGATGGATTCAGTACATATTCAAATTTTGTAGTTTTCTATGTATTTTTGAAATTATTTGTCTAATGTCTGGCTGTCTCAGTAATCTGAAAGGACCGTAATGGCAGATGCCATGTCTACATGATTTGCTGCTGAATTCTCAATGCGTTGCACATTACCTGGCACATACTTGACATTCAGGAAGCATTTGTTAAATGAATGATGAAATTAATGCATGCATGAATGGATAGAAGGATAGAGTGGAGGATGTGTACAGGTCCATGTATATACAGTGTATATGCATGTAAATAGATGGATTAGCAAATGGATGTGTAAATGGGAAGTGTCATATCAAGAATTAGCCCCAGAATCAAGACCAGCCTTGCTGGCTTCAGGCTGGAAGATTTTAGGAGCACAACCTCCTACCAGAGTGCGTGGGGCAAAGCCAGGACAGTTCTCTTCTCTTCTGTTTTTTTGTTTGTTTTTGAGATAGATTCTTACTGTTGCCCAGGCTGGAGTGCAGTAGCGCAAGCATGGCTTACTGTAACCTCGAACTCCTGGGCTCAAGTATCCCTTATGCCTCAGCCTCCTGAGTAGCTGGGACTACAGGTATAAGCCAGTATTTAGGTGTTGTTTTTTTTTTTTTTTTTTTTGTAAAGATGTGGTTTCCCTATGTTTCACAGACTGGGCTTGAACTCTACGGATCAAGTGATCCTACTGCCTCAGGCTCCTGAAGTGCTGGGATTACAGGCATGAGCCACTGTGCTGGCCCGCTTTCCCTGTTTTTAGGGCTTCTTTTTATTGTTATTTTTTTTCATAGGGTTTGCTCTGTCTGCCATGCTGGAGTGTAGTGGCACAATCATGGCTCACTGCATCCTCGACCTTCCGGGCTCAATTGATCCTCCCACCTCAACCTCCCAAGTAGCTAGGACTACAGGTGTGTACCATGATGCCCAACCAATTTTGTTTTGCTTTGTTTTTGTTTGTTTGTTTGTTTTTTTGAGATGGAGTCTCTATCACCCAGGCTGGAGTGCAGTGGCACGATCTCGGCTCACTGCAACCCCCACCTCCTGGGTTGAAGCAATTCTCCTGCCTCAGCCTCCCGAGTAGCTGGGACTACAGGCGCACACCACCACGCCCAGCTAATATTTGTATTTTTAGTAGAAATGGGGTTTCACTATGTTGGCCAGGCTGGTCTCAAACTCCTGACCTCAGGCAGTCCACCTGCCTCGGCCTCCCAAAGTGCTGGGATTACAGGCGTGAGCCACCGTGCCCGGCCTTTGTTTTGTTTTTGAAGGGATGAGGTCTCACTATGTTGCCCAGGCTGGTCTCAAACTCCTGGCCTCAAGCGATCCTCCTGCCTCTGCCTCCCAAAATGCTGGGATTACAGACGTCAGCCACCGTGCCTCACCTATGGCTTCTTTTTTAACCCTTGGCTGTCAGAACCCTGGGAACACGGTGTTTTAATTTGAGTTCTCCAAGAAGCAGATCCCAGAGCAAGAATTTGAGAGCAAGTCATTTATTTGGACATGATCCCAAGAAACACTTGTGGGGAGTAGGGGGTGTGAGACAGGGAAGGGTGGAAGCCAGTACAGGAGTGTGATCAAGCCCATTACCTGGGATTCACTCCTGCTTGGGATTATCCATCAAGAGGGGTGAGGTAGCTGGGGTGTTTATAAGCCAGCTTCATTAGTCACTGAACACTGCATGAATTCACAGCCATATGGGCAGGTACAGTAGGCTCTGAGGGTCAGAGAAGACCCCCAGAAGGATAAGGAAGCACAGGAGCTGGCAGCCAGATGTCAGGCTGGCATGTACTGAAGTTGAGAACATGGGCAGTCAGTAGCAGTGTCTGGACTCACATTTGGCCACCCAAATATTAATGAGATTCAGTTACTCCCTCAACTTGCTCACCAGCAGATGCAGGAGTGAGAGTCTGGGCAAACAGGCCCTCTCACCTAGCGTGAGATACATGGGCAGCAGGAGGGGCACCTTCCCATGAATCGCCCATGCAGGACCCCTGGAAAGAAGATGACAGAGGTCTTGGCAGCCCCAAAATAGCCCTGTGACCAAGGGACCCCTTCAACCTATGCTGATCACCCACCTGCTGTGAAGGAGCGTGTCCCATGTTAGCCTCTGTAGATGGGAGCTACTCACCTGGGCCGAGGGTGTGAGTTCCTTACTCCGGCAGGTCACCTCTCTCAGCACCTCGGCCAGCTCCTGCACCCTCTGCACGTCCTCCAAGCCGGTGGTGACTGCAGACAGTGATCCCAGCACATGCTCTCTGACCTTGGCACGGGGGAGAAAGGCAGGGAGAGGAAATGTAATTCTGTGGCTCCATGAAGTAGTGTCAGGAAGATGCAGGGTCAGGAGTGACCAGGGTTATTAGGGGGTTCTTTTTCTTTTCTTTCTTTTTTTTTTTTTTTTTTGAGTCAGAGTCTCGCTCTGTCACCCAGGCTGGAGTACACTGGCATGATCTCGACTCATTGCAACCTCCGCCTCCTGGGTTCGGGCCTCAGCCTCCTGAGTAGCTGGGATTACAGGTGCGCACCACCATCACCAGCTAATTTTTTGTATTTTTAGTAGAGACAGGGTTTTGCCATGTTGGCCAGGCTGGTCTTGAACTTCTGACCTCAAGTGATCCACCTGCCTCAGCCTTCCAAAGTGCAGGTATTACAGGCGTGAGCCACCGCACCTGGCCTCACTGGTGGTTTCTAAAGCCCTGCAGACCTCTGTCTGCCTTGTATGATGTGTGATTAGGCAGATAACAGCCCCCTCAAGATGCCCACATTCACATCCCTGAAACCTGTGAATATGTTACTGAATGTGGCAAAAGGCACTTTGACTAAGTCATTTTGGAGAAGCAATTAAGTTAAAAATTCTGAGATGGAGAGATTATCCGAACAGGTGGGACCAACGTCATCATACGACCCTTCTAAGAGGGAGGTAGGAACGTTAATCAGAACAGGAGATGGGTGATGGAGGCAGGGGTAGGGGGAAGAAAAAGAGAGGGAAAGAGGATGAGGTAAGGGTGGGGAGAGACAGAGGGAGAGGAGAGGACTTTGGAGATGCTGCGTGGCTGGCTTTGAAGATAGGAGTCAAGGAGTGCAGGCGGCCTCTAGAACCCGGAAAAGGCAAGGAATGGCTTCTCTCCTGGAGCCTCCAGGTTTGCAGCTCTGCCATCACCTTACTTTTGGCCTAGTGGACCCCATTTTAAACTTCTGGCCTCCAGAACTATAAAGTGAATAAATGCGTGTTGCGTTAAGCCATGATCTTTGTGGTCATTTGTAACAGCAGCCCTAGCAAACATATATAGGATGTCTCAAGCTTTCTCCAAATCTTCAAATTGAATCTGTAGAATTTGGCACTATTTGAAAATAAATTGTGTCTCAGCGTGGCACCTGTGACCAGAATGGCATGAAATTCAGAAACTGGATGACTGTTGGTCTGGCATGGATGGGAGGTCTCACCGGAGGCTTGGGGTCCCTGTGTGCCTTTGCAGCAGTGGGGACAAGAACCCCCCTACCCAGCCCTCCACTCCTGTCTTGGGCCAGGCCACGGGCTTCAGGGTCAAGTGCTTTCTACACTACAAAGCACTAATGAGGGGCTGGTGAGGGGCTTTGGTAGGAGCAGAGAAAAACTAAGAACATCATTTCAGCACTGCCCAGTAGAACTGTCATTTGTAACTTTATTTAATTTTAATAATGACTTAGATTTAAGCAGCAGCCACTTTTGATGGGGCAGAGACACCGTGGCCTGTTGCTCACACCTGGCTCAGCCTGACAGGCTTTCCCGAAGCTTCCAAGTATGAGTGCATCTGCCATCCATTCCAGGGACAGCCAGGCCTCCATCCCGGCTGTGTCTTGGGTTGAGGAAAGAATAGGTCAGTGTGGCAGGAGACTCTTTGCAGAATATTCCAGAAGGGAAACTCAGATAATGGGTAATCTCACATTTGCTTCTGCAGGCCCTGACCCCATCGTTTGTCACCTACCCTGGGTAAAGATGTCACCGGCTCTGGACCCTCCGGCAAATGGACTCACCCAGCAGGAGCCCAGCAGGGGACGAGATGGCAGGAGGAGAGAGAGCTGGGAGGGGTCATTCTCCTGATGCCCTCGGCCAGGTCACCGGGGGCTGGCCGCCTCATTCTTCAAAAGCCACAGCTCCTACCAGAGAGTCCCTCTGTGGGCAGCCGCCCCCTGGATCCTGCTCACGGCAGGCCGGGCCTCTGGGGTCCTCCACGCTGTCTAGTTTGTTCCCTAAGCCCTGCACACACCTGTCTCAACAGAGCCCTTGTTAACATCTTCTCAGCTTCCCAGTGAGAGTTTGACATCTGTCTTGTGCCAGGCCCCGGGCATTTCATGGGGAGACCTTGGGTTAGGCTGTGTGGTCTGTGTGCTTGGGGACCACAGGATGTCCAGGGGAAGCTTCCCATTGGTACTTCTCAGAGTGAATGTGACCAAGAATGAGAGCTGTGTGTGTGTGAAAGTGTGTGAGTGTGTATGTATGTGTATGTGTGAAAGCATAATTGTGTGTGGGAGTATGTGTGTGTGTGACAGCGTGTCAGTGTATGTGTGTGAGCATGTGTGTGAGTTTGTGTGTGCATGTGTATGTGTGTATATGAGTGTGTGTGTGTGAGCATCTGTCAGTGTGTGTATGTGTGTGAGTATGAGTCATATGAGTGAGTGTGTGAGCATGTATGTATATGCGTATAAGTGTGTGAGTATGTGTGTGGGAGTATGTGAATGTGTTTGTGAGTGTGTGTGTGTGAACATGTTTGAGTGTGTGTGTGTGCATAAGAGTGTGTGTGAAAGTGTGTATGTATGATGTGTGAGAGCTAATGTGTATGTATGTGGCAGGGGGTCTGGGGTAAGAGGGCTGGAGGTGGAGGGGGAACCTCTAAACTGGGTTTGAACCCAGGCTTCACCACTTACCAGACACAGGGACACAGGCAGGCACCTCTGATTCTCTTACCCTCTGTTTCCTCAGCTGTAACATAGATGGAGGCCTCACCATTTACGTCCCAGGGTTGTAGTGGGGATTACAGATCCATGAAGCCCTAATTCAGGGCCTGGCAGCTCATAGCAGGTGCTTGATACATGTTAGTTTCTCTCGGTAAGCGACCACAATGACAATCCGGCTTCCTGTATTAAGTACCTACCAGGCCTCTAGCACCACACTCAGTACCTTCCTGCAAACCTTTCAGGGAGCCAAGAGAAGTCTTTCTTCTCTTCTCCGTGCCCACAGGGGTGTGTGTGTGGGTGTGTGCATGCACACACACGAACACAAACTCATGTGGCACATGCTGGGAGTGGACACAATCATACGTTCTGCAATAGTTTATCATACTAGGTTGTAACAATGGAACGGCCATTTTTGTAGATTAAAACTGATTGAATGTTGACGGTCTTATCTAGTTTTTTAGTTGCAGTGATCGTAATTCTTATTTAACTCTTACTACAATTGTATGAGGAGACTAGTATTCTTCTATATGGGGAAACTGAGACTTAGAGAGGTTTGGTCCCTGGCCTGTGACAATGCGAATGGTAAGTGACAAAGCCGGGACGCCATCTGTGGTCCAACTCCAAACCGCTACCCATGTGACCGAGGACAGTCCCCTTTCTGCTCTGGGGCTCTGCCTTGTCATCTGAAACATGAAAAGCAGGGGATGATGTGTTCTAAACTCCCCCCATCCCAGAGGCCTGTGCCTCCATGAGGGCCAGCCGAGAAAGCAGGTTACCAAGGAAGAAGGCATTTTCTTCACTTTATGTCACTCACCCAAAAGACCAGAGAGGGAGGTGGTGTCAGCCGCTTGGGAGACACCACAGGTTTCTCCCCTGATCCATGAACCTTGATCCACAGCCCAAATGGCCGCACGCAGACCCTGGGGCCCCAGAGGAAGGGAATGAAAGGAGCCCCCCAGCTTCCCACGGGTACCTTCTGTCTGACGTCTATGCTCAGTGACTGTCCTGAGCCCTGGCTTTCATGCTCTTGGTTCAGCATGGAGGACACAGCCTTGGCCAGCTGGAGGAGCTGCTCGGGGCCACCCTCGCCTTGCAGAGCTGTGGGGATTTTCTCTGACACGGCAGCCTGGAATGCTACATCCTCAACACATGTGTCTCCGAGTGCCACCTGTTAGGAAATCAGAAATATGCTCAGAACCTGCTAGGAAGAAGCTGGCCTCTGAAGTCAGGGGTCTTCATGTGGGGTCAGAGAGGCTTGGATGCCTTTGGCCTGGCCTGTGGGCTCTCGAGCACTTCCTGAGGCTGGAGGGCACCCAGACCTGCTCGCACCAGGCAGCTGACAGCCACCCAAACCAAGCCTTGGTTGGCTCCAGCCTGGCGCAAGTCATTGCTCTACCACTGGCCGCCCTCCTCTCTTGGTCTCAACCTCTTCCACCCCCACCTGGCCTCTGACGCTTGAAATCTTCTTGGAATCTTATCCAGGCTCTTCCTTGAGTCCTTGTTGGCTAATCTTGGTCCTACTTCTTCTGAGCTCTCTGAAGGTGCTGGCCTAACTCATGCCAGAGTCATTCTCCAACCCCCCTCACCCACCCACCAGCTCCCAGGACCCTCCCCCTATTCTGGCCACTAAATCATAACATCTACAAAGGTAGAGACCATGTCTGTTGTGTCCCTGGCTATACCCCCAGGACGTGGCCCAGGGTAGATGCTCTGTAAATATTTGTGGAAGGAATGGATGAATCACTGACTTATCTGGCTATGCCCCTGGCTATCTTCCATCCGGCCATCCTTTTAGTGAGGTTCATATGGGTGGAGAATTTTTCTCAGTAAAGAAACAGTGACCACTGCCACCACCTACCTTAGCCATGGCCTGGGTCTGCTGCGTGTCCCCTGCACGATTGGTGGCAGAAATAACTACTGTCAGCACAAAGTCATTGTTCTCCTCTCCAAGTGGCAGATACACTGATGGGAGGGCAGGTTCAGGGCCACAGTGTAGGCAGGAACCTGGCAAAACCAGAAATTGACCGATGAGGGGGCATCGCTAAGCCCCAGGTAGACTGCAACCCACTCAGGTAGAGGCTGGTGACAGGGACACAAAAGCCACAGCTCTTGAAGGCATGGTAGGCTCTCGGGATTCCACACTTTCAAGTATGAGACAGTCACGTATGCTGATTCACTGTCTTCTCTAAGCAACTGCAGGTTGCTGTAACTTTGGAAAAATTTTACTAAAATCCATAAAAAATTGCAGGAAAAACATCCCATTTACAGTTTTTTTTTTAAAAAAAGTCAAGGTGGTAAACCAAATTATAAGAGGAAGAAAAAGAAGGAGGAGGAGGAGGAGGAGCAACAATGACAACTTAAAACTTAGCTCAGGGGCGAGGAGTTCAAGACCAGCCTGGGCAAATTAGGAAGACGTTGTTTCTACAAAAAAAAGTAAAAATTAGGTCTCGAACTCCTGACCTCAGGTGATCCACCCACCTTAGCCTCCCAAAGTTCCTGGGATGACTGACATGAGCCACCACGCCCAGCCTGGGACTCGTTTTTATGTAGCCACACTTTCCTGCCTCCGTGCTCACTTGGATGATGGGGGAGAGGTACTAAAGAGGAATAGCCTATTGGAATTAGGGCAGCTGTCCTGGCCTTTCCCTCTGGCGGGACGCAGTTTGAAATAACATCCACTTACCTTGCTTGAACTTTTTCCTTTCAGACTCAGCCCCATTCACAGCCCTCTTAACGGTGATGCATTTCCACATCTATTAGACAGGGCGCTCGTGAAAACTACACTCTCTTAGGTATTACAATAGCTGACGTGCACTTTCCCTAATCAAGGTGTAGTGTTTATGCCGTTGTGATGTTTGATGCTGGATTTGGGGGACCATCCTGGCAACACTACTGGTGGCTGACTTTGGTGGAAATTTACAATCTGATTAGAGCATTTTCAGAGCACAGAATGACAAAGCTCTCCCGGGCGTGTGGCTTACATCTGTAATCCCAGCACTTTGGGAGGCCGAGGCAGGCAGATCACCTGAGGTCAGGAGTTTGAGACTAGCCGGGCTAACATAGTGAAACCCCATCTCTACTAAAAATACAAAAATTAGCCGGGTGTGGTGGCGGGCACCTGTAATCTCAGCTACTCGGGAAGCTGAGGCAAGAGAATCGCTTGAACCCGGGAGGCTGAGGTTGCAGTGGGCCGAGATCGTGCCACCACACTCCAGCCTTGGCAACAAGGCAAAACTCTGTCTCAAAAAAAAAAAAAAAAAAAGAAGAAGCCAAAGCCCAGTGGGTGGAGATCAGGGCTCAGATGAGCCCTCCAAGGACCAATCACTCTCCAAATGGAAGAATAAATGCAATGTGAGTGGCTCCCTCATCTCTCCTGCTAATGCCCTGTGGCTGTCCTGGGGTGTGAGTGGTTAGGGTGAAAGCAGGGAGACTGTGTAGGGTTTTATGCATTGTGGATGGGGTCTTCCATGTTTGTCACCTGTACACCTTTGCAAAAATGTTCTTTCAGTTCAGCTAGTCCTGCAATTATCACCCATTCCCTGGGGCTGCTTGCAAAGCAGCGTCAATGAAATTGTTGAAGATTCTGTTAACCAGACCCATCTCTGTCTTCCTGAATAGCTCCAGGCTTCTGGGAGTCCCAGCTACTACAAGTGTGTGTGTGTGTGTGTGTGTGTGTGTGTGTGTGTGTGTGTGTGTGTGTGTGTGTGTGTGTGTGTGGTGAGCAGGGGTTGGGGGATGGTGTCTTGGTGGTGGCCCCACATGGTCATACTTTTGGGTATCCTCGTTCATTTCACTCCATCACTGTCCCCCACGCCAGGGCAATGGATTTTGGCTTCCAGTTGTGGAAGAGCTATTGATGAGACCTTCTTCTCATGTCTCTGTGGACTGATGGCTGAGTCAGTGTCTTGAGGCTAGGGGTTGAGGTTTAGGGGAGCCCTCATCCTACCAACCTCTCTCGCACACGGAACATATTCTTTGCAGCTCCCAGAGAGAACAGGCCCCTGTTCTGCAAGAAGATGAGCCCAGGAGCTGAGGGAAGAGCAGAGTCTTCAGCCGGTACCTGATTCCAGACAGAAGCAGAACTCCAGGGGTCCCAGGGCTGTGGAGGCGTTGCAGAAGATGGCAAAGCTCGTCAGAACGGTGCCCTCCTCTGGGGCAATAGTGCAGGCAGGCACCTCACGGGGAGGCACAGTGCTGATCACATAGGTGTCCTCCCCATAGGCATGCCTGGTCAGTGCTGGGAGTAAAGAGAGATCATGTTCAGGGGGCCACGTGGGGCCCACAAACTCCATCCTGCTGTTAGATTGCCCCCTGAGCTCATTAAACACAAAGATTCTTGGGCTCTACTTCAAACCCAGAACTTCAGACATCTCTGGATCTGGGAAGAGCCCAGAAATGTACATATCTAACAATTAAACAATGAAACCCCAAAACAACTCCCCCTGATGCAAGGGATCCCAGGGCCTCACTTTGAGAAACTGGGCAGAGATAGGGGAAGATAATTAGACAGACCTGAGCTTGAATTTTAGTTCTGCCATTTGTTAACCGAGTGACCTCAGACTTGACCTTTTCTTTTCCAATTTTGTTTTCCTAATTTTTTTTCTTTTTAGAGATAGGGTCTTGCACTGTCACCTAGGCTAGAGTCCAGTGGTGCAATCATAACTTACTATAGCCTTGAACTCCTACACTTAAGTGATTCCACTGCCTTGGCCTCTCGAGTCAGCTAGAACCACAGGAGTACACCATTACGGCTGGCTAATTTTCTAATTTTTGTAGAGACAGGGTCTCGCTCTGTTGCCAGGGCTGGTCTTGAACTCCTGGCCTCAAGGGATCCTCCCGCCTCAGCCTCCCAAAGTGCTGGGATTACAGGCATAAGCCACTGGACCCGGGCTGAGAACTTGACCTTTTTGAGAGTCAGTTCCTCATCTGTAGAATGAGGCTGATGATAATAGCTTCCGCACAAAGATCTTGTGAGGTGGGAGTATGCTGGGAAAATGCTCAAGATCACAGAGCCAGGAAAGACCAGAACCAGGATCCGGAAACAGGCTGAGCCCACCCCGAAGCCCACACTCTTCCCAGGCGCCGAGATCACTGTTAAGAGCCACGAGTGGACCTGCAGTCACATCCCACATCACCTGGAGTAGCCACCTACATTTTCAGAGAGCGCATGCCTGGAAGAGCTGGGCATAAAGAGAATTTGAACCCATAAAAACTCATTCCTTGGCCTAGACCCAATTCGGAAAGTTTGGGGTGGACCCAAGAGTGTGCATGTTTAACTAATTCCTTGTTTATCCTGATGTGCATGGTCTGTGGGCCACTTCGGGAAAAATGGAAGCAAAGCAATCCTTCCTAAAAAGAATCATCACCTCCATTGTTTGTGTGTTTGAGAATCTATGTTTCTCACACAGGGCTTGTTTTAAACGAGAAGCCCTGAACAATCCTGGCAGGGTGTACAGGTTGCACGACCCCAGAATGACCTGCTTGTAACACTGGGGTTATCTCATTCATCCTGCAAAATAACCATTCTGAGGCAGGCATTTCGATTATCCCAGTTTATATGTCAGGAAACTGAGGCATAGAGAGGCGAAATCCTCTGCCTAGAGTCTCCCACGTAGAAAGCGGAAGTGGTGCGATTTACACCAGAGCCTGCGCTGTGGCCTCTGCACTAAGCTGATGCCCTGGCTGGGTATGGTGACTCACAGCTGCCATCCCAGCACTTCAGGAGGCTGGGACAGGAGGATCGTTTGGCTCCAGGAGTTCAGGACCAGACTGGGCAACATAGTGAGATCACATCTCTCTATTTCAATATTTAAAAGAAAAATAAACTGACACCCAATATCTGAGTGTTTCTGGGTTTATCTGGGTTCCCTGAGAGGAGATAAAAGGGAGGTTTCGCACCTGTGGCTCTGATTCGGATGACCTCTCCCCGGGACTGCAGAAACGAGCTGTTCAACAGCAACGTGGAGGTGTTGCTCTGGAGGAGGGTTAAGGACCTTGGCCAAAATCCTCTGAGTCTGCAGGCATCCAGGAGGGGCTCAGCCTGAAAGACAGGATGGCCCAGGGCTGCTGACGCTACAGCCAGGCCACAGGACTGCAGCAGGACAGTGGCTTCTGGGTGCTAGACAGCCTTTCAGATTTATTACTGATGAACGGAGGACAGGCAGCCCCAGCTCCCCAAGAAGTCACCTGGAATATACACTTTCCAGCCTCACTGCGGTGTCTGTCTTAGATTGGGCTCCCCGGAAGCAGAGCCTGAGATGGGGATTTGTGTGCAGGTTATTTATTTGTTTATTTTTGAGCCAGGCACAGTGGCTCACACCTCTAATCCCAGCACTTTGGGAGGCTGAGGTGGGTGGATCATCTGAGCTCAGGAGTTCAAGACCAGCCTGGCCAACATGGGGAAACTCTGTCTCTACTAAAAATACGAAAATCAGCCGGGCATGGTGTTATGTGCCTGTAATCCTGGCTACTTGGGAGGCTGAGGCAGGAGAATTGCTTGAACCCAGGAGGCAGAGGTTGCAGTGAGCTGAGATTGTGTCATTGTACTCCAGCCTGGGTGACAGAGTGAGACTCTGTCTCAAAAAAAAAAAAAAATTAAAAAGAAAATATTTTTGAGACGGAGTCTCACTCTGCTGCCCAGGCTAGAGTGCAGTGTATGATCTCTGTGCACTGCAACCTCTGCCTCCCAGGTTCAAGTCATTCTCCTGCCTCGGCCTCCCAAGTAGATAGAATTATAGGCACGCATCACCATACCCCGCTAATGTTTTCGTATTTTTAGTAGAGACGGGGTTTCACCATGTTGGCCAGGCTGGTCTCAAACCCCTGACCTCAGGTGATCTGCCTGCCTCGGCCTCCCAAAGTGTTGGGATTAAAGGCTTGAGCCACCATATCCAGCCTTGTGTGCAGGTTATTGATGGAAGGAGGATTCACAGGGAAAAGCAGTGCAGAGAGGGAAACAGCAGAGAACAAAACAAGGCAAAAAACAGTTACTGGAGGCATCCAGCCTCTGCCTGGTCACACGGAGAGCCCTGAAGTGTAAGTTGCACAACTGAAATCACCCTACCTGGGGACAGAGAAGCTGGGCTATTAGACCCTCCACCCATCAGTCGTTGGCCAATGGTCAGGCCACAAAAGCTGGAGTTAGGATCGTCCGCCTGGGAAGCAGGACTTTTGCTGAGATGCCAAGAGCACCCGCTGCAAAGTTTCTCCAGAGCTTATGCTCCTTTGTGCCCATTTGCCCTGCTGTCAATTCCCTGATTTTCTCCCCAGCCCAATACCCTGAGTCCCACACCACAGGCTCTGAATGGAATTGACCCAACCCTGGCCCAGTACCGGGCATGCGACACGGGTGTGCTGAAAGCGCAAGGGAGATTTCCATTCTTGAGTGGTTGTCACTGTGCTCACCTGCTCTGTTGGGGTGTTGTCCAAATACCAGCTGAACATAGCCACTGGAGAGTCCTCCCCCATGGTGACCCTGAGCAGAATGTCTTTGCTGGCATTAACTGGCCTGCAGTTCCTCTCACAGCTGAAAGGCAGACAGAGGACAGAGTGAGGAAGCTCCCCGAGGCATTGCTATCATCTGGATGTTTGTCCCCTGAAACCTCATGTTGAAATATGATCCCCAATGTTGGAGGCGGGGCTTCATGGGAGGTGTTTGGGTCATGGGGTTGGATTCCTCATGACTGGATGAATGCCTCCCTCGGGAGCGAGTTCTTGCTCTATTAGTCACCACCGGAGCTGGTTGCTAAAAAGATGGCCGGGAGCAGTGGCTCACGTCTGTAATCCCAGCACTTTGAGAGGCCCAGGCGGGCAGATCATGTGAGGTTAGGAGTTTGAGACCAGCCTGGCCAACATGGTGAAACCCTGTCTCTACTAAAAATACAAAAATTAGTGGGATGTGGTGGTGGGTGCCTGTAGTCCCAGCTACTCGGGAGTCTGAGGCAGGAGAATCATTTGAACCAGGGAGATGGAGGTTGCAGTGAGCCAAGATCACACCACTGCACTCCAACCTGGGTGACAGAGTAACACTCCATCTCCAAAAAAAAAAAAAAAAAAAAAGAGCCTGGCACCTCCCACCCTTCTCTGCACACACCAGGTCCCCTTCATCTTTCACTGTAAGTGGAAGCAGCCTGAGGCCCTTATCAGATACAGATGTCCAGTCTTGGATTTTCCAACCATAAGAATCATGAGCCAAATAAATCTCTTTTCTTCTTTCTTTTCTTTTTCTTTTCTTTTTTTTTTTTTTTTTGAGACAGAGTCTCGCTCTGTCGCCCAGGCTGCAGTGCAGTGGCGCGATCTTGGCTCACTGCAACCTCTGCCTCCCAGATTCAAGCAATTCTCCTGCCTCAGCCTCCTGAATAGCTGAGATTACAGACAGGCACCACCATACCCAACTAATTTGTATTTTCAGTAGAGACAGCGTTTTGCTGTGTTGGCCTGGCTGGTCTTGAACTCTTGGCTTCAAGTGATCCACCCGCCTCAACCTCCCAAAGTGCTGGGATTACAGGCATGAGCCACTGCGCCCAGCCAACCATTTTTCTGTATAAATTACCTAGCCTCAGATATTCCTTTATAACAATGCAAAATGGGCCGGGCGCGGTGGCTCACACCTGTAATCCCAGCACTTTGGGAGGCCGAGGCTGGTGGATCACGAGGTCAGGAGATCGAGACCATCCTGGCTAACACGGTGAAACCCCGTCTCTACTAAAAATACAAAAAATTAGCCAGGCGTGGTGGCAGGCGCCTGTAGTCCCAGCTACTCGGGAGGCTGAGGCAGGAGAATGGCGTGAACCCGGGAGGCGGAGCTTGCAGTGAGCCGAGATAGCGCCACTGCACTCCGGCCTGGGTGAAAGAGCAAGACTCCGTCTCAAAAAAAAAAAAAAAAAAAAAAAAAATGCAAAACGGACTCAGACAGGCATTGTGACCACTGGCCTGGTCTTTTGTCCAGTCCTTCTCAAGTCCTTTGAGAGGGTAGGAAATGGCCCTTTTTCAAATTAAAGATGGAATAAAAGCCGCCCCTGCCCCAACCAACACTGGGACGTAGCCTTGGTTGTGAAGATGGACTGAGTCATGGCCTGACTGAATTCCCATGTCATTCACTGACAGCGTAATGATACGGAAGGTGAATGAGGCTGAGACAGGACCTGGGTTCTAATCCTGTCCTTGTCACTTATGAAGGGTCACCTTGTGTGCATCACTTAAACTTTTTTTTTTTTTTTTTTTTTTTTTGAGACTGAGTCTCACTCTATCGCCCAGGCTAGAGTGCAGTGGCACGATCTCGGCTCACTACAACCTCCACCTCCTGGTTCAAGAGATTCTCCTGCCTCAGCCTCCCGAGTAGCTGGGATTATAGGCGCTCACCACCATGCCCGGCTAACGTTTGTATTTTTTTAGTAGAGACAGGGTTTCACTGTGTTGGCCAGGCTGGTCTTAAACTCCTGACCTCAGGTGATCCGCCCGCCTCGGCCTCCCAAAGTGCTGGGATTACAGGTATGAGCCACCATGCCCAGCCGAATCACTTAAACTCTCTAAGCCTCAGTTTCCTCACCTGCAAAATGAGGGGATAGCCTAGATAATTTCTGTGATTCTTTTTAGTTCAGATAATAGTAAACTAATGCTGTGGTTCAACAGCACGCCTGCCATGCACACATTACTTCCATTGTCTCTAGCTTGTCCAATGCTCACAATAGCCCTATGAGTGACATATTAGCATCCCCACATCACAGGTGAGCTAACCAGGCCCCGAGAGCTTATGTGATTTGTCCTAAGTGATGTAACTTCTAAGTGGGCAGATAGAATGTGAACCATCGTGTCTGGATCCAAACTCTTGGCCTTCTCTATAATGTCTCTGTGAAGGCCAAAGCAACTCCATTTCAGATGCTAATCTGCCACGTTGACTACTGATTAACCCCAATTCCAGGAATGCCTCTAAGATTTCTATTCTCTCTACAGTTCTTTGTGTAAGAGCATGTACTTACTATGAGTGCTGCCCTGAAAGAGATTCACATAGTATTCTTACCTTTCCCTACGACTGTCCTACACATTCCTTTCCTATGGTATATAAGCCCTGGTTCTGGCGGGTAATGGCGCTGGCTTTCACCATCTTGTCTTGCAGCTGCCCTAGACATCATGGTTTCTGTTCGCAAGTCTCAATTAAATGTTTCTTTCTAAGAAACTAAATTTGTCAGCTTCTTTCTCTGGCCTCTCTGCTTCCTCGAACTTTGCGGGAAGGTTTGCATAGACCTGCCCTCCACAGGACGGTCCCCCAGTTTCCCCTTTGGTCTGAACTTGATGACAGCTCTTGAACTTCCTACTTATCTCCTCATGTCTGCCCTAGTCCAAGTGTGCAGGACATTCTCTATCTGCCTCTCCAATCCAGTCTCCTCCCACGTGCGGCTCTGACCTGGGAGACTGAGCTCTATACACTGCATCACCCAAGCTGCCACACCCTCCAGCTTCTAACTGGGTCCAGCCAATGGGAACCATTGATAGAGGATTGGAGGGTGAGAGGAGAGAGTTTGGGGAATTTATTCACGGCTTTCCCTGCTCTTTTCCCTGATGGGCTGCAGGTGAGAGATGCTGTGCTTCTCCAACCAAGGCCACAGCTCCCTACGTATGTAGTCCTGCCTAATCTTACCTCTGCATTCCTGGGGGTGATAATGGCTTCCCTTGGTTGTAGTCCTGCCTTGTCGCCCCTGCTTCATTGCCTTATACCTGCCCTCACCTGTAAATAGTCCCTTCATCAGCTCTCTTCCATTCATTCCTGGTTTGGCTGAGCCATCAGCTTCCTGCAGGGACTGGCTGATAGTCCAAGCAAACTTGACCTCCTACCTTGACTCCTGCAAGAGCCTGGGCAATCTCCCTGGGTCTTCTCTTGCCCTCTTCCAAGTCATTCTCCACTGAGCCACCAGAGCATATTGAAGTCACATGCTTAGAACTCTTGGTTGCTTGGCTTGGCATGGTGGCTCATTCCTGTAATCCCAGCAATTTGGGAGGCCGAGGCAGGTGGGTCACCTGAGGTGAGGAGTTTGAGACTAGCCTATCCAACATGGTGAAACCCTGCCTCTACAAAAAATACAAAAATTAGCTGCGCACGGTGGCATGTGTGCCTGTAATCCCAGATACTCAGGAGTCTGAGGCACGAGAAATGTTTGAACCTGGGAGGCGGAGGCTGCAGTGAGCTGCGATGGTGCCACTGCACTCCAGCCTGGGTGACAGAGTGAGACTCCATTTCAAAAAAATAAAAATAAAAATAAAGAACTCTTGGGTGGTTTCTCTGTATCACTCTTAGGAAAAAGGCTAAAATCTTGATATGACCGGCAAGGCCCCACTTGAGCCAGGCCCTGCCTACACTACCAGCTCCTTCCCACCCTTCTCTTCTCCATCCTCAGGACATTGGCCTCTTTCGCTCCCTGATGATTCTCTGCTCCCTCCCTTTGCCCGCTCTGTTCCTGCTCCAGCTGCCCCTTCCCTGCCCTGTGAATTTCTCCTGAACACCTCTGCTGAGCTGCAGTTCCTGAGAGAAGTCTCTCTAACCCCAGTCAGGGCAGTTTTCATAGAGGTGCGCTCTCTGCCTTCTTCATTCGTGTCCAGAAGTGCTGATCACCAGGTGGTAGTAACCCCTATGACAACAGAGACCACCACAGCAAGCCTTGCCCCAAGGCAGCCCCAGCCTCAGTGGGTCCTCAGTAAGTGTTGGCTGAACGAATGAATCAGGACCCTGGAGGAACTGCCCACGTGCCCCACCTGACTCGAGGCCTGAGTTCCCAGGGCGCAGACACGTAGAGGCACTGCTCTGCCCTGTTCTCCAGCTCTTGGCCTCTCAGAACAGCCAGGCGCAGGGTGACAGCAGAGTCAGGCGGCGGCAGGCAGGATGCTGGAACCACCAGCTCCCTCTGGTCTGTGCGAAGCAGCTGCCTCTCAACACAGCTGCTCCACAGAGCCCAGCAAGACCCTGAGAGAAATGGACAGACACTATGATCCATCAGGAGCCCTGAACGTGGCACACACTGCTAGCTTCTGGTTTTGAAAGGGGTCATGAATAATAACATCAGCTCTAAATAGACATTTTAATTTTTTAATGTCAGTTTTATTATTTATTTATTTTGAGATGGAGTTTCCCCCTTATTGCCAAGGCCGGAGTGCAATGGCACCATCTTGCCTCACTGCAACCTCCGCCTCCTGGGTTCAAATGATTCTCCTGTCTCAGCCTCCAGAGTAGCTAGGATTACAGGCATGCACCACCACACCTGGCTAATTTTTGTATTTTTACTGGAGTTGGGGTTTCAACACGTTGGCCAGGCTGGTCTCGAACTTCCAACCTCAGGTGACCCACCCACCTCGGCCTTCCAAAATGCTGGGATTACAGGCCTGAGCCACCACACCCGGCCAAAACGTCACTTTTAATGCAGGTTGCAGAAATGGTGCTATGGAAGGATGCTTTTGGGAAAAAGAACCATGCTTCACCCAAACTCTGAGCAAATCTGCAGGATGTGGTTGGCTTGTGTTGCACTGGTGCTCAGGAAGGTGTGTAGCAGGAGAGGGGCCAGGAGGATCTGTGGCCCTGGGAGAAGGTCCAGGGCAGCTTCTTATCCCGGTATATTTGTCATTCCATGTGGATGAGGCTGTCCACAGCGCCAAGTCCCTGTGGGCTACTACGGCGGCCTGGGAGGTTGTACTGCCATCTGGGAGGCTGCTGTGTCACCTCCTGCTTTATGTTAGCAGCTTCCTAAGTTTCTGTATCCTCTGCCCTTCAACTCTATTGACAGATGTTTACTCATCAATACCTCACCTCCCACCATCTCCAATATGGTGACAGGCATATAGCAGCAGAGAGGCCAGGAAGATCTAAATCCCCAGGAGAATATTCCCAAGATTCCTGGGACTATTCCAAGAATTCCAAGATTCCCTAGATCTACAGCCCTGGGAGAACAGTCCCAAGATATGTTCCCTGAGCATATTTCCAAAATATGTTCAGGGTTCAGGCTCATCAGCTCGGTCGCCTAAACTCTGGACTTGCATACTCTGTATTCAGATAAGGAGAATGAATATTCAGAGGGATGTCATTACCACGTAACAATTAACATCAAAAGCCTTAAAATGTTGCATGACTTTTGACCCAGTTATTCCATTTCTACAAATTTATTTATGAAAGTAACCACAGTTGTAAATAGAGATTGAACTGTATAAGAGCAAACAATGTGAAACAATCTAAATGTCCAAAAAGAGGGTAAAGAAATGATCGCACATCAGCCGGGCACTGCGGCTCACGCCTGTAATCCCAGCACTTTGGGAGGCCGAGGCAGGTGGATCACCTGAGGTCAGGAGTTCGAGACCAGCCTGGCCAACATAGTGAAACCTCATCTCTACTAAAAGTACAACAATTAGTTGGGCATGGTGGCACGTGTCTACAATTCCAGCTACTCGGGACCTGAGGCAGGAGAATCGCTTGAACCTGGGAGGTGGAGGTTGCAGTGAGCCGAGATTGCGCCACTGCACTCCAACCTGGGTGACAGAGCGAGACTCCATCTCAAAAAAGAAAAAAAAATCACACATCAACATTATGGTCTATTGTGCAGCTATTAAGAAAATCAATATAGAGACGATACCACGACATTATAATATGCAAATATGCAGGTTACATTGTTCAATGAGAAAAGGGTAAAGAAAACAGTATGAATAACATTTCTTTCTTTCTTTCTTTCTTTTTTTTTTTGAGACGGAGTCTTACTCTGTCGCCCAGGCTGGAGTGTAGTGGCACAATCTCAGCTCACTGCAACCTCTACCTCCAACATTCAAGCGATTCTCCTGCCTCAGCCTTTTGAGTAGCTGGGATTACAGGCACCCACCACCATACCTGGCTAATTTTTATATTTTTAGTAGAGACGGGGTTTCACCACATTGGCCAGGCTGGTCTCGAACTCCCGTCCTCAAGTGATCCCCCCACCTCAACCTCCCAAAGTGCTGGGATTACAGGCATGAGCCACCGTGCCTGGCCCATTTATTTTATGTCTAAAAGCTAAAAGAATGTGTATGTAGCTAGGCTATATTCCTGTAAAAAGGAGGATACCATTTCTACAATGTGAGCGCTAGTGCTGCCATCTTGGTTTGTTGGAAAATGCCTGACTCACTTCCCCCTTCTAGATTCTCTCCCTAGGGATATACCAAAGGGCTGGGGAAAGGGGAGGAGTCCACACCAGAGAAGAGGAGCACTTTATCACTTTTGTTTGGAATTGTCAGCGTATGGACCAGCTTTTCAGGTTTCATTATTGTTTTAAAATTCTCTAGATCCCCTTGCTGCCTGCATTCAGGGCCACCCTTGGTCTGTCACTGCTTTCTCCCACCTTCTATTTTTTTTTTTTTTTTTTTTGAGACGCAGTCTTGCTCTGTTGCCCAGGCCAGAGTGCAATGGCACAATCTCAGCTCACTGCAACCTCCACCTCCCAGGTGCAAACAATTCTCCTGCCTCAGCTTCCTGAGTAGCTGGAATTACAGGTGTGCGCCACCACGCCTGGCTAATTTTTGTATTTTTAGTAGAGACGGGGTTTTGCCAAGTTGACCAGGCTGGTCTCAAACTCCTGACCTCCAGTGATCCACCTGCCTCGGTCTCCCAAAGTGCTGGGATTACAGGTGTGAGCCACCACGCCCGGCCCCACCTCCTATTTCCATGGAATTTGCAAGCTCTGGCATGTACAAGTTATACAAAATGTAGGCCATAGGGAAAGCTGGTGCGAAGATTAAGAAAAAGAACAGCAAAATCTGACCACTGCTCACCACTTCTTAGTGAAACAGGACAATTCAAGAACTCTATCATTGGCCAGGCGCGGTGGCTCACACCTGTAATCCGAGCACTTTGAGAGGCCAAGGCGGGTATATCGCTTGAGGTCAGGAGTTCGAGACTAACCTGGCCAACATAGTGAAACCCTGTCTCTACTAAAAATACAAAAATTAGCTGGGCGTGGTGGCAGGCACCTGTAATCCCAGCTACTTGGGAGGCTGAGGCAGGAGAATGGCTTGAACCCAGGAAGTGGAGGTTGCAGTGAGCCAAGATCACACCGTTGCACACCAGCCTGGGCAACAAGAGTGAAACTCCATCTCAAAAAAAAAAAAAAAAAAAGAACTCTATTGTCACCTACCACATGACCATTGGAAGCGTAACTCCTTGTCATTGTCTGGCCAGCCCAGGGTCACTGTCGTGAAAGGATCCACATATGGACCAGGTTGGATGTACACCTCCATATCGCCTTTATCTTTCTGCAAAAAAAAGCAGCCAGCTGGTGAGACTCCAACTACAGTTAGCTCAGGCTCACTGTGGGGTGCTGTTGGCATTCCCCTTTCACCCCAGAGCAGTCTGCACCAAGAGCAGCTGCAGTGTAAGGCGTGGGGTGGAGACAGACCCTGGCCAATCCCCCTGGCTTCCTTCCCCTCATGGGGCGTGGAGTTGGTTGCTCAGGATCCCTGGGCAAGTCACGTTATTCTGAGTGTTGGCTCGGGGTACACGGGGTGTTCCTGGAGTAAGTTCTGGTGGGACTTGTTAAACAGCTTGGGCTGTGGAGCTTCTTGCTCAAGCCCCGAAGTCCTGACCTGAAATAACACAGGGCTCCAGTGGAACTCAAGCCCCAGTGGCCTCCCGTGGCCTGAGAATAAAATCCAAATTTCTTGCCTTGGCAACTAAGGCTCCGCGTGATCTGGCCTCTGTCCACGTGTCCATAATCTCCTACATCCCTCCCTCCAACAGGCTCCAGCCACGCTGGCTTCAGGCCATCGCCTGCCTCTCAGATCTGCCCACTCAGAAAGCTCTTGTTCTGCTTTCAGGCATGGCTGGCTGGCTTATCTTCATGTGTCCGCTTACATGTCACCTCTGGAGAGGCCATGTCTGACCACATCAGCCAGACCACCCTGTTCGTTGCTATCGTTGCACTCTATTGGTTCTTATTAGATACTTACCACAATTCCTAATTCTATGATAATTTGTTTGTTGGAGTTTTTTTTTTGAGACAGAGTCTTACTCTGTTACCCAGGCTGGAGTGCAGTGGCACGGCCATGGCTCACTGCGCCTCAACCTCTCAGGCCCAAACTATCCTCCCACTTCAGCCTCCCAAGTAGCTGGGACCATAGGCATGTACCTTAATGCCTGGCTAATTTTTAATTTTGTTTTTTTTTTTTTGAGATGAGGGTCTCACTTTCTTGCTTGAACTCCTGGGCTCAAGTGATCCTCCCACCTTGGCCTCCCAAAGTGCTGGGATTACAGGCGTGAGCCACTGTACCGGGCCGATATGTTCGTTAGTATCACTCAGTAAGCTTCCTGAAGGCGGAGACCATATGTGCTTATTCACTATTGCATTCCCAGCCCCTGATACCAAGCCTTGAATGTTGTAGATGCACAGTAAGTCTTTGTTGTAGAATAAGTGCACGCACGAACAACGTCAACAGCAAGGAGCTGAACTCAGTCTTGTTATAAAAACTGAAGAGCTTGGTCTGTTTTCTTTTCTTCCTGCTTTCTAATATAAGCATTAAAAGCGATAAATTTCTCTCTGAGCACTGCTTTAGCTGCATTCCACAAATGTGCATAGGTTGTATTGTCATTATCATGTAGTTAGAAATTTTTTCTAATTTCCCTTGTGATTTCTTCTTGACCTATTGATTTTTTTACAAGTGTGCTGTTTAATTGCCAAGATATCTAACAGATATCTACATATCCTAGATAGCTCATTATAGATTTACAACATAACTCTGTTGTGATTAGACAACTTGCTTTGTTTGAATTCAGTCATTTTGGGCCTCTTCTCAAATGGAAGAAGCCTCAGGGATTCCTAGTGCTCTGGGTATTGGTACCAAAAAACCAAAACTCAAAACTAAAACAGAGTGCTTGGACATCTTTTCCTTGTGAGGTTAAACGTTTTTTAAAGACAATACTCACACTCTTTCCTTCAGCATTCATCCCAGATGGTTCTTGGAGACCGGAAGGGGCTGTGAACACAGTGGGAACGGGTATCAAGCTTTGGTTGGAAACCTTATAAAAGGCTGTCAAAATATAGAGTCAGAGAGTCATGTGGAAAATGCCACCAGGGGCGTCAGCCTGTCTTTGAAAATGGTTTAAGGGAACATAGCAAACATTCAGGTCCTAGGGAAATGGATTAAAAGTGAGTCATCTTGTCCACCACTGGACTAAAGACACCCCTTTGGTAGTTGAGAAAGAGGCAGCTGCCAGTGCAGATAAAACACAAGATTTAGAGTCAGACAGATGCAGCTATGCACTGCTAATGTGTGTTTTTGTTTTGTTTTGTTTGTTGTTTTTGTTTTTTGAGACACAGTCTTGCTCTGTCTCTCAGGCTGGAGTGCAGTGGGGCAATCTTGGCTCAATGCAACCTCTGTCTCCTGGTTCAAGTGCTTCTCCTGCCTCAGCCTCCTGAGTAGCCGGGATTACAGGCACCCACCACCACACCCAGATAATTTTTTTTTTTTTTTTTTTTTGAGACGGAGTCTCGCTCTGTCGCCCAGGCGGGACTGCGGACTGCAGTGGCGCAATCTCGGCTCACTGCAAGCTCCGCCTCCCGGGTTCACGCCATTCTCCTGCCTCAGCCTCCCGAGTAGCTGGGACTACAGGCGCCCGCCACCGCGCCCGGCTAATTTTTTTTTTGTATTTTTAGTAGAGACGGGGTTTCACCTTGTTAGCCAGGATGGTCTCGATCTCCTGACCTCATGATCCACCCGCCTCGGCCTCCCAAAGTGCTGGGATTACAGGCGTGAGCCACCGCGCCCGGCCAACCCAGATAATTTTTTGTATTTTTAGTAGAGACGGCGTTTCACCATGTTGGCCAGGCTGGTCTTAAACTCTTGACCTCAGGTGATCCGCCCATCTCAACCTCCCAAAGTGTAGGGATTAGAGGCATGAGCCACTGCACCCAGCCTGCACTGCTAATGTTTAACTACCAGTAAAGGAGGTGGGAGTGAGAAGCCCTGATTTGTAGGGTTTGTCAATTTCCATGGTATAAATGTTCCCACCAATCTATAAGCCTGATGCTACTGAATATAGAGTGAGGAGAGATGGGCACGCTCACCTCTGGCAAGTGGGTGGAGTCGGCACCACACACTACCCTGTTGTCAGATCCTCTTACTGGCCTCCCATTGGCTATGTGAACCGGGCAGGTGAGTTATCCTCTCTGAGTCTTGGTTTCCTCATTTGTAAAAATACCTGGAGTCCATCCCCATTTCTCAGGGCTCCAGGAAGACTGAATGTGGTGCTGTTTATAGAATTGCTTTGTAAACTATACATCTAGAAAGAATGTCATCCTGGCTAACACAGTGAAACCCCATCTCTACTAAAAATACAAAAAAATTAGCTGGGCTTGGTGGCGGGCGCCTGTAGTCCCAGCTACTCGGGAGGCTGAGGCAGGAGGATCGCTTGAACCTGGGAGGCGGAGCTTGCAGTGAGCCAAGATGGCTCCACTGCACTCCAGCCTGGGCATCAGAGCAAGATCCTGTCTCAAAAAAAAAAAAAAAAAAAGAAAGAAAGAAAGAAACAAAGAACGCTAGTTTTTCAAGTTTAAACAATGGAAAAAGATACAATCAATTGATGTCTCTGAAAATATATATATTTTTGAGATGGAGTCTAGCTCTGTTGCCCAGCCTGTAGTGCAGTGGCGTGATCTCGGTTCACTGCAATCTGCCCCTCCCGGGTTCAAGCAATTCTCCTGCCTCAGCCTGCTAAGTGGCTGGGGTTATAGGTGTGCACCACCACACCCAGCTAATTTTTGTATTTTTAGTAGAGACAGGGTTTCACCATGTTGGCCAGGCTGGTCTCGAACCTCTGACCTCCAGTGATCCACCCGCTTCGACCTCCCAAAGTGCTGGGATCACAGGCGTGAGCCACTGTGCCTGGCCTACTGAAAATATTGAAATATTAATGATTAATATCTAATTAAAGTGTAGTGCTTAAAGTAGGAACTTAGAGTTATTTCATGTGATTCACTAAGGCCCTGGATATATTAAGGTCTGAGTACCACTGATCTTTAAAAAATTCTCTCCCAGTGAATTCTCATTCACACAACTATAATTCCAAAGGCATGTAAAACTGTACAAATCAAGGCTAAGATGCCAGAGAAAGGGGACTTTCTTAACCTTAAGAAGGAAGGCAGTCCAATCACCCTGAATGAAAAAATTAGGAGAAACATTTGCTGCCTTTGATCCTGCATGAATCAGCCATGTGACTTCTGCAAAGTCAATTAAACTTTCTGGGTCTCAAATCCCACATCTGGCTGTCGAATTTCCAGGCATCTATGATCCCCTCCCTTGGTAGCAGCATCTACGGGTGATATTTTCCCTAAGAACCATCCCTCCCCAACTCTCAGGCCTTGGTTTGGGTGAAGCTGACCCTACATTGTACTCCAGCGTGGGCGTGAGACCCTGACCTGCCAAACTGACTGCTGCTTCCCCTGGTCTCAGCAGCTGGTCCAGGAGAAACCATGAACTGAGCTTCAGCCAGCAAGAGGCAGCCTCAGGACTTCTACTAGAAATATCCATCAAGACGTACTCTTTCTCCTCTGGGGTTAAAGATCAAAGCCTGGGGTCATCTTGCTACTGCTGGGAAGAGAGAATCCAAAAGAAGTCAACACAGAACCAGAGGAGGAAAGAGGCAGGTTTCTGAAGACACTGTCTGAGCGACTCATCCAGCTGTGTTTAAGAACAGGTCTACTCCCTGGGCTTTTCATTTTCATTTTCTTTTTTCTTTTTTTTTTTTGGTCGGGGGGTGGGGACACCATCTCACTTTGTCACCCAGGCTGGAGTGCAGTGGCATGATCTTGGCTAAATGCAACCTCTGCCTCCCAGATTCAAGCAATTCTCCTGGCCTCAGCCTCCCCAGTAGCTGGGACTACAGGTGTGTGCCACCACGCCCAGCTAATTATTGTATTTTTAGTAGAGACAGGCTTTCGCCATGTTGGCCAGGCTGGTCTCAAACTCCTGACCTCAAGTGATCCACCACCTCGGCCTCCCAAAATGCTGGGATTGTAGGCATGAGCCACGGTGCCCAGCTGGCTTTTCATTTTCTGAGCTGATAAAATTTCCTTTTGACCCAAGCCAGTTTCACCTTCGTTTCTGTCCCTTGCTACTTGAATTGTCCTAGCAAACACATTCAAGTGAACCCTACCTCTGTGATGGCTACTCTCAGCTAGTTCCCCAACAGCCATTACCCCAGCCTTCCTCCTGGCAGCCAGAATCCACCTTCTCCCACAGAAACTGAAAATGCTGGGTATCTGCTTTTCCAGTGCACTTTATAGCAGCGGACCTGACCCTACTTTGGTCATGGTATCTGAGGTGATGATTGCTTAGAGTGAGTGGGAAAGATTTTTCCCCTAATAAAAAGAGGTGCACAGGAGGAAACCCCTGCTCCCGCTGCTGGTACGCTGCGTTGACATGTAATATCCGGAACTGCAGCAGTCACTTTGATTCCTTGAGCAACAAGCCTAAGGCAGCACCAAAGCTCTAAGGATGGCAGACGAGAAAGATAGACTGAGCCTGGTTTCTCGCTGGCATCACTGAGCCACCGAACCAACCCTGGAAGTGCTTACCTCCTAACTTCTTATGTGAGTCAAGAAAGCCCTGAATCTGAAGCTACTTAGGTTGGACCTTCTGTTACTTGCAGCTTAAAGCATCATAATGAACGCAAACTCTTGTTTTAGAATTCTGTGTCAGTGGTTGGCCGGGTGCGGTGGTTCACGCCTGTAATCCCAGCACTTTGGGAGGCTGAGACGGGCGGATCATGAGGTCAGGAGATCGAGACCATCCTGGCTAACATGGTGAAACCCGGTCTCTACTAAAAATACAAAAAAATTAGCTAGGCGTAGTAGTGGGCACCTGTAGTCCCAGCAACTCAGGAGGCTGAGGCAGGAGAATGGTGTAAACCCAGGAGGCAGAGCTTGCAGTGAGCCGAGATCATGCCACTGCACTCCAGCCTGGGTGACAGAGTGAGACTCCATCTCAAAAAAAAAAAAAAAAAAAAAAAAAAGAATTCTGTGTCAGTGGTGAAATGTTTTACTGTAAACATCATTGCCTCCTTAGAATAACTGGAGAATTCTAACCATCTGTAGAACAAGATACATATTCAGAGCCGTGTTTGGAAAGGCCCCTCACTGGAGCCCAAGCAGGTGCAATGCTCTGGACTCTTGGTAAAAGGTTTTATGCTCCCTTGCAGAAACACCTTGCCTGTGATAGTGATGTTCCCGATTTCCAAACTCAGGTTGGAGAAGGCATTCCTCACCAGCATGGTGACCAGAAAGGTGCCTGCAATACAAAGGACCCAGAGTCACAGCCATTGTCATGAACTTGACCAAGAAAACTCTCCCAGCTTGCTTCTCTAGTCCACCGATGCCTCCAACGAAATCTTTCACCTCTGAGCATTTAATGAATCCCTGCTGTATGTCAGGCATGGTGCAAGGCTCTGGGGACACAGAGATGAAGGAGCTTGGTTCTTGTCCTCAAGGGCCTTATCATGTAGTAGACACATAGGACAGTGAACGCCAAACCACGGGAGGAATCGGCATGGGGCACAGTGGGCATTGGGTGGGCCCGCTTCAACCTCAGGAGAGAAAGAAATGGTTCACAGGATAGAGCCAGGGCTGGAGCTAAATTCCAAAGGAGAAGTAGGTTCTCGATAGATAAGACTGCAGATTCCCAAGAGGGAGACACATAGCAGGATTGTCAGAAGCGTGGAGACAGTGGAAAAGGATATTTTATTTTATTTTACTTTACTTTATTTTATTTTTGAGACAGGATCTTACTCTGTCATCCAAACTAGAGTGCAGTGGCACGATCTCAGCTCACCACAACCTCCACCTCCCAGGCTCAAGCAATTCTCCTGCTTCAGCCTCCCGAGTACCTGAGATTACAGGCTCATGTCACCACGCCAGGCTAATTTTTGTATTTTTAGTAGAGACAGGGTTTCACCGTGTTGGCCAGGCTTGGAGAAGGATTTGTAAGATTTATTTAGATACATGTGTGTCCCATCCCTTCTCCCTCATGGGGAAGGGGCTATGGGTAGGGGCTACCTTCTGTGTTCTCAAGCCCAGAGAGAAATGCTTGAGAGAGGAGCCTTCCTTGGAAAGCCCGGTATGTGTCTGTTTGGGGTCCGCATGGACAGGCTTCATACTCATGCCCTTGAAGGAACAGTCTGTGACGGGAAGACGTGCGGGTGGGAAGGGGACGGGAGGAAGGGGCTCCATTTCTGCGTCTGGGAAATAATTGCATTTGGCTGGGAGTCGGCCAAGACATGGGTCAGAATGTTCTGTGGACCAGATGTGTGCCTTGGGGAGACGGATGCTGACGAGGGGAGGGAGAATGAGGAGAGTCCAACAGAGAGGGGAGGTGGCCAGGGAGAAGCAGCCAGGGCGTGTGACCAGCTAAAGGGGAGGCATCCCCCACCACCCCAGGAACAAAGGCCTATAAGGCCCAGCTGGGGGCCCCAAGAACCCAGAGAAGCTCCTACAAGAAAGAGGCAGCTTGAAACATCTGCTAGCCCTCAAGAGCCAGGCCAGCTAGGACTCGGCCAGCACCACCAAGTGCAAATGTCCCTGCCCTGTCCCGTTCCCTTTCCATCCTTCCACTCCCGCCACCCCTGGAGTCATCCAAATCTGTTGGCCTTAGGGGCAGGAACAGTCTGTTAATCATCTAATAGTGAGCAAAAGTCACAAAGCACATGGATATTTTATCAGAGAGGGATCATCTTCCCCTGTGGAGTGACCTTTATAGCAGCGACTTTCATGGCAGGAGTAATTTTTATAGGTGACAAAGCAAAACCTGCATCTGGCTTATAACCCACGCGTGGTGTGATTTTCCAGCTGCAGCAGCCTCTAGACTTTCCCTCTTCCAAGCTGGACCCTTGGTATCTGGCAAAGCCCGGATGGTTTTCTTCTCAAACCTATTGTCCCTTCTGCTATCTGGTTTGTGGAGTTGCTTGCAGAGGGCATGGTAACCCCACACCTGCACAGTATCACCCGTTTTCTAACACACTTCTGAGATCCAGGGGGAGCTACGGGCAGGTCCTGGATGGGCTGGAGACTCTGCCATTCTCATCACATTTCTGCCTGCTGATCTCATCCGGGCCCTCAAGAACTCTCTGTTCCTTACAGATTAAATGCAAATGGGCGCTGTGGCCACCTCCCCTGGCTGGTGCCTGCCAGTCTGTCCTCCCGTCAGCATCATTGCAAATACTTCTGAGATAGACCAGAGATGGGACTTGGACCCCTGCCCTGCCTCATCGAGGACTCTACTACAAGCTGGTTGGGGAGGGTGGCCCATGGCAGGCACAGACCCCAGTCAGATCATCCAGACGTTGCACCACAAATCTTGCTCAAGGTGCCATGCCCACTGAGTGCAGACCTTGAGGAAACGAAAACAAACAGCTCCCACCTTAAATCTTACTCAAGGGAGTTAACCCTATAGCCCGCACACACAGAAGACCAGAAAAATGACCATCTTTACCCTTTGCCTCATTATAATACTAAAAATCATGCCCGAGGGTGGAGCTTTAACATGCTAATGAGACATACCACACATCAAGAAGCATGTGACCAGACTGCACAGGCGCTGAACATTCCCCACCTCCACATGCTTAAACATCGCCCTTTTCCCATCCTACCTCCTTTCAGAATGCCGGGAGTGGTGGCTCATGCTTATAAACCCAGCACTTTGGGAGGTCGAGGTGGGCAGATCATATGAGGTCAGGAGTTCAAGACCAGCCTGGCCAACATGGTTAAACCCCGTTTCCACTAAAAATAAAATAGTCAGGCATGGTGGTACATGCCTGTAGTCTCAGTGACTCAGGAGGCTGAGGCAGGAGAATCTCTTGAACCAGGGAGGTGAAGGTTGCAGTGAGCTGAGATCACGCCACTGCACTCCAGCCTGGGTGACAGAGTGGGACTCCATCTCAAAAAAAAAAAAAAAAAGACAGGCCGGGCACGAGGGCTCACGCCTGTAATGCCAGCACTTCGGGAGGCCAAGGTGGGTGGATCACCTGAGGTTGGGAGTTCAAGAGCAGCCTGGCCAACATGGTGAAACCCCTCTCTACTAAAAATACCAAAAAAATTCTCCGTGCGTGGTGGCGCATGTCTGTAATCCCAGCTGCTTGGGAGGCTGAGGCACGAGAATTGCTTGAACCCAGGAGGCAAAGGTTGCAGTGAGTCAAGATCACGCCACTGACTGCACTCCAGCCTGGAAGACAGAGCAAGACTCCATCTCTAAAAAAAAAAAAAAAAAAAAAAGAACGCCTTCTGGACTTTTTGGGGAGTCAGCCCCTGAACCTCCACTCCAGTGCTGCCTTCTTTATGTTTGAACATAAGCCTCTAACAAAAGCCTCGTCCAGGAAAGTTTGAGTACATCAGAGCCTAAGACCCCATGGTCGGCAACACTTCCTCTCTCCATCCCCATCTCTGCCATTCTTGGTTTTTACCTCTTTCCCGCTAGGGCATCACCTGCAGTTCCCCAAACCACACTCTTCTCTAGAGATGTTTGAAGAAATCTGAATATGCCTGGTCTCTTACAGGGGCCCTAAATGGGGGTGATTTTGCCCCCCAGGGGACATTTGGCAATGTCTGACATTTTTGTCATCATGACTTGGGGTGCTGGTGTTACTAGCATCTGGTGAATAAAAGCCAGAGATGCTGCTAAAACTCCTTCAGTACCAGCCCCCAACTGTAACGAGGAATGATCCAGCTCCGAATGTCAGAAGTGCCGAAGTGGAGAGCTGATAACTCAACGATGGCAGATTACATCTGGCTGTTCCTTATCTTATGACCCAGGCAGGATGCTGTGAACCAAATCTATGTCCCGGACACACTGGAAAACTGGCCGGCAGGACCCTGGGCACCAAGTCACAAAGGGAAGAGGAGGGGCATCAGAAGGGGAGCCACTAACCCCATGTACCTTCAACCGGAACAGCCAGGCGGCAAATCCCAAATGGCTCTCCAAAGCTCACTTGCTCGTGGGAGAAGGTTGCATTGAGTCCAGCCACCTCAAAGGTCAGCTCTTCCGGGGTGCCCTGAGCCAATGAGATGGTGATCAATAGGTCCTGTCCAAGCTCCAAATGGTCAGAAGCCCAGGAGGCCTGCAGCCCTGACAGCAGCTCCACCAAGTGGACTGTAATGTTTCTGGAGATTGTAGAGGTGGTGGTGTTGCCGGTGGCTTGGATCTCCAGGCGGTGCCTCCCAGGGCCCATCAGTTTCTGGGTTTCTCTGTCCAGGATCAGATTGTACGGTAGCGAGCCCTTTTGGGTGGTGGACTCGGCCAGGGTTATGTCACCCAAAAGCACAGTGTAAGTCACTCCTGTTCCTAAGTGGGGTAAGAAAAATTAAAGAATGTTGGTAACAACCATGCGGTTGATAATACTATGGCAGCTCAGAGTCAGTCTCTGAAGCCTGATTCTGGATACAAACTTGGATACAGATGCAGACATAAAGAAATATGTAAGGATATGCCCCCTTCTCAAATATTAATGGTGGTTATCCCTGAGTATTAGGTTAATGACTGATTTCGTCTTTCTTTTGAGACAGGGTCTGGCGCTGTCGCCCAGGCTGGAGTGCAGTGGTGCGATCTCAGCTCACTGCAACCTCTGCCTCCCCGGTTCAAGTGATTCTCCTGCCTCGGCCTCTGGAGTAGCTGGGATTACAGGCGCCTGCTACCACACCCAGCTAATTTTTTGTATTTTTAGTAGAGACAGGGTTTCACCGTGTTAGCCAGGATGGTCTTGAACTCCTGACCTTGGATTTGCCCGCCTCAGCCTCCCAAAGTGCTGGGGTGACAGGCGTAAGCCACCGCTCCCGGCCGTGATTTTGTCATCTGGGGGTCCGCTCTGTTCATTTGCATATTCTAACTTATTTATACTATACATGTCTTACCCGAGAACCTAAATATTTGTAATTAAAAAATTACCACATTTAGTTGCCAGGGATGTCCTGGTCGGGGGAGGAGGAGGAGGACTAAAAGGGAGCATTTCTTAAGGGTGGGGGCTGATTTTTATGCATGAGAATTAGCTTTGGGTCTTGTTTTAAGCAGGAGCAAGTAAAGCCATTCCTTCATCCTACACTGGTGACCGCCCAGAACCCTGCAAACCAACATGAGAACTCAGCCCGTTCACGGGAAGATGGGGGCTCCCTTGCAGGTTGCAGATGGTTGTTCTTACTGGATGATAAATATTGCGGTTGACTCTTAAAATCTGACTTAAATCAACAAATTAGGATTCCTTCCAATAAAAACCAAGCTAGCGTAGTTCTCATCTGGGTGATGATGATGATAACTACGATATAAGCCCCATGAGAATGGGAACCCTGACTTTCATATTTACTGCTGCCTCGCCCACACCCGGCAGAGTAGTAGGCACTCAATTATATTAGTAGGATGAGTAAATAAATGAAGGATTATTTTGTTTCCTCAGGGGAACATATGAGCCCTCTTCATCCAACAAACATGCAAGAACAGAAGGGGTTTCCTGAGGGCTGTGTTAAAGCCCCATTATGACTTCCACAGCTATTGCTATGAGAGGGCTCCAGGTGGGATGTGAGGTCAAACCGAGCCACCTGCTCATTGCACTAGCTCTCTGCTGCCCTGTTTACATCAACAGGCCTCTATTCTAATCTCAAACTGGTCCTGGGCTTCAGGAAAAACGCTGCCCTGGGTGAGGATGAGTCTTAGCCAGGAGAGTCTCTATTGAGAGAAAGGATGATAATTTAAAATATTTAACAACCAGCACAGCATGGGCGCCAACCAATTAGAATGGATGCTCTGATAAATCAGAATAGACACTGCGACCAACAAATAGATGCCATGACCAATCAGAATAGATGCTGTGACCAATCAGAATGGACACCCTGACCCATCAAAATAGACATGACAACCAATCAGAGCAGTCTCTGTGACCGATTAGAAAACACAGGCTGGGCGCGGTGGCTCATGCCTGTAATCCCAGCACTTTGGGAGTCCGAGGCGGGTGGATCATGAGGTCAGGAGTTCAAGACCAGCCTGGCCAATATGGTGAAACCCTGTCTCTACTAAAAATACAAAAATTAGCTGGGTGTGGTGGTGGGCGCCTGTAATCCCAGCTACTTGGGAGGCTGAGGCAGGAGAATCGCTTGAATCCAGGAGGCGGAGGTTGCACTGAGCTAAGATCATGCCATTGCACTCCATCCTGGGACACAGCGAGACTCCATCTCAAAAAAAAAAAAAAAAAAAAAGGAAAACACACTGTGGGCAGGCACAGTGGCTCATGCCTGTAATCCCAACATTTTGGGAGGCCGAGGTGGGCAGGTTACCTGATGTCAGGAGTTCAAGACCAGCCTGGCCAACATGGCGAAATCCCATCCCTACTAAAATAGAAAAAAATAAAAAATTAACCTGGCATGGTGGCACGCACCTGTAGTCCCAGCTACCCAGGAGGCTGAAGCACGAGAATCACTGGAACCCGGGTGGTGGAAGTTGCAGTGAGCTGAGATCGCACCACTGCACTCCAGCCTGGATGACAGAGCAAGACTCTGTCTCAAAAAAAAAGAAAAGACACTGTGACCGATCAGAATGGACATGACAATCAATCAGAGCAGTCTCTGTGACCAATCAGAAAACACCCTGTGACCAATGAGAATGGACCTCAGCCATAACAGTTGGCATGGCTATACCAGTGGGTGCAGCTGAATACTGGCCTTGGCCAGGGGCAACTTGATTGTGCCAAGCTAGTCGATGCTGGCTGTACTGAGATGGGCTCAGGCCCAGTTGGTAGCAGTCCCAGTGCCACCTCATCCTAGTTAAATTCCCAAAAGGAAGTGACTCGGAAGTTCGGTTCTACAGGGATGCAAAGAAGGGCCTTTGGAAGGCTAGGAGCACTCACTACCTTACTAGCCTTCTGACTCTGGGCAAATGTTTTAACCTTTCTGTGTCTTCATTTCTTCATCTGTAACATGAAGATAATACTACTATGTAATGAGTAGACAAGTTTATGCAAAGCACTTAGAACAGTGCCTGGCACACACTAGGTGCTAAATAAATGAATAAATGATAGTTTAAAAATGAACTCGGTCAGGTGTGGTGGCTCACACCTATAATCCCAGCACCTTGGGAGGCCAAGCTAGGTGGATCATCTGAGGTCAGGAGTTTGAGACCAGCCTGACCAACATGGTGAAACCCTGTCTCTACTAAATACAAAAAATTAGCCAGGTGTGGTGGTGCATGCTTGTAATCCCAGCTACTTGGGAGGCTGAGGCAGGGGAATCACTTGAACCCAGGCGGTATAGGTTGCAGTGAGCTGAGATTGTGCCGTTGCACTCCACCTGGGCAACCAGAGCAAAACTCCATCTCAAAAAAAAAGAACTCAGTAGGTGATCCTTGTTACTATTTATTTACTTTTTTTTGAAACAGGGTCTCACTCTGTTGTCCTGGCTGGCATGCAGTAGCATGATCTCAGCTCACTACAGCCTCGACCTCCCGGGTTCAAGCCATACTCCCACCTCAGCCACCCAAGTAGCTGCAACTACAGGCATGTGCAACCATACCTGACTAATTTTTGTACTTTTTGTACAAATGGGGTCTCACCCTGTTGCCCAGGCTTGTCCCGAACTTCTGGGCTCAAGCGATGCGCCCGCCTCAGCCTCCCAAAGTGTTGGAATTGCAGGCTCAAGCCACTGCACCCAGCCCACTATTTATTAAGGTCTGGGAGTTGGATAGATTTGGAGGAAATCAGTGATTTTATAGCTTGCCTTGATGTGCCCAATTCTGCAGACTCACCTCCATCAAGCTCCACCTGAATCCACAGAGGATCCCCAAAGACAGCCTGGCAGAGAGGGCCGGCTCCTGACTGGGACAGGCCGGAGCATGCAGTCACACTGAGCGTCTCCATCTTGTCTCGCACGGTCACCTGCCTCTGAGCTGTCACATGCCACTCACTGGTTGTGCATTCAGCAAACACGGTGAATTCCCCAGGAGATGTGAACTGGTGGGTCACATTGCTGGACACATTGCCGGCCACAGTCAGGGACATGACCAGTGTTGGGGAAACACAAAGACACGCATTTACACATGCACTGACAGGGTTTGGATCTGCGCTCCTGCCCAAATCTCATGTTGAATTATAATCCCCAATGTTGGAGGTGGGGCCTGGTGGAAGGTGATTGGCTCATAGGGGCGTTTTCTCGCGAGTGGCTTGGCACCATCGCCCTGATGCTGTTCTCTTGGTAGTGAGTGGGTTTTCACAAGATCTGGTTGTTTAAAAGTGTATGGCTGGCCAGCCTTGGTGGCTTATGCCTGTAATCCCAGCACTTCGGGAGGCCGAGGCGGGCAGATCGCTTGAGGTCAGGAGACAGAGACCAGCCTGGCCAACGTGGCGAAACCCCATCTCTACTAAAAACACAAAAGTTAGCTGGGCGTGGTGGTGCACACCTGTAATCCCAGGTACTAGGGAGGCTGAGGCAGGAGGATCGCTTGAACCCAGAAGGCGGAGGTTGCAGTGAGCTGAGATCGCACCACTGCATTACAGGCTGGGCGACAGAGTAAGAGCCTGTCTCAAAAAAAAAAAAAAAAAAAAAAAAAAAAAAAAAAATCCAGCGAGTACTAGTAACACTAGCAATAATAGTAACAACTTAGACTATGTCGTTCCTGGCCTGAAAACCCTCCTATTATCCTCTGTAGTGGGTGCTACAGGGAATCCCCCAGATTCCACCCTTCAAGCCTGAGCATGCATTCCCCCAGTACACCTGTGAGCTGTGGCTGAGGGCTTACAGCTGAATCCATGTCCAGGAGTCCCTTTTAGCCAAAGGGAGCTGCCTCGCTCAAACCTACCTCCCCTCCCATGGACATCTGCACCCCACGAGTGCTCAGTGCCGGGGTATAATGGTCTGGCTCTCTGGCCTCAACTGGAAGCAACTCTGAGGGCCATCTCTGCTCAGAGGTTTCTGCAGGATCGTCAGGGTCTCTGTGGCCCCTGCATCCCAGTTCAACTCTCCTCTTGCCCCATCTTACTACTCCCTTCCCATGCTCCACAACAGAGTCTGTTTCCTGGTTCCTGTGAGACAAAGTAGCAAACTCAAGGAGATAGGTGTGCTCATTTCTGTTAGCCAGCATAATCACAGGAAGCCCCTGACTGCAGTGACAGGCAGCCCTCCAGAACACTTTGAAGACAAAACAGAATAGAGTGCTCGGCTTCCACGTCTCTAGCCTGAGTCACTATATCCCTAAAAAGATAAATGACTGGTCCTTTTCTTACATATAAGATAATGTCTCGCTGGGTGCAGTGGCTCACGCCTGTAATCCCAGCACTTTGGGAGGCCGAGGTGGGCGGATCACGAGGTCAGGAGATTGAGACCATCCTGGCTAACACGGTGAAACCCCGTCTCTACAAAAATACAAAAAAAAAAAATTTAGCCAGGCGTGGTGGCGGGCGCCTGTAGTCCCAACTACTTGGGAGGCTGAGGCAGGAGAATGGCGTGAACCCGGGAGGAGGAGCTTGCAGTGGGCCGAGATCGCGCCACTGCACTCCAGCCTGGGTGACAGAGCAAGACTCCGTCTTAAAGAAAAAAAAAAAAAGATAACATCTGAGATGGCTGGTGATTATGCTTCTGCAATCTACAACAAGATTTTTTTTTTTTTTTTTTGAGACAGAGTCTTTCTCTGTTGCTCAGGCTGGAGAGCAGTAGCAGGATCTCCGCTCACTGAAACCTTCGCCTGCCAGGTTCAAGCGATTCTCCTCCATCAGCCTCCTGTGTAGCTGGGAATACAGGCATGCACCACCACGTCCAGCTAATTTTTTTTTTTTTTTTTTTTTTTTTAGTAGAGATGGAGTTTCACCATGTTGACCGGGCTGGTCTTGAGCTCCTGACCCCAAGCGATCTGCCCACCTTGGCCTCCCAAAGTGCTGGGATTACAGGCATGAGCCACCGAAGCCGGCCAACAAGATATACTTTAGTCATCTAGAGGCAGATGCACTCTTGCACCCAAACTTTGATGTGATTTTACGTGGACTGAACCTCCACAACCCATATAGAAGCTGTGAGCTGAAACACTGTTTTGGAGCAGTCTGGCAGAACCTCTTTGAAAGACCTCCCAGGCTGTAGTTCTCAGTCTGTCGTCCTGAACAAAACTAACTTTAATTATTTAAAAAGCTTGATTTTTCTTTAGTTGACAGACCCCACCTACGTTAGACTGGCTAGCATCAACAGCTCTTCAGGACCAGGCTCCTGCTGAGTTTTTCAGCATCTTTCATTCTTCCACAGAGTCCTGAACTCCAGGCATGGCGAGGTCCTTGCAGTTATTTGAATACGCCACATGCTTTCAGGTCCATGCTACTCTCTTTTCTCTAGATCCATTGCTCTTGCCTTATAATTCTGGTTCCCCGAGAGAGGACTTTAGCTCTAGGTCACTCTAAGGCTCCTGCTGTTTTGTGGATTATTAGTTTCAGACAAATCTCTGCACGCCCAATATCAGCTGTGCGCAGAAGCAGCCGATTAACGGAAGAACAATGTCAATCCCTAGATTTGCCAGAAGGTGGCGCTCAGCTAACCAACGCTGGATTCACACAGATTTCACCAAAAGCAAATTGTTCTGTAAGGCCCGTAATACAGTTTCAGAAATGTGGAAAATTTTCCATGACAAACACAGAAAAAAAAAAGGCCCTCCATGCAAATGAATATAAGGCAAGGTAAAAAGGAGCTTCTAACAGAGAAGTCTTCTGACTCCTAAGCAATGCAATTCTTCCCAGGAGCTCTTATTATTTATCAACAATGGATACGAAGGGTTTGATTTAAACATCTCACCTCTTAGACTAATGATGAGTTAAGAAAAAGGAGGCTGCACCAACACATAAGAGAAAAGCACAGTGATATTTACACAAAAAAATGTGGCTTCCGTACATTCAAAAATCAAAATTCATGCTATTTTCCCTATCATAACCTGAGTTCTGTGGCTGCTAGTATTGATAAGAAGGCATCAGAAAGGCATTTCCCAGTGTTTATAAAAATGATTTTTAAAAGGTGGGTGGTGACCAGGCACAATCGCTCACGCCTGTAATCCCAGCACTTTGAAAAGCCGAGATGGGCAGATCATCTGAGGTCAGGAGTTCAAGACCAGCCTGGACAACATGGCAAAACCCCACCTCTATCTACTAAAAATACAAAAATTAGCTGGGCGTGGTGGAGCATGCCTGTAGTCCCAGCTACTCGGGAGACAGAGGCAGGAGAATCGCTTGAACCTGGGATATGGAGGTTGCGGTGAGCCGAGATCATGCCACTGCACTCCAGCCTGGGTGACAGAGCAAGACTCTGCCAATCCTCCACCCGCCCCCCCCCCCCCCAAAAAAAAGGTGGGTGGGTAGTTTCAAGGTCCAACAAATCTTTAATGTAAAGGAAGATGGACTATTTGGGTGGGGCAATGGTGGAGGAGGTGCCACCATCTATTTCCTTTGAAAGAGAAAAAAATGTCAGTGATTGTTGTTTAGAGCTAATGCCCAGAGAGACTGCAAATGTCAAACAGTGCTGTGTCTTAGATTTTAATCGCACAAAAACTTCCAGAGAATAATACAACAAACACCCTTGGATTCGCCATCCAGACTTAACAAACATTAACATTTGGTCCCATTTGCTTCTGTTCTAAACCACTGTTTATCACTGAAAAGTCCTGTGTAGCTGTGGGTCATAGCGGGGCTACATTTAGGCAATTTTGACTTATGCCAAATTCAAGTTCTACAAGATTTGGGGGCTGAAAGATTGTGTAACTTACAATCTGTCGTTTTCTTTACAAACTCATAGCAGTCAGGAAGAAACCCACAGAACAGTGGCATAGGTATTTGTATCACCCAGATATTTGCCCCCAAAACATCACTGTAAATAGTTTCTCATTTGACACCATGAAACATTCAAGGCAGCCACGAACACAAATGTGACAGGGGGCCATGTGCTGTGGCTCACACCTGTACTACCAGCACTGTGGGAGGCCGAGGGGGTAGATCACTTGTGGTTAGAGGTTCGACACCAACCTAGCCAACGTGGTGAAACCCTGTCCCTACTAAAAATACAAATATTAGCCAGGCATGGCGGCACATGCTTGTAGTTCTAGCTACTTGGGAGGCTGAGGCAGGAGAATCGCTTGAACCCAGGAGGTGGAGGTTGCAGTGAGCCGAGATCGAGCCATTGCACTCCAGCCTGGGCGATGGAGAAAGACCCTGCCTCAAAAAAAAAAAAAAAAAAAAAGAAAGAAAGAAAAGAAAAGAAAAGAAAACCTATGAGGTAGAGTGTTTGCAAAAGTAGCAGCAACAGTTCCTCCCATCCCATATAGAAGCACCTCGCAGTGTGGCTCCACACTCCTTCTATCAGTAGGTGGGGTCTATTCCTCCACCTCTTGAATCTGGTCTTGGCCATGGAACTTGCTTTGGCCAACGGTATCTTAGAAAATGTAACACAAGCAGAGATTTGAAAAAATGTTTGCGCATTGGGCTCCGCTGCTAGGAACACTGTGTGAATGAGCCTAGGCTAACCTGTTGAGTGATGAGCAGCATATGCTTCTAGCTGACATCCAGCTGACCACTAGGCATGTGAGTGAGTGAGGTCTTCCCGGACAGCCTACCCCAGCCAACTCCACTCAGACAAGAAAAGCCGCCCAGCTCTCCAAAGAACCGTAAGAAATGGTAACTATTGTTTTAAGCCACCAAGTTTTGGGTTGGTTTGTTATGTGGCAAAAAAACTGATGATACAACCTGGCTCAAGGCTCAGAGATTTCTCTTACCTCGGCGGGTTGTAGGGATCAAAAGTGTGGCTGTCTCCTGTACTAATTATACAGGACAGGTTTCCTATGTAGGGTGAGAGGAGCCACGTCAGGGAGATGGTGACATTGTCAAAGATGAAACTCTCACTGGACACCATCAGCTGCAGGGCTGTGGATTAAAACATAAAATGCTGCATGCACTTGTGAAGCAAAATTGCACATTTCTGTTTATAACCGACTCTCTTCTGGCTACCTGTCCAGTATTTTTATGTGGGTCTTTTTTTTTTTTTTTTTTTTTTTCTCACAGGGTCTTGCTCTTTCACCCAGGCTGGAGTACAGTGATGCGATCATGGCTCACTGCAGCCTCGATCTTTCCAGGCTCAGGTGATCTTCCCACCTCAGTAGAGACTGAGTAGCTGGGACTACAGGTATGTGCTACCACACCCACTAATATTTATTTTTATTTTTTGAGACAGGGTTTCACTCTGTCGCCCAGGGTGGAGGGCAATAGCATGATCTCTGCTCACTGCAACCTCTGCCTGCTAGGTTCAAGTGATTCTCCCACCTCAGCCTCCCAAGTAGCTGGGATTACAGGTGCATGCCACTACGGCTGGCTAATTTTTGTATTTTTTGGTAGAGACAGAGTTTCACCATGTTGGCCAATGGTCTCGAACTACTGACTTCAAGTGATCTACTCCCCTCAGCCTCCCAAAGTCCTGGGATTACAGGCATGAGCCACCACACCCAGCCTAATTTTTAGATTTTTTGTAGAGACGGGGTTTCTCCACGTTGTCCAGGCTTGTCTCCAACTCCTGGGCTCAGACTATCCTCCTCCCTCCCAAAGTGCTGGGATTACAGGCGTGAGCCACCGCGTCCAGCCAAGGGGAGCAACTTTGAATGAGGGAGTCTCTTAGCACACAGAGATCAGCCCACGTGGGTGGCTGCTGTCTCTGTTTTCAGGGGAAGCTGGACATGCCATAAAATCAGAGGGACATTTCTATGCTCAAGCAAGTCGGGGACTCACCTTCCCGGCACTGGTACTGCACCCACAGGTAACTGCCCTGAGTCGGACACAGGTTTCCAAAGTAGGTCTCATCTGCTGCCACCTGGCATGACTGTAGCTCCTGGCACTGGCCTGGGAAGCACGCACATCCCAGCGGAAGCAGGAATGGTGTGCAAGACAAAAGAGGATACATTCAACAGAGCTGTACAGAGATGAATGGCCTCTCACCCACTCATTCATTTACCCACCATCCGCCCAACAAATAGCTTTTGATATCTCCTGAAGACCAGGTACTGGGCTAGGTACTCAGGTGAGGGAGAAGTAGGATTTCTGTCCTCAAGTAGTTCAGGGTCTAGCATCCTGGTCTCAAACTTCAGCTTGCAACAGATCCCCCTGTGAGTCTTGTGAAGATACCATATTCCAGACCCCACCCTCAGCGATTCTGATTCAGTAGGTATGGAGTGCAGCTGGAGAATATGCATTTCTAACCAGTTCCTATGGGATGCTGATCCTGACATTGCTGGCCCAGGGACCCCACTTCAAGAACCACTGGTCCAGCAGCGTCTAGAGAGATGGCCCAAAATAGAAATCTACACCCAGAGAACCGGCAGAGGAGGCAAGATTAGGAATCCTGCGTCTATCATGGTACCACATGCCCACAGAAGGGAGGAGCAGGGACAGCCCATTCCAGAAGCTTCAGGGTCATCCAGCACCTCTCCCTCCTGCCCAGCGAGATCTGTTAGATGCCCACAGGGAAGCCTGGGAGAAAGAAACAGGTCCAGAACACCCACCTGTGCTTCTCCCAGTTACCTGCTAGGTCCCACTTCTTCTGGGCAGTTGGCCCTGGGCCCACAGAGCCACCCTCACCCTGCCATGCTTGTATCACAGCGAACTACATTTTCCAAACTCCCTTGGCCACTGGCTCCCAGGTAGGCTTGGCCAATGGCCGGCACTACTGAAAGACTGGAGGGTGGTGTATTCATTTCCAATCACTGTTGTAACAACTTACCACTAACTTAATGACTTAAATCTACATAGATTTGGCTGGGAGTGGTGGCTCACACCTATAATCCCAGCACTTTGGGAGGCAGAGGTGGGCAGATTACCTGAGGTCAGGAGCTCGAGACCAGCCTGGCCAACATGGCAAAACCCTGTCTCTACTAAAAATACAAAAATTAGCTGGGCGTGATGGCACATGCCTGTAATCCCAGCTACTCAGGAGGCTGAGGCAGGAGAATAGCTTGAGCCTGAGAGGTGAAGATTGCAGTGAGCAGAGATCACGCCATTGCACCCAATCCTGGATTACAGAACAAGACTCAGTCTCAAAACAAACAAACAAACAAAAACGCAGATTTTTGTCCAGGTATGGTGGCTCATGCCTGTAATCCCAGCAATTTGGGAGGCTGAGTCAGGTGGATCACTTGAGGTCAGAAGTTCGAGGCCAGACTGGCCAACAAGATGAAACTCCATCTCTACCAAAAATACAAAAACTAGCTGGGTGTGGTGGCACGCGCCCGTAGTCCCAGCTACTTAGGAGGGTGAGGCAGGAGAATCACTTGAACCAGGGAGGTGGACGTTGCAGTGAGCTGAGATTGCGCCACTGCACTCCAGCCAAGGCAACAGAGCAAGACTTTGTCTCAAAACTAAAATAAACAAAAATAAAGCAGCACAGATTTTTTAAATCTCACAATTCTGTATGGTGGTCAGAAGTCTGGGTGGGCTCAGCTGGCCTCTGCTCATATCACAGGGCCGACACCAAGGTGTCAGGGCTGTGTTTCTTTTTTTTTTTTTTTTTGAGATGGAGTTTTGCTCTTGTTGCCCAGGCTGGAGTGTAGTGGTGCGATCTCGGCTCACCGCAATCTCTGTCTCCCAGGTTCAAGCGATTCTCCTGCCTCAGCCTACTGAGTAGCTGGGATTACAGGCATGTGCCACCACAACCAGCTCATTTTGTATTTTTAGTAGAGATGGGGTTTCTCCATGTTGGTCAGCCTGGTCTTGAACTCCCAACCTCAGGTGATCCACCTGCCTCGGCCTCCCAAAGTACTGGGTTTACAGGTGTGAGTCACTGCCCCTGGCCATTTTTTTTTTTTTTTTTTGATACGGAGTCTCGCCATGTCACCCAGGCTGGAGTGCAGTGGTGCCATCTTGGCTCACTGCAACCTCTGCCTCTCAGATTCAAGCAATTCTCCTGCCTCACCCTCCTGAATAGTTGGGGCTCCAGATGTACACCACCATACCCGGCTAATTTTTGTATTTTTAGTAGAGACAGGGTTTCACCATGTTGGACAGGCTGGCCTTGAACTCCTGATGTCAGATGATCCACCCACCTCAGCCTCCCAAAGCACTGGGATTACAGGTGTGAGCCATCGTACCCAGCCTCTTGCTTTTTTTAAGCATCTCTTCTCCCTTGACACAGCAGTTCCCCCAGTGGAAGCTCCAATTAACTGGCAGCTGTCAGCATTTAACTAGACTCAGACCCTACCCCCCAGGATTCTGATTCAGTAAGTATGGGGTGCAGCTGGAGAGTGTGCACGTCTAACAAGCTCCCAGGGGATGCTGATCCCGATACTGCTGGCCCAGAGCCAGCTGGAACAGAGCATGCAGAAATTTCAACCCCATTTGCAGAGTGCATACAAGGTGCTACACTCTTCCCCCAGGTTCTCCTGACCCTCACAGGAGCCCCATGAAACTTAGAAAGATTCTGCAACTTGCCTGGATCACCCAGGCAGCAGGGGCTGAGCTGGGATTTGAACCCCAACCTGCCGCCCTTTTGCCATGTACCCTGCTGCCCACATCCCAGGGGGTTCTGCCCCATCCTTGGACTCGGTCTAAGCAGTTTGCTTAGACAAACTGGGGGTGGCAGCAGGGCTCACCTTCCAGCTCACAAATTAAACCACGCATAATATTCAACATCCCCTTGTAATGGATAAACTGCCTCAAGACGCAGAGGCCACGTCCCTGCTGAGGTTTTTTTCTAATACTGTTGTTACCCAGCGAGACCATCCTGGGCTCTCTCTCCACCATCACGGTTCATACTGCAGTCCACACCTGAGCCTGCCACCTCATGTCCTCACCACCTTGTCCCCCAGTCTTTCTCGTGGCTGGATCCTGCACTTCCCTCACAGCCAGGCTCCTGATGCCGCCCCCGTAAAGCTTTCCTGAGCCCCACCTCCACCCCGTGATCTGGGGGGCCCCTCTGATCAAAAGGGAACACGAGCCACCACCACATCTCTGTTCTCAGATTAAACAGACTCAAAGAGAGGTCTAATTCCAGAACTTGAGGACAGAGTTTTTTCTATGACTCTTCGTAGCCACATATAATCCACTTAAAAAAAAAAAAAAACTAAATCTGATCTAATTCCAGGATTTAACACGCCTTGCAGACAAAATTTAAAATCCCTTCAGGTCCCCAGATGCCTTGAGGCTCAGAATGTGGCCCAAAGACATTTGGGATCCTAAGTGGCATCACTTGGGAGTGAGTTGGAAATCAAGTCGGAGGTTTTTAAAAATTTTTGGTTCACTGCAACATCTCCAGGACATAGAACAGTACCTGGCACATAGTAGGTACAAAATAAGTTTTGCATGACTAAATAGATAGTGTTTGCTCTTCTGGGTTGCGGCATTTATCACAGCATTAGTTAATTGCCTGTATATCACTGTCTCCCCACTCCGCCGCAAGCTCTTTGAAAAACAGAGCTTGGGCCAGGTGCGGTGGCTCATGCCGGTAATTCCAGCACTTTGAGAGGCCAAGGTGGGTGGATCACTGGAGGCCAGGAGGTACAGACCAGCCCGGGCAACATGGTGAAACCCTTTCTCTACAAAAAATACAAAAATTAGCTGGGTGTGAGGGTGCTTGCCTCTAATTCCAGCTACTTGGGTGGCTGAGGCAGGAGAATCGCTTGAGCCCGGGAGGCGGAGGTTGCAGTGAGCCACGACTGTGCCACTGCACTCCAGCCTGGGCAACAGAGCAAGACTCCATCTCAAAAAAAAAAAAAAAAAAAAAAAAAAAAAAAGCACCACCAAAAAAAACCAAGTGTTTATTGGCTAACTGAATGAATGAGGGACCAGGGTGCTTAGATACAGACCCCGCGGGATCCTCTCTGCGCTCCTCCTCCGACTCCCACAACAGGGCTCCCCTCTAACGTGCTCTCTGAGCTGTGGGTACCACATTTCAGGAACTTGCAGCTGAGCCTTTGAGGAAACAGCTCACTAAGCCCCAGCAGTGCCTTGGTGAGGAAGGTACATCCATTCTCCCGTCCGGGGCCCTTTCTCCTTGCAGGGGCCACAGCCTCAGGAACGCTGGAGTAAGAAGAGTCAGTGAAAACCAGCCAGCTGATTTTAGCGTTTCCTTTCCCCATGCCTGCTCCAAAAGGCAGGAGGACAGAGGAGCCATTCTCAGTTCCCCGAGGCAGGAGAAAGTTCTGGGAGTACTGGCGTCCCTCCCTGAATCTTCAAAGGGTCTTTGGGCAGAAGCAGAGGCTCAGAGGAGAGTGCCAAAAGGCACAACTGGGGAGGCTGGCCCCCAGGACCTGAGGCTTGCAGCCTGGCCACACGGGGCTGTGTCCTCACTTAGCCAAGAAGCAGCAGGCCACTTGCTTTCCTGGACCCTCCAGCGGGGACAGTGGTGACTGCAGCAGAAAGAAGAGGGTTTCCCGATGTCCTGGACCAGGGAAGTCTCTGAGGAGTTTTTACCTCCTAGCAGGGTGCAAGAAACCCCCATAATCCCGGAAATTGAATCCTAGTCACTGGGCAAGCGCAACTCAGAAGTAGATTTAATCTGATTTAGAAAAACAAAGCCCTAGAGTAACTCTCCCACGTGAACAAGATACCATCTATCAGGAGCTTGGCTTCAGCGTTATTCACAGTCACAGAGATTAAGAACCAACCTTTCTCAACAGGAGAAGAGACAAATGGCGGCACAGTTACACAACAGATGAAACAAATAAACCAGCACAACATGTATCAAGACGGATAATACATCTCAAAAACAAGATGTTGAGCAAAACACAGGAACCAAAATGAAAAGAAAAATGCATTCTATAGAACGACACACAATATGATACCATTTATATAAACATTAAAACCCTGCAAAGTGGCCAGGCACAGTGGCTCACACTTGTAATCCCAGGAAGGCCAAGGTGGGCGGATCACCTGAGGTCAGGAGTTCGAGACCAGCCTGGCAAACATGGTGAAACCCCGTCTCTACTAAAAATATAAAAAATTAACCTGGTGTGGTGGCGCACGCCTGTAGTCCCAGCTACTCGGGAGGCTGAGGCACAAGAATCGCTTCAACCCAGGAGGCAGAGGTTGCAGTGAAAAGAAATTGTGCCACTGCATTCCAGCCTGGGTGACAGACTGAGACTCCGTCTCAAAAATAAATAAATAAAAAATAAATTAAAAAAATAGATTTAAAAAAAAGCCCTGCAAAAGCAACAGTCTGTAGTGTTTAGGAATACGTGCCTAGAAGGTGAAAATAAAGCAGGCGCAGTGGCTCACGCCCGTAATCCCAACATTTGGGGAGGCCGAGGCAGGCGGATGGCCTAAGCTCAGGAGTTCGAGATCAGCCTGGTCAACATGGTGAAACCCCGTCTCTTCTAAGAATACAAAAACTGGCCAGGAGTGGTGGCACCTGCCTGTAATCCCAGCTACTCGGGAGGCTGAGGCATTAGAATCGCTTGAACCCAGGAAGCAGAGATTGCAGTGAGCTAAGATCGGGCCACTGCACTCTAGCCTGGGCAAGAGTGAGACTCTCTCTCAAAATAAAGAGAGGGATCCACAGGAGTCTCCTAGTGTTGTATTCATTTTTCTTTTTCCTTTTTCTTTTCTTTTTTTCTTTTTTGAGACAGAGTCTTGTTCCATCGCCCAGGCTGGAGTGCGATGATCTGATTTCGGCTCACTGCAACTTCCGCCTCCAGGGCTCAAGCGATTCTCCTGCCTCAGCCTCCCAAATACCTGGGATTACAGGCATGTGCCACCAGCCCGGCTAATTTTTGTATTTTTAGTAGAGATGGGGTTTCACCATGTTGGCCAGGCTGGTCTGGAATTCCTGACCTCAGGTGATCCACCTGCCTTGGCCTCCCAAGTGCTGAGATTACAGGCATGAGCCACCACGCCCGACTGTATTGATTTTTCTAACGAGGGAATCTTAAGCAAATGAGGCACGGTGTTCAGATCTGATGAAGGTGGGTAGTAGATCTGTGGGAGTTCATTACAGTATTTTCTATTCTTGTCTATACGTTTGGAGTATTTCAAAAATTTAAAAATTAAGTTAAAAAAGTGATGTTTCCTGCATCCAGCAGGGGTCGAGGCACGCCATGCCCACCAGATCCATGGCTGTGTTTGATGTCGGGGAGGGTGGACCACAGCCCCCTGCTTCCTTGCTCCGTGCGATGGGCAGGGACTGGCCAGTTTTCCCCCATGTTGGAGGCCCACGGTCAGAGATGAAGATTATCAGAGGCTTCCGGAACCCTTTGCTGAGCACAGAATACCAGCAACTGCCCTCTGCTGGCCGCCAGAGCTGCAGAGCCCTTGGGCCCTACCTGCCACCTCCTCCTTGACGTTGGCCCAGCTGCATCCCTGCTCCAGATCTGAAGGACGCCCGGCATCCTGGGTGCAGAAATGGGGATTCTGGCGCCCGTAGACGGCATCCTGGACCTGGATGACCTGCCCCAAGCCACAGTGCACGGTGGCATTGAGTCCCTCGCAGGCCAGGCTCTGGCCAACCCCTGAGGCAAAGGGAAGGCAAGACATTAGGGGGGCTCACGGTTACAGACAGGTGAGTGCCGGTTCACGGGAAGAGGAGGGTCCCGGGGGTTGGGCTGAGATGCAAGAACCCGATAGGAGCCGCTTGGCAGGGGTGATAAATTGAATATGATTGTCGGCAGCATTGTGCTGAGCCAGGTTCCCTGGGATCAGATCCAGCCCAGCCACACACTGCTGCTGTGTGACCTTCAGCAAGTTAGTTAGCTTCTCTGTGCCCCCACTCTCATACTAAACCTCATGCAGGCCGGGCTCCGTGGCTCACCCCTGTAATCTCAGCACTTTGGGAGGCCGAGACGGGCGGACCACTTGAGGTCAGGAGTTCGAGACCAGCCTGGCCAACATGGTGAAACCCCGTCTCTATTAAAAAAAATACAAAAATTATCTGGGGATGGTGGCTCGCACCTGTAATCCCAGCTACTCGGGAGGTTGAGACAGGAGAATCACTTGAACCTGGGAAGCGGAGGTTGCAGTGAGCCAAGATCACACCACTCCAGCCTCAGTGACAGAGCAAGACTCCATCTCAGAAAAAAAAAAAAAAAAAAGCGGGAAAGACAGAAACAGAGATGAGACAGGTGGGCAGGCAGGAAGGTGGGCAGGTGGATGGGGACAGGGCAGGGATGAGTGACGGAGCATCACGTGGGCAGAGAGAGATGCATAGAGACAGGGAGAGAAAGCTGCGGACAGAGGTAAGGTCAGAAAAACACACACAGGTCAGCTCTTCAGCAGGGAGATGGGGACAGAAACCGGCAGGCCCTGAAGAGCGAGAGGGAGACAGAGAGACCACAGAGGCAGGAAGAGAGTCAGAGACCAAGGGAGAGAAAGAGAAAGAGTTAGAGAAAAACAGAAGGGGAAGAAAGACCCAGAGAAAACTGAGACAGGGGAGGCGGCAAGAGAAAGAGAAGGTCAGAGAGATGGAGGCAGGAACAGGAGGGAGAGGCGAGCCTGGAGAGAGGCCTGCAGGCAGGCAGGGAGACAGGGTGGGAGATGGGAACTCAGGGGCACGGGCCACTCACGGAACTCGCACATGAAGGCGAAGGTCTGGGCGCAGTCCGAGGTCACCCACTCAGAGGAAGGGCCTCTCCCGATGTGGCCGCAGGTGTCAGGGGCAGCGGCGGCCTGCCCTCCATGCCAGTTGCTGTAGGTCACATTGGAGGTGTCCAACCAAGTCCCCGGCCCTGGAAGGGCAACACGACCACCAGGACTCAGTAACTGTCTTCAAACTCCATTTATACAAATGCAGGACTCACGCCTGCTCTGCCGCTGCTGGGCAGCAGGTCAGCAATTAATGTTGATGGGATGGAGACCTCTCTCTCCAGGACCAATAAAGTTCTCTTCCTCACTGTCATCATCAAACACTCAATGTAAGAACTGGAACACCAAATTGGAGAGCTTGCAAAAGGTGCTTTGATTAAATAAATGAGGCTGCCAGCTCTGTCTAACCATAATCAATAATTTATTTATTTTGAGATGGGGTCTTGCTCTGTCACCCAGGTTGGAGTGCAGTGGTGCCATTTCAGCTCGCTACAAGCTCCACCTCCCAGGCTCAAGTGATCCTCCCAGCTTAGCCTCCTGAGTAGCTGAGACCACAGGTGCAAGCCGCTATGCCTGGCTGATTTTTTTGTATTTCTGGCAGAGACAGGGATTTTGTCTTGTTGCCCAGGCTGGCCTCCAACTCCTGAGCTCAAACTCCACCCACCTCAGTCTCCCAAAGTTCTGGAATTGCAGGCATGAGCCACCACACCTGGCCCTGAGCACAGTCTAAGGAAGAGCCAGGGGCCAGGCCCAGTGGTTCATGCTTGTGATCCTAACATTGTGGAGGTGGGAGGATCACTTGCACCCAGGAGTTTAAGACCAGCCTGGGCAACCTAGAGAGACCTTGTCTCTACAAAAAAAAAAAAAAAAAAATTTAGTCAGGCATGCTGCCTGTGGTCCCAGCTACTCGGGAGGCTGAGTTGGGAGGATTGCTTGAGCTGAGGTTGGGGCTACAGTGAGCCATGATCGTGCCCCTATATTCTGGCCTGGGAGACAGAGCAAGACCCTGTCTCAAAATAATAATAATAATAATAATAATAATAATAATAATAATAAAGTCCAGAAGTGGGCTAAGGGATGTTTTAACATATCATCTTCTTCATAAGCTGTGTCCCTTGCCAAGTACACCTGGGCAGTGCTGAGTTAAAACATGAGCAGTTATTGTTACTTTGGGCCTCTTCAGATCCTTGAAAATACTGATGTAACTCTTTAAAAGGAGTGTGTGTGTGTTTATGTGTGTGTGTGTGTGTGTGTAAAACAGAACCATGTCGAGGACACCAGAGAGCTAGAAAACACTAAATATCAAAATTTACTATGGATTGGGCATGGTGGCTCACGCCTGGAATCCCAGCACTTTGGGAGGCCAAGGTGGATGGATCACTTGAGGCCAGGAGTTCAAGACCAGACTGGCCAACATGGTGAAACCCTGTCTCTATTAGAATTACAAAAATTAGCCATAATTCCAGCTACTAGGGAGGCTGAGGCAGGGGAATCACTTGAACCCGGGAGGCAGAGGTCGCAGTGAGCCAAGATGGTGCCGCCACTGCACTCCAGCCTGGGAAACAGAGTGAGATTGTCTCAAAAAACAAACATTTATTATGGGTACTCAGAAACGTAATTATTAATTTATTGAAAGAGACTCATGCAAATGAAATGGTTTTAAAAAATCCAAAGGGTCTAAAATGAAAGTATCTTCCCTCTCCAAGCTATGGGCTTCTCCATCATTGTTATGTTTCTCATAAATGATTCCAGGATGAATTGAATTGTATCCACACATCAGCATCTATGAGTGCCTGAAATCTACTTACATAAATGTCATGTGATTGCACACAGTATCTGGCCCTTGCTTCTTAAATGACATTAAATATTGGAGGTTGTTGCCTATCAGCCTAGTTAGAACTACCTCATTTTCTGCAACAGCCACACGGTATCCCTGGAGAGGTGTTAATAGGCACACCTCCTCTAGCTGGATGTGAAAGGATGTTCAATACACAGAAATCGGCAATTGTTGCATCTACACCTCAAGAAACCATTCAGGAGACATTGTCTGCAGGGGCGTCTTAAGAATTCAAATCCCCTTGGCTGTGGGTTTTCTTAAATGAGCTTCCCGGTAGCTCATTTATTAAAACACTTCCATCCACGCTGGTGTTGTTCTGTGGCTGTTCGGCACAGGCCATGTCTCATTTCTCAAACCCAGTAGCTTCTACAGGGGCAAAGAGAACCTCTGGGTACCAAGGTGCCCAGTAGGAAAGTCAGGCTTAGCATTGCTCTGACTGGTAGAGACCCCACTGTGCACCACCAGCTATGTCATGTTGAGCACGTCTTTTCTCTCTAGACTTCATTTTCCTCCTCCGTGAAAGGAGAGTAGCCACGCTTACCTCATGGGATCCGTGTGAGGCTTAAATGCAAATGTTTTCTTGTCCATTCTCTCTCTCTCTTTTTTTTTTTTTTTTTTTTTTTGAGACAGTTTCTCTCTGTGTTGTCCAGGCTGGAGTGCAATGGCACAATCTTGGCTCACTGGAACCTCTGTCTCCTGGGTTGAAGGGATTCTCCTGCCTCAGCCTCCTGAGTAGCTGGGATTACAGGTGCGTGCTACCATGCCCAGCTAATTTTTCTATGTTTAGTAGAGATGAGGTTTCACCATGTTGGCCAGTCTGATCTCGAACTCCTGACCTTGAGTGATCCACCTGCCTCGGCCTCCCAAAGTGCTGGGATTACAAGCGTGACCCACCACGCCCAGCCTCCTTGTCCATTCTCAATTGTGTCTAGGCACTGGGAAAACAAAAATGGCCAGGGTATGGTTCTTTCCTTGAAGGGCTTGTAGTCTAGGAGGGAGACAGACAACTTAGCTGTTTAAGCCACAGCAAAAGTACTGCCTTGGAAGTGTGAACAGGGCCCTGCAGGCTCGTAGAGAACGACTCACCTGACTGCACTGGGTGGGGGAAGGAGCCTTCAGAGAATAAAGGAGGACTAAGACTTTCAGGACCATTAAAATTAGACTGTGAATGGAACTATGCTAAGCACTTGGTCTGCTTTAATGTCAGAGCAAGTGGGGAAAGACAAGTGGGACACTTTAAAAAATAGCTTAGTCATTATTTTCTGAGACTCAGTTTTCTCATCTGTAAAATGGGGACATAAGGCCGGGCGCAGTGGCTACCACCTGTAATCCCAGCACTTTGGGAGGCCAAGGCAGGCGGATCACAAGGTCAGGAGATCGAGACCATCTTGGCTAACACGGTGAAACCCCGTCTCTATTCAAAATACAAAAAATTAGCCGAGCATAGTGGCATCTGCCTGTAATCCCAGCTACTTGGGAGGCTGAGGCAGAAGAATCACTTGAACCAGGGAGGCAGAGGTTGCAGTGAGCCGCGATCGTGCCACTGCACTCCAGCCTGGGCAACAGAGAGAGACTCTGTCTCAAAAATAAATAAATAAATAAATAAATAAATAAATAAAAAATGGGGACATGATTTTTCTCATTGTTATTGTAAGAATTCAACATGATAGTGACAACGAAGCACTCAGGATAGTGCCTGGCACTATCCTAGCAAGAATCAAAGCAGTCAGAGTATTACTATTAGGAACAGGCAAAGAAGCGAACATTTCTAGAGGGTCAGAATTTGATGTGCCAGATTCTGTGCTAGGCATTAGACATGAATTATTTAATCCACAACACAACCAAAGGGAAGGGTATCCATACCATGAGAATTAGGTCGTATTAATTTGTTCCATGTTTCTTTGGGTGAGAAGTGATGGCAAGAATTGCAAACACAAGTTTCTCATAAAACAGCGATCACGGCACCTACCCTCCGTGGTTCCATTCCGTGCCAAGTTCCACGTGAGTCCAATCCACCATTCCCTGTCCTGGGAGATGTGCTTCTGCAGAAACCACTGGGTGCCTTCGTCCTGAATGAAGACCAAATGGCCTCCTTGCCCCTCGCACCAGCTCTGGGCATCACGGAAGGTGCGTCCGAGTGGCACAAATTCATAGCAAGCATCTCTGAAGGCCACCTGGCTGTTAGAGCAAAAGCTGCCTTCCTCTGGCTTAACAGTGGTGGCCCTAAGCCTCAGAGCAAGCACCAGGAGTACCAAGCCCACTGCACTCATGCTTGAACCACTGCTGGGGCCTCTGGATGGAGCTCGCTCTTGGGACTTTCATATGCGGGTGCCCTCACATCCACCCGTCATCCATCTTCCCTTCTGTCTTTGCATCACATAATGGCAGCTACCTTTTGTTGAAGAAACAAAAGGCTCAGCTTGACAGTGTCTGCGTTTTTGCGTCACCCAGCTCTTTGTTCCACGCCTGCTCCAAAGCCTATTAATTTGTCAGATGGTCTTCTCGGGAAAGATAAAGTTGCTATATCACCTGTCTGCTTATCTTTCAGTCAACTGTTAGCGGTGGATAAAAAGTCCTTGCTATTGGTTTTATGTCATTACCCTGAGGGCTGTATGTTTCGTGCAAAGCCATCAGCATGTGGGAAGTGTGTGATAAAAGAAAAATGGGAGGAAGGTTGGAGAATGGCAGGAAGGCAGGAAGACGGTAAAGAAACCAAGTTGCTTTTATATCCAAGCCCATTGTGCCGAGCGGCAGCTGTGCCCAAATGATACCCATTCTCTCCCCAGCGTGGCTGAAATCCTAATAGATATTTGGTCCCCTCTCTGATTCACCACATTATTCATCACCCATACCTGCTGGAGAATAAAAATCCCCTAAAAAATTTATTGGATGTCATAAGCTCAGAACTGACCATCCTTATCCACTACTTACACCTTCCCGTGGGTTTCCATGGTCCATGGATCAAGTTCAAATTTCCTAGCTTTGTATACAAGGCTTTGTATGGTCTGGCCTCCGAGAGTATTTCCAAACACATCCTCCCAAATGTGGAGAAACAAGCTGTCTCTCTGCTTGCTGGTGGTAAATTGGTACAACCTCTATTGTGGGCAATGTGATAATATCCATAAAAATTTTAAAAGCACAAACTCTATAATGTAGCAATTACACATCTAGGAATTACACCAACAGGTAAATTCATACATGTGTGAAATGCCATATGAATAAGATTATTCTTGGCAGAATTTGTTAAGAAGGAAAAATTGGAAACAACCTAAATGTCCATTGATAGGAAACGGGTTCACAAAACATGGTCTATCATATATAACCACTTTTAAAATGAACAAATTCTTCCTCTGCAAATTTGGAAGGATCCCTAAGGTTTTTGTTTTTTATTTGTTTGTTTTGAGACACAGAGTCTCGCTCTGTCGCCCAGGCTGGAGTACAGTGGCGCAATCTCAGCTCACTGCAGCCTCCACCTCCTGGGTTCAAGCAATTCTCGCGTCTCAGCCTCCCGGGTAGCTGGGACTACAGGCAGGCACCACCACGCCCTGCTAATTTTTTGTATTTTAGTAGAGATGGGCTTTCACCAAGTTGCCCAGGATGGCCTCGAACTCCTGAACTAAGGCAATCCACCCACCTCAGCCTCCCAAAGTGCTAGGATTACAGATGTGAGCCAATGTACCTGGTGAGATTTTTGTTAATATTAAAAGCTAAGTATGAGATATTGTATATAATTCAGTCCCATTTGCATAAAAACATATCTAAATATTTATTTGTATGTGTATAATATAGCTCATAAGAAACATACAAGAGGCCGGGCGCGTTGGCTCACGCCTGTGATCCCAGCACTTTGGGAGGCCGAGGTGGGTGGATCGCTTGAGCTCAGGAATTCAAAACCAGCTTGGCCAACATGGTGAAACCTGGTCTCTACTCAAAACAGAAAAAAATTAGCCAGGCATGGTTGTGCATGCCTGTAATGCCAGCTACTTGGGAAGCTGAGGCAGGAGAATTGTTTGAGCCTGGGAGGCAGAGGTTGCAGTGAGCTGAGATCACGCCATTGCACTCCAGCCTGGGCAACAAGAGTGAAACTCAGTCTCAAAAAAACAAAAACAAAAACAAAAACAAAACAACAACAACAAAACACATACAAGAGCTGGACGAGATGACTCACACCTATAATCCCAAAACGTTGGGAGGCCGAGGCGGGCGGATCACCCTGAGGTCAGGAGTTGGAGACCAGCTTGGCCAACGTGGCAAAACCCCATCTCTACTAAAAATACAAAAAATTAACCAGGCGTGGTTGCATGTGCCTGTGATCCCAGCTACTCAGGAGGCTGAGGCAGGAGAATCACTTGAACCTGGGAGGCGGAGGTTGCAGTGAGCCGAGATCACACCACTGCACTCCAACCTGGGCGACAGAATGAGACTCTGTCTCAAAAAAATAAAAATAAAAGCCCATAGTTGGATGATGTGGTCTGCATAAGAAATTAGTAATCTGAGGTTACAGAGGGAGACTTGCAATGTGGTGAGACCCTGGAGTGTTCAGAAAAGGTGTAAGGTATATAATTCCTCCAGCCAGAGACATTAGAGAATGCAGTTGTCTAATATTTGGCTTTAGACCGTTAACTTGCTCTGACATAAGTCACTCTTTCTCTTTCCCCATTGCCCCTCCTCTATCACGTGGCAACCTCTAATCTTTTTTTTTTTTTTTTTTTTTTTTTTTTTTTGAGGCGGAGTCGTGCTCTGTCATGCAGGCTGGAGTGCAGTGGCTCGATCTTGGTTCACTGCAACCTCCACCTCCTGGGTTCAAGTGATTCTCGAGCCTCAGCCTCCCGAGTAGCTGAGATTACAGGCGCGTGCCACCACGCCCAGCTGATTTTTGTATCTCTAATCTATTTTCTGACTCTATGGATTTGCCTATTCTGGATGTTTCACCTAAATGGAGTCATACAATACGTGGACTTTTGTGTTTGGCTACTTTCACTTAGCATCATGTTTTCAAGGTTCATCCACGTTGTAGCATGTACTTCACTCCTTTTTATGGCTGAATTATATCCCATCCTATGGATAAACCACATTTTATCTATTATCGGTTGATAGACATTTGGGTTGTTTTACTGTGTGAATTTCTTAGGGAAGGGACATCTCTTAATCTCTGTCTACCCCATGTCTGGCTCATAATAAGACTCAAGGAATATTTGCCAGCCTGGCCCCATCTCCCAGTTCCCTGGAGATTACCCTGTTGCCTCTGTCATTTTCCTAGAAACCACTGCAATCCTTCTGGAGTGACCCTGCCAGACAGAGAATGGGAAAGGGCTAGAGCCCAGGATAGGATGCAGGATCGTTGCTGACTCAGGCTAGGACACAGGCTGAGCAGAACAGGCCTGTTATCTCTAGAGGTCAACCTTCTAATAACTTTCCTTCGAAAACTCTGTGGAAAGTCACACGCAGTGATAATAGAAAGGGTAAAGGCTTAATTTATGTCCCTAATGGAAGTTGCTTGGGGACATTTGATAACAAATGCAAATCTGCAGGCTAAATTCCATGTTCACATTCTTTACATTCTGATAAATTGCAGACTCCTGGGCACAGTGTTCTTCTTGTTGACATCAGCTCCCAATGTCCCTTAACCTCTGTGTGCATGAAGCTCCACTGAAAGTAGTCAGGACATGGCTGGACCCTGTGAGCATTATTTCCAGTGATCTGATCCAGCTGTCTGAGCCTCCAAGTGGGATCAGCAATATGAAAACAGAAAGACAGCAAGTTTGGTTTAAATAAGGCATTGAGGCCAGGCACAGAGGCTCACGCCTGTAATCCCAGCACTTTGGGAGGCTGAGACAGGTGGATCACCTGAGGTCAGGAGTTCGAGACTCAGCCTGACCAACGTAAAGAAACCCCAACTCTGCTAAAAATACAAAATTAGCCAGGCATGGTGGCAGATGCCTGAAATCCCAGCTACTGGGGACGCTGAGGCAGAATTGCTTGAACCAGGGAAGCAGAGGTTGGGGTGAGCCAAGATCGCACCATTGCACTCCAGCCTGGGCAACAAGAGCGAAACTCCATCTCAAAAGATAAAAAATGAAAATAAGGCATTGAGTCCATAAAAAGAACCATAAAGATAGTTATGCCCTGTTATTCCAGTTATTCCAGTCTGGGGAATATTCCCATCTTACTTTGAGTCCCCCAGAAGCCAACTGAGACCAAGATTAAGAGCAAGGAGTCTATTTGCTTTTTGTTTTCGGGTTTTGTTTTTTTTTTTTGAGACAGTCTCACTTTGTCACCCAGGCTGGATTGCAGTGTCGCCGTCTCGGCTCATTACAGCCTCCGTCTCCCGGGTTCAAGCAGTTATCCTACCTCATCCTCCTGAGTAGCTGGAATTACAGGCACACGCCATCACATCCGGCTAATTTTTGTATTTTTAGCAGAGATGGAGTTTCACCATGTTAGCCAGGCTGGTCTTGAACTCCTGGGCTCAAATGATCCGCCCTCCTCGGTCTCCCAAAGTGCTGGGATTACAGGTGTGAGCCATTGCACCTGGCCTCAAGGAGTCTATTTGGGGGGGAATCTAGGAAGCCCTGGCCGGGGAAGAGGAGTATATTTCTCTATAGGAATTGGCGGCTTTATCAGTCATATTTAATCTTGGTTCTCCTTTAGATCGTAAAGAGAACACAGCAGAAGAATTCCCATGGTCCCATTACCCTAACACATTTTCATTTCTTCAGGGTTCCTTCATACACCTTGTTCCCTTGAAGACAGGTGTTTTCCCAGGCACTACTGTAGTGTCTGTGATTAGTTCATAAGCATTTCCTGCTTAGCATTAGACAGGAAGGCTTTTCCATGTTGCTAATGGGCTTTGAAATTGACATGGTGGTGGCAGAGCCTCCTTTTACTAAATGGACATTGCTAAATCAGTCCCATATTGCTGGACAGGTCATGTGGATTTTAGTCATCTGTTTCTCATTTCTCAACACAACTTTGAACATCTTCTTGCATGCATGCTTTAGCCTGGGCTGAGTTATCTCTTGAGGATTGTAGCAGACACTATCAGTGCTCACCCTAACCCACACACCTGCCATGCAGACATCTGTGGCTCTGCCTCCCTCTGCATATGTGCGACAGGATGGAAGTGCCTGGAAGTTAGCACCTCTCAGGAGAAACTCTCAACCTTGACTGAGCAGAATTGGTGAATCAATGCCCTGACTCCTGAAGATAACTCTGAGGCGTGTTCCCACCGGCTCCAGGAGATCCCCAGCCAGACTGAGTTTCAGTTGCTCATGATGGTGATAGGCTTGAGAATGTATTGTTAACATCTTTTCTCCTCCTTTATCTTAGGTCCTCATTCCCCTGCTGTTATTTCCTAGGTTCAAATCTTAGGCTTCTCCAGAGAAACAGAATCAATAGGAGATAGACAGATCAATAGACACAGATAGATAGATAGATGCATAGATACGTAGACACATAGACAGATGAATAGATAGATGGATATTATAATAATAAAAAAAGAAAATCAATAAATAAAGCAAAAAAAAAAAAAAAAAAAAAAAACCAGAGCCAGGCACGGTGGCTCACACGTGTAATCCCAGCACTTTGGGAGGCCGAGGCAGGTGGATCACCTGAGGTCAGGAGTTTGGAACCAGCCTGACCAAAATGGTGAAACCCCATATCTACAAAAATACAAAAATTAGCAGGGCATGGTGGTGTGTGCCTGTAATCCCATTACTCAGGAGGCTGAGGTAGAAGAATTGCTTGAACCTGGGAGGTGGAGGTTTTAGTGAGCCAAAGGTTTCAGTGAGCCAAGATTGCGTCATTAGACTCCAGCCTGGGCGACGAGAGCAAAAACTGTCTAAAAAAAAAAAAAAAAGGAACCAAATAGGCCAGACACAGTGGCTCATGCCTGATGCCTGTAATCCCAGCACTTTGGGAGGCCGAGTCAGGTGGATCACTTGAGACCAGGAGTTTAAGACCATCCTGGTCTACATAGCGAAATCCCTTCTCTACAAAAAATACAAAAATTAGTTCGGTGTGGTTGCATGCCCCTGTAATCCCAGCCACGTGGGAGAATGAGGCAGGAGAATCATTATGATCATGGAAGCTAAGAAGTCCATAATCTGTTGTCTGCAACCTGGAGAACCACGAAAGCCACTGGTCTAACCCTCTCCAAGTCTAAAGGCCCAGGAACCAGGAGCTCTGATGTCCAAAGGCAGGAGAAACGGATATCCCAGCTCATTTTTTGTTCTACTCAGGTCCTCCATGATGCCCATCCACACTGGGGAGGGTGGGTGTGCCTTACTCAGTACACTGATCCAAATGCCAGTCTTTTCTGGAAACAACCTCACAGACACATTCAGACATACTGTTTTACCAGCTCTCTGGGGAATCCCTTAGCCCAGTCAAGTTGACACGTAAAATTAACCATCACAACCTCCCAAATAAATTTCTTGCTCTTGAATCCTACTTCTGGGGGAACCCAAGCCTAGACAGACATATTCCCAGGACGAGGGCACCTGGACCACAGGGGTGAATATCTTCATGATTCTTGTTGTAGACTCAATGCCCTATTTAAACCAAATTAATTATCTTTCCGTTGCTCATGTGACCGATCCCACCTGAAGACTAAGACTGGTAGATCAAATCCCAGGACGTACCCTCGCACAGCCAAGTGGGGTCCTGGGGTCCTGACTGCTTCCCTGATGGCTTCAATTCTGTACTTGGAGACCATCTTTGAGCAACTGATAACAACCTCAGTCTTTGGAATGATGAGCTCTTGATTATTTATTGATTTATTATTTATTGATTTATTTATTGTAGAGATGGGGTCTCACACTGACACCCAAGCTGGAGGGCAGTGTCATGATCACAGCATACCACAGCCTCAAACTCCTGGATTCAATTGACCCACCCGCCTCAGCCTCCTGAGTAGCTGGGACTATAGGTATGTGCCACCAAGCCAAGCTAATTTTTAAAAATTTATTTTTTAGAGACGGGAGTCTCTGACTCAGCTTCCCAAGTAGCTGGTACTATAGGTGCACACCACCATCCCTGGCTAATTTTTGCATTTTTTATAGAGGTGGGGTTTCACCATGCTGGCCAAAACTCCTGGCCTCAAGTGATCCATCCACTTCTGCCTCCCAAAGTGCTGGGATTACAGGTATGAGCCACCACGCCTGGCCCCAGCTAATTTTTTTTTTTTTTTTTGAGACGGAGTCTCACTCTGTCGCCCAGGCTGGAGTGAAGTGGCGAGATCTCGGCTCACTGAAAGCTCCTCCTCCTGGGTTCACGCCATTCTCCTGCCTCAGCCTCCCGAGTTGCTGGGAACTACAGGTGCCCGCCACCACACCTCGCTAATTTTTTGTAGTTTTAGTAGAGACAGGGTTTCACCGTGTTAGCCAGGATGGTCTTGATCTTCTGACCTCATGATCCACCTGCCTCGGCCTCCCAAAGTGCTGGGATTACAGGCATGAGCCACTGCGCCCGGCCAGCCCCAGCGAATTTTTTTTTTTTTAAGTTTTTATAGAGATGGGGGTCTTGGTATATTGCCCAGGCTAATCTTGAACTCCTGGGCTCAAGCAATCCTCTTGCCTCAGCCTCACAGAATGCTGGGATTAAAGCCATGAGTCACTGCACCCAGCCTTGATAGTTATTTTTTAAATTGAATTTTTGTCAAGCATCCTTGATTGAACCCTAATTACATAGATGGTGGAAATTTGGTTTTCCAGCTCAGGCATCAGGATAACTTATTTTTTATGCATTTATTTATCAGCAATGCCTTCTGTATTTCAATCTTATCAATTCTTCCTTCTACGCATGGGATATTAGTGCTATATAAATTATAGCACTTATAATTGTTCCTTGCCTTCTTATCTTCCTTGTTAGACTTTGAACTCATTTAGGTCAGGAGATAACGATTCTCCAGTTTTCTGTCTCCAATACTCCACATGACACTAGTCTTAACTGCTCTGTAGAATGTTGTAGAATTAATGAATCTTCTTAAATATTGATGGCATAATTTATGGTCTTTTGTTCAGTAGCAAAGGTTTTTTGTTTTGTTTTGTTTGTTTGTTTGTTTGTTTGTTTTGAGATGGAGTTTTGCTCCTGTCGCCCAGGCTGGAGTGCAATGGCAAGATCTTGGCTCACTGCAACCTCTGCCTCCTGGGTTCAAGCAATTATCCTGCCTCAGCCTCCCAAGTAGCTGGGATTACAGGGGCCCGCCACCATGCCCAGCTAATTTTTGTATTTTTAGTAGCTACAGGGTTTCACCATGTTCTCCAGGCTGGTCTTGAACTCCTGACCTCAGGTGATCTGCCTGTCTCGCCCTCCCAAAGTGCTGGGATTACAGGCGTGAGCCACTGCCCCCAGTGAAGTTTTTCCTCCAGAAGCCCCAAGGACGCTGTCTGGTTACCCGTGCTGTTCTCCCTTTGCGGGGACAGCAGGTGCCACCTTTGAGGGGACTTCGGCTGTCACTATGGACTCTGCTATCTAAGATTTCAAAGATCTCTTTGTTATCTGGTCAACTTATCGCTCTGGCTAATTAGAGGCACCATTTAGAAGCAAACTTAATTGGAAAATTGCAAAGTAATTTAAATATGATAATATTATCTCCAAAAGGTTAATATTAACTAATCTTAGCTAATCATTTTGTAATCAGAGATATAGAATTACAAAATAAGGCTGTTGTGTTTTTAATAGCATGAAAACTTTTTGAACTCGCTTTTATTTCTTAACCTCATGACTGTTCTATAGGCTCCACCCGTCCTGTGGGACAAGTGGCCTCAGGGAAGGAGCGACACCTCTTCCCTGCCCCTTCCCAAAATCATTCAAGGAAAAGGATCCCATGGTCAAATCTCCCACCTCCATCACATATTGTATGATCTCTGACCTTACCAAGTTTCTGCTGCTTTGTCCATAAGATGGGGATAATAATAGTTCCTGCCAAACAGTGCCTGTGCAAGGATTAGAAGATTCGATGGGTGCAAAATGCAGAGAAGGGGGCACACTCTATGTGAACTCCCTTCCTTCTCCAGCCCCGAAGTTCACGTTTTTGCTCTCCGCAAAAGGAGGAGGTGAAGGCATTCTACTTCCTCTGAGAGTATCTTAGAGCCTCCCAAGGGCTGAGTGTGTGTGATTCTACTCCCAGCCTTCCACCCTCCCAGTGCAAACCCAATTCTGCTATCTCTGGATTGCTACAGAAGCAGCACTGTCAACTTGTGCAAACATGTGTGCCTTGTGAGGAATCCAGGAGATCTCCAACCCGACACCAATGCCAGGAGGGGCCTGGTAAAGGCCTTCATGCAATGCAGACCTCCTTGCTCTGTGTTTCTTCCCAAGGCCTGTGTGCAATGCAGACTTTCTCCCTCTATGCTCTAATTTTCTTCCTGGTTTCCTCTCAGCAACTCGCACCTCCACTCCCACAATCTGTTGGAAATTTTCCTGTTCCCTCCGTTCCTCTCTCTTTTGCTCACCTTTCTTGCTTTTCTCCCGCCACAGCCCTACACAACGCACACCTCTCCCTCCCACAATCCAGAGCAATTTGTGTAGCGGCCACCCCATGTAATATATTGAATCTGGGCACAAGCAGGTCCTGCTAGTAGGAACGCTCTTCTTGTCTTCTCCACATGGCCAATGCCTAGCAATCCTTCAGGTCTTGGAGCAAACATTAGTCTTTCTGTGATGTCCGCTCTCCACTGCGCTCCTCCAGCCTTGTACGATGTCCCATACCTTCCTCTGTTGCCAAGCATGCTGTGTTCTATATTTATGGAACCGATGAATGAATGGATACATGGACTAATTTACATTTTTACCATTGTCAGCCACGGACTTCCCTGACATTGCACCCTCTCAACTGGCTTTCCATCCAGCCATAACTGCCTTGGCCTCCCTTGGTCGCCTATAAATGCCATCTTAGCAGTTCTGCTAACTCAGCACTGTCAATAGAACTTTCTGTGATCATGGAAATGTTCTGTGACTGTACTGTCCAGTATAACAGCCACCAACCACACAGGGCCACAGAGCCCTTGAAATGTGGCTACTGTGAATGAGGAGCTCACTTTTTCATTTAACTTCGTTGCAATTAACGTATATTTAAATGTAAATAGCCGAGTGTGCTTAGCGGCTACTGTGTTGAACAGCACAGCTAAGCTGTCACATGAATAGCTTCACTGAACATCTTCTCCTAGGATGCTATTGCCTGCAGTATAAAGGCCATATTCTTATAAAAGCTGCACAGTGCAATCCTTAATCCACTTACCAGCCCCAGGTAGTGGAGATGAACATGGCTGCAAGTACAGATTCTAGAGCCAAGCCCAGCTCTGGGATACTGAGCAAGTTTCTTAGCTTCTCTGTGCCTCACTTTCCTTATCTTTAAAATGGGGCAAAACCACCTAAACTCAGGATTATTGTGAGGAGGACATGGACTCGTATGTGTAAAAGGGTTAGAAGAGGGTCTGGCATATATAAAGCTCTCAATAAATGGCCAATAGTCCTCCTGCCTGGAGAGTTCACCCCCTCCTCCTTCCCCATCCAAATACTTCCCACTCTCAAGGGCTCAGCTGTGCACCCCCTCCTCCAGGAAGCCTTCTTTCCTAATCCTCCACAGCATCACCAAGCTTTCCTTCCTCAGAACCCCTATGATAGTTCCTATCTGTGCCTCTTGTAGAGCAGCTATTCTAGGCAACTAATTATTACTTACTGTGTATGTATATGGCTTCACAGCCAGGCTAAAAGAGACTTAAATCCCAACGTTCCTGTGTATTGGTGTCTATTTTTCAACTGCATGCAAGTAACTCAAAATTAGTATGTTTGATTATTATATTGGCTGGCCGTTTCAGTTTTTCTGTCTTTCCCAAGAAAAGAAAGGGGGAAAGAATGCTCTGAGTGCCTACTGTATTTTAAGCACTGTGACATACACAGTTTTACACTGTTTAATTTAAACTTTGTAGCCAGTCAATGAGGCAGATGTTATAATTTCCATTTCAGAGATCAGGAAACTGAGGGTCTGAGACTTAAGTACGTGGTTCAGACATTTAGTTTGTAAGCGGAAGAACTGAAACACAAATGCAAATGAGTCTGTCGGGGTAGCTAGTTTCCAAAGATGGCCCCAAAGGGACCATATAGCCCAGACCCTATAGTCACAACCTTGAATGGTCCCTCCTCACGGAATTTTTGCTGGCCCTGTGATTGGTTCTAACCAATAGAAGGCAGTGGAAGCTAAACTATCTCAATTCTGGTGTAGCCTTAAAAGGTATTGGCAACTTCTGCTTCCTCTCTCTCGTGTCACTCACCTTTGGGAGACATTTGATGCTATGTATTATAAGAAGTTTGGCTACTGTGCTGGTAAGATCTCACAGAGAGAAAGCGAGGCCAAGGCCCAGCCCCTCTAACATCCTAGTCATCCTAGTCAATTCCAGCAACCATGTAAGGAAAGCTGAGCAATGAAAGCAGAAGAACTGCCCAGCTGAGCCCACGCAACCTGCAGAACTTAGAAAGCGTATGGATGATTGTTGTTTTAAGCCACTACATTTTGGAGTGGGATGTTACACAGCAATAAATAACCAAAACTCTTACATAAGATGTGCCATTTCTCTCTACATTGCCATTGCCCCTGTTCTCTTATGCACTGGCCAGTTTTCAGTCCCGTTTTAAGGCAGTGAATGCATTATACAAATTGTCTGTGAAACACTCACCTTTGCTCTCCTAGCTCTTCCCCAGCCAGCAGCTCTGAAAGGTGGGAAGCATTACAGTTTTGTGGGGAAGAACATGTACTGATCGGCTGTTGACCTACCTCAAGTTACTCCACATCGCTGAGACTATAAAATTAAGATTGCTACTGACATCCTTGCAAGGATGTGGAGGGATTAAAAGAAAGACTGCTGCTAGAACACTTAGCCCAGTAACCAGCACGTGCAAGCATTCAGATCAGAGGCTGGAGGAGAGCAGGCCAGGAGACAGCTTCTACTGGAACCAACCCCTCATCCCATTCTCCCCACATTAGTGAAAACAACAGAACACAGGGGTCAGGCCTCCATGGGTTCAGAGCAATGCCAGAGCTTTTGAGGGGAAGAGCAGCTGCTGCTTCATGTCGATGGGTTTTCAACATGAAGGCAGTTCTGCAAACCACTGTGAGACACCTTCCCCTTTGGGAAATATATGTCCAGCCTCAGCCTCCAAACAAAAAGAACATCATGAGGGCCAAAAAAGGCAGAGACTGGGTGTCATTAATCACCTCTATTCCCTCAGAGTTTGGCGTGTAGTAGGTGTCAGGTCCAAAAAGGCACAGATTTGTTTTGTTCACTGCTACATTTCCAGCACATAGTAGGTGCTCAATCAATATGTGTTGAATGGGCCAGGGTCGGTGGCTCATGCCTGTAATCTCAACACTTTGGGAGGCCAAGGCAGGTGGATCGCTTGAGCTCAGGAGTTTGGGACCACTTGCCCAATTGCCTGGGCAATATGGCAAAACACCATTTCCACAAAATACAAAAAAATTAGCCTAGAGTGGTGGCACAGGCCTATTGTCCCAGCTATTCAAGAGGCTGAGGTGGGAGGATCACTTGAACATAGGAGGTTGAGGCTGCAGTGAGCTGAGACTGCACCATTGCACTCCAGCCTGGGTGACAGAGTGAGACCCTGTCTCAAAAAAAAAAAAAAAAGGTGTTGAATGCACTGCCTGCAGCGGACACTGTCAGTTGCCTATCCTAGGCCATTCCCTCCTTTTTCCTTGATAATGGAATTCTGACAAGATCCAGGTGGCAATGATGCCACTCCAGGGGTGACTGGGAGGAAATTAAATTAAAGTTTGTCTGAGGAAATTAAAGCGCTCCTGTTCCTCTTTGTTGAGGATTGGTTAGGGGTGGTCATGTGACACAGTTCTATTCAGCCAATGAGGCACAAGAGAAAATCTGCTCAGAGGATTCTGGGAAAGATTTCCCTCCAGCATAAAATGAGAGGTCTACAAAGAAAACTCCTCTTCTGTCCCTGCCTTATCTTCCTGCTTTTCCACATCTCTATGTGAGGCCATGATTTCCCAGGCAACGGCAATCATTCATAACCAGAACTGAACAAGCCAACAGTGAGAAGACAACCTTCTGAGGCTAGAAGTGTGGAAGCCCTTGCTAGGCGAGCTTCCGCGTCAACCAGCATGCCACCTCTCGATGGCTTGATGTCTGCAATAAATGCACATCTTTGGAGTTTCAGCAGATGTTCTGCTACCTGCAGCAAAAGTGTCTTCCCTTACACATTGTGACTTAATGATATTGTTACGGGCTGAATTGTGTTCTGTAAAATTCATACGTTGAAGCCCTAACACCCCATACGGCAGAATGTGACTGTATTTGGAGATAGGGTCGTTAAAAAGGTGATTAAATTAAAATGAGTCCATTAGGTTGGCCCCTGATCCAATATAATTGGTCTCATTACAAGAAGAGGAAATTTGATTGGGCACAGCAGCTTGTGCCTGCAGTCCTAGCTACTCAGGAGGCTGAGGCAGGAGGATGGCTTGAGCCCAGGTGTTTGAGACTGTAGTGAGCTATGATTGCACCACTGCACTCCAGTCTGGGCAACAGAGTGAGACCATGTCTCTTAAATAAATAAATAAAATTTAAAAATGAAAGAAGAGGAAATTCAGACACACCAAGAGACACCAAGGATGTGCGCACAGAGAAAGATGATATGAAGACACAGCAAGAAATCACACCTGCTACCTTCATCTCCCAAACAACCTGATACCTTGTTTTTTTTGTTTGTTTGTTTGTTTGGTTTTTTGTTTGTTTGGTTTCGCTTTTTTGAGACGGAGTCTTACTCTGTTGCCCAGGCTGGAGTGCAGGGGTGCAATCATAGCTCACTGCAGTGTCAAACACACCTGGCTGGAGTGGTGGGATCTCAGCTCACTGCAACCTCTGCCTTGCCACTTCAAGCAATTCTCCTGCCTCAGCCTCCCCAGTAGCTGAGATTACTGGCATGTGCCACGATGCCTGGCTAATTTTGTATGTTTAGTAAAGACGGGGTTTCACGATGTTGGCCAGGCTGGTCTTGAACTCCTGACCTGGGGCAATCCGCTCATCGAGGCCTCCCAAAGTGCTGGGATTACAGGCATGAGCCACCATGCCCAGCCAAAACCTGATACCTTGATCTCAGACTCCTAGCCCCTAGAACTGTGAGAAAAAAAAATTCTGTTGTTTAAGCCACCCAGTCTGTGGCATTTGCTATGGCAGCCCTAGCAAACTTACACAGATATCTATTGTTAGGCTTAATTTATTACCACCATTAGTTTTTTTTGTGGGGGTATTTTTGTATGTGGTGTGTGTTTGTTTGTTTTGAGATAGGGTCTCTGTCGTCCAGGCTGAAGTGAAGTGGTGCAAACATGGCTCACTGCAGCCTCAAACTCCCTGAGCTCAGGCGATCCTCCCACTTCAGCCTCCCAAGTAGCTGGGACCACAGGTGTTTGCCACCACCACCACTGCCAGCTAATTTTTCTATTTTTCATAGAGGCAAGGTCTCGCTGTGTTGCCCAGGCTGGTCTCAGACTTCTGACCTCAAGTGTTCCATCAGCCTCAGCCTCATCCTCCCAAAGTGCTGGGATTACAGGTGTGAGCCACCGTGCCCGGACTCCATTTGTATTTTCAAAAACCTTTATCTTACTATCTAACTGTCCCTTGGGTGCAGTTGGAACCTGGATAAGAGAGCTTGCCCTTTCTCTGATATAAGAATGCAGTGACACCAACCCAAGACCCAAGACTGGTCCTCTCAGGGCCCATCCACCCATTACTTCATTCAGTAAAAATCCAGCAGACACCCATCGTGCGTTGGAGCTGTGTAGAATTGTCAGAGTAAGTACTTTGAAGTCGGGCTGCCTGGCTGTGCCTCCTAATTTGAGCTGCTCCTCACTTTGAGACCGAGGGCAAGCAAGTTATCTTCCCTGTACTCTCTGACCTTGAGAATGGTGGTAGGAACACACATCTCATAGGACTGTGTAAGGCCAGGGTGAGCCAGTGCAGGTAAACTGCTCAGTTGCTTTTCTGAATATGCAAAGATTGACAAGAAGGGAGATCACAGTCATGTTTTGACTCATATATATATATATATATATATATATATATATATATATATATAAATATATATATATATATATATATAAATTATTATTTTTTTTTTGAGACAGATTCTTGCTCTGTTGCCCAGGCTGGAGTGCAGTGGTAGAATCTCAGCTCACTGCAACCTTCACCTGCCAGGTTCAAGCAATTCTCCTGCCTCAGCCTCCCAAGAAGCTGGGATTACAGGTGCACACCACTATACCAGGCTAATTTTTGTATTTTTAGTAGAGACGGGGTTTTACCATATTTGCCAGGCTGGTCTCGAACTCCTGACCTCAAGTGATCTGCCCGCCTCGGCCTCCCAAAGTGCTGGGATTACAGGCTTGAGCCACCGCACCTGGCATGTCTTCACTCATATGGTTTTGTTGTAACCCTTCCAACAAGCCCTGTGACACAGATACTGCCACCCCCATTTTGCCGAGTGAAGTGAGGTTCAGAGAAGTCACGTGACAAAAGCTGCAGGGTTGCTGAATCTCAGAGCTGAGGTCCAAACCCAGGTCTTCTGACCTCTAAGCCCTGAGCTCTTTCTTGCACCGTGGTGGTGTCGTTTTTTTCCCAGAGCCCTTAGAGTATGCCAGACATTCCCATGTAATCCTCACAAGAACGCAGCTTCCACAAGCTAGGAATAAAGAACTCTGACATGGATACACGTGTTTAGACCACACAGCGGGATAAACTGGCAAGTTATTGGAGGTCTTACTGGAAAGGTGGTTCATAGGGAAATGCCCTCTAAGAGAATGGGAGGAAAAGGTAAAGGCATTGTTTGGTAACTGTCTGAGACCAGGTGCTTTTGCTAGACCCTATACAATAGGCTTGAGGTGCTAATATCGTTATGCCTCACTTTATAGTTGAAAAAAAGGAGGCTCAAAGAGGGTAGAATGGCCCAGACACACAGAAAATGGACGAGCTGGCCAGGCGCGATGGCTCACGCCTCTAACCCCAGCACTTTGGGAGGCCAAGGCGGGTGGATCACTTGAGGTCAGGGGTTTCAGAGCAGCCCGGCCAATATGGTGAAACCCCATCTCTACTAAAAATACAAAAATTAGCTGGGGATGGTGGCAGGCACCTGTAATCCCAGCTGCTTGGGAGGATAAGGCAGAAGAATCGCTTGAACCCGGAAGGCAGAGACTGCAGTGAGCCAAGATCACGCCACTGCACTCCAGCCTGGGTGACAGAACGAGACTCCATCTCAAAAAATATAAAAGGATGAGCTGCAATTTTTTTTTTTCTGAGTTGGAGTCTCACTCTGTCACCCACGCTGGAGTACAGTGGCACCATCTTGGCTCACTGCAACCTCCACCTCCTGGTTTCAAGTGATTCTCCTGCCTCAGCCTCTTGAGTAGCTGGGATTACAGGTGCCCATCACCATGCCCAGCTAATTTTTGTATTGTATTTTTAGTAGAAACGAGGTTTCACCATGTTGGCCAGGTAGGTCTTGAACTCCTGACCTCAGGTGATCTGCCTGCCTTGGCCTCCCAAAGTGATGGGATTATAAGCATGAGCCACCATGCCTAGCCAATCAGCTATAATTTAAATTTAGTTTCAACTCAGGCATGTAGCATCTTTCCTCTGGGTCAGGTCTTCTCAACTCCTGCTGCACACATGTAGGTACTTTTTATTATTTTTTTAATTATTATTATTATTTTGAGACGGAGTCTTGCTCTGTCGCCCAGGCTAGAGTGCAGTGGCGCGATCTCGGCTCACTGCAAGCTCTGCCTCCTGGGTTCACGCCATTCTCCTGCCTCAGGCTCCCGAGTAGCTGGGACTACAGGCACCTGCCACCACGCCCGGCTAATTTTTTGTATTTTTAGTAGAGACGGGGTTTCACGGTGTTAGCCAGGATGGTCTTGATCTCCTGACCTCGTGATCCGCCCGCCTCTGCCTCCGTATGTTTTATTTTTGAGATAAGGGCTTGCTTTGTTGCCCAGGCTGGAGTCCAGTGCTGCTATCACAGTTCACTGCAGCCTCAACCTCCCAGACTCAAGTGATCCTCCCACCTCAGCCTCCCAAGTAGTTGGGACTACAGGCACGCACCACCATGCCCAGCTAATTTTTTTTGGTAGAGACGGAGCCTCAATATGTTGCCTAGGCTGGTCTTAATTCCTGGGCTCAAGTGATCCTCCCGCCTTGGCCTCCGAAAGTGCTAGGATTACAGGTGTGAGCCACTACACCCGGCCAACATAAAAAAAAAAAACTGATGGCTGAGATCCACCTTCAGAGATTCTGCGTCAGTGGGTCTGGAGTGAGGCCCAGCACTGATACATTTAGTACTGCCAATCAGGTGATTCCAATGTGTGCCAGGGCGGAAGCACAGCCAGACCACACAGCTGTCAGGAATGAACGGCCCAAGGTGCTGGCATGTGCTCTCAGCCCAGACCGGACCATCATTATTCTCAGCTGGGTTGCATAAAGGCCAGTGCCACTGCCTTTTCTTACTCTACCCACAGAGCAAATGACTGGTTCTTTCTTTAAGCAAAATACGTTAAGATGAGTTCATTAACTTCAATCAGTGCATATAGCAAGTTGAATACGAATTTCAGGCAATGGCAACACACGAAGATACACGAATAATAGGGAAGCTCAGATCAAATTCAGGCATTGTTTTGCCCTCTTGATAGGCCAGGAAGTTGAAGTTTCTTTTTAACTATTCTGTTTACTTATTTATTTTTTGAGACAGAGTCTCACTCTGTGGCCGAGGCTGGAGTGCAGTGGTGCCATCTCAGCTTACTGCAATGTCTGCCTCACAGGTTCAAGCGATTTTCCTGCCTCAGCCTCCTTAGCATCTGGGATTGCAGGCGTCTTCCACCACGCCTGGATAATTTTTGTATTTTTAGTAGAGACAGGATTTCGCCGTGTTGGCCAGGCTGGTCTCGAACTCCTGACCTCAAGTGACCCGCCAACCATGGCCTCCCAAAGTTCTGGGATTACAGGCATGAGCCACCACTCCTGGCCCGTCTTTTTTACTATTCTTTATAGTTTCTGAGAAAAGCCTTTGGTTCCCGTTCGTTATTTTTTAAATAGGTACATGAAACATTTTATGTCTCCTTCTTCCAAAAAGAAAATAATGAATTAAGTGGCTCTTTATGTATGATTATTAGAGGGGAGCATCGGGGCCTTTACTAAAAACAAAACAAAATGTAAAACCTTTCCCGTCTCTGCTGAAGGGGTTCCCTGCTGTGCAGCAGACATTCAGTGATCACAGAGCTTAGCTCAAGTTTCTCCTAATTCCCAGCACCTCTGATTCCCAGCATCTCTTCTTGTTCTGATCATAAACAACTCCAGCTCTTGGATTACGTCGGGCAACATAACAGCAGGCACGGAATTCTCTCTGCTTATTTAGAACCTAGTCTGAAGCAAGCTTTTTTTTTTTTTTGGTTAAGTCAAAAGTGAAACTGGAGAGGGAAAGCTGAGGGAACAATAAGAGGATTAAAGATTAGCTATGACACATGGCTTGGAAATTAACCTTTAACCAAACATCTTATAAGTAACGCCAGCGCAGCTTCCCTTGTGAATGTAAAGAGATCCAGGGCTCTTGGAGAGGGACAAGTGAGAGCCAGCCAAAAAGGAAAAAGCAAAGGCAGAAACGGCATCAGGAGAGACAGAGATGTGAAGGAGGGAAGGAGCAGGAGAGCAGGAAGGAAACGCAGGAGGAGGGAGCAGCATCTCCTGTGAACACAGAGGAGCACCTGTTTGCTGTTAAAATCGATCTCCCTCGGCACCCTGAGCAATGGATATAATATTTGGCAGGAATAGGAAAGAACAGCTGGAGCCTGTGAGGGCCAAAGTGACAGGTGAGCATTCTGATAAACACTGGGCTCTTTCTTCTATTTATTTTATTATTTTTTTTTTTTTTGAGGCGGAGTCTCGCTCTGTCGCCCGGGCTGGAGTCCAGTGGCTTGATCTCGGCCCACTGCAACCTCTGCCTCCTGGGTTCAAACGATCCTCCCACCACAGCCTCCCGAGTAGCTGAGATTACAGGCACCCACCACCAAGCCCGGCTAATCTGTGTGTTTTTAGTAGAGACGGGGTTTCAGCATGTTGGCCAGGCTGGTCTCGAACTCCTAGCCTCAAGTGATCCACCCACCTCGGCCTCCGAAAGTGCTAGGATTACAGGGGTGAGCCACTGCACCTGGCTTCTTCCTTGTGTTTAGATGGACACTATTTTTTCCTGATGATATAAGTAATACTAATTGTAAATTACTTTTGGAAAGTCTGGAAAACAGTACAGAGAGGGGACACATTTTCTGTGAAAATCTAGGTATTCTTTTACACATTATAACTCCGTTTGCAAAGGGAGGAGAGTCAGTCTCACTGTTCCCAGGAAAAAAGCATTGGAATGCCCCAGTGGGTACATAGACAATGGGATTAATCTGCAAACTGCTGCCTGTCTCAGATGCATGATGTATTTGTGCAAATGTATGCATTCTAAATTAGTTTCAAAATGCTTAGAGGGGCGTGCATGAGCTCCCACGCATGCACATCCACCACGCACACTTGCAGGGGATTGCAGAGTCTGATGTGATTTTCTCTCAGGAACTCACAGGTGTGAGCTCCTGCAGAGCCTATAGGAGTAGGACCTTCTATCCTTTAGAGGCTCTGTGTTTCGCTTAATCTTTTATATCTCTTTTTCCTCCTCTTTTGAGTTGCCACTTTCCTGGTACCATTTCGACTCTAAAGGGCAGTTCCTGGTTCTGGACTCCCGGGTCCCCAGAGTGGTGCTCGCTCAGTTTTAAGAACAGCTGAGTCAGCTCAGGCCTGCAGGCATTTTCATCTGCTAGATGGACTGGAATTGTTCATAAGGAGAGGACAACTGTGAGTGATTTTCGTGAGAACATCAGATTGAAGCTTTTCAACTGAGCAATTGCCTTGGGAGTCTTTTGAAACAAAAAAAAAATAGCTTTTATGTATATATTTTCCTGGTTACAAAGGTAAGGCACAATCTATAGCTATCAATCTGTATATATATATAGCTGTATGTATATTAAATTATATATAAATTAATTAGGAGTGCAAATGAGAACATGGAAGGAAATAAAATCAGCTGTATTTTGAAATCTCTTAACCACTATTAATATTTGGGTCTATTTCCTTTAACTTTTTAAAACATAGGTAGATCAATTGATAGATTACTATATTTGTAAACAGTTTTTCAAAAAGCAAATGTATACTATTACATTTTTATTTTTTTTCTCAATTTGACTGTTCATCTGTACATATTTTATTTTTTAAAAAGACACCCCACGGCCAGGTGCGGTGGCTCACGCCTGTGGTCCCAGCACTTTCGGAGGCCAAAGAGGGTGGATCACTTGAAGCCAGGAGTTTGAGACCAGCCTGGCTAACATGGCGAAATCCCTCTCTACTAAAAATACACAAATTAGCCAGGGGTGGTGGCATGCACCTGTAGTCCCAGCTACTCAGGAGGATGAGGTAGTAGAATTGCTTGAACCCCGGAGGCAGAGGTTGCAGTGAGCTGAGATCGTGCCACTGCACTCTGGCCTTGGCAAGAGTGAGACCCTGTCTCAAAAATAAATAAATAAAAAAAAACCAGGCACCCCAGCCTGGCCAACCTGGTATGGTGAAACACTGTCTTTATTATTTGGTTGGTGCAAAAATAATCGCGGTTTTTGCCATTACTTTCAATGCATTTAATTTTAATTTTTTTTTTTTTTTGAGAAGGAGTTTCACTCTTGTTGCCCAGGCTGGAGTGTAATGGCGCGATCTCGGCTCACCACAACCTCTGCCTCCTGGGTTCAAGCGATTCTTCTGCCTCAGCCTCCCAAATAGCTGGAATGACAGGCATGCACCACCACACCCGGCTAATTTTGTATTTTTAGCTGAAACAGGGTATCTCCATGTTGGTCAGGCTGGTCGCAAACTCCCAACCTCAGTTGATCCGCCCGTGTTGGCCTCCCAGAGTGCTGGGATTATAGGCGTGAACCACCATGCCCGGCCTGAAATTTTATTTTAAATAAAAATACAAAAATTAGCCAGGCATGGTGGTGCATATCTATAAGCCCAGCTCCTCAGGAGACTGGGCATGAGAATCACTTGAACCCAGGAGGCAGAGGTTGTAGTGAGCCAAGATCGCACCACTGTACTCCAGCCTGGGCAACAGAGTGAGACTCTGTCTCCAAAAGAAAACAAAAAGGCACCTATGATACCTACCTTTTCGTGCCCTGGAATATTTTGTACCCTTTACACCTCATGTTTAATGACTGCATGAAATCCTTGGAAATGTTAGAAAACATGAATTCTAGAACACGAGAGGCTGAGTGAGCCCCAAAGATCAGCAGCGGTTCTCAAAGGGGTGGCCCCGGACCTGCAGCATAAGCATCACCTGGGTGCTGGGTAGAAATAAACATCCTTGGGCCCTACCCAGACCCACGGGGTCAGACACTTGGGGGGTGGAGCTCAGCAAGCTGTGTGTTCACAAGCCCTCAGGCGATTCCAAAGGTAAGAACCATTCCTCTACATCAAGCCTCCCTATTGACAGATGGGAAACTGAGGCAGAGGGGCAGTGACTTGCCAAGGCCAGGCAGCCTGCAGAGAACAGGCCTCCTGACTCTCCGTCCAGGCCTGGGTTGAGCCTAATCAGTTGGTGACATCCATGGGCAAACAGCTAACTAAAAACTGTGCCTGGGTTGACACGTCCATGCAGGGAGCACATGCAAAGGTTTTGGCTTTGTAACTGGCTGTGCCGACACACGTGTGTTCTGAGACCTCTTTGGCAACTTAAGCATTTCCTGCCTCAGTGTTCTTTTCTGTTTGATGAATGTAGCCTGGCACCTCCCACATAGGGTTGCTGCAACGATTAAGTGGTTTAATCCACCTAGAACACAGTGGCTGGTGTATGAATGCATGTAAGTGTTCTTGTCCTATCTAGGGCTTTAATTATATTCTCAGATGCCTCTCTCCCTGCTCTTTCTCAAGCCTGCCCCCTCTCCTGTGCCCTGGGTGCCTGTGCCTGGCGCCACGATTATGTAGGTGCCCAAGGCAAGAGACTTGGCTGTCTTTTTTTTTTTTTTTTTTTTTTTTTGAGGCGGAGTTTCACTCTGTCGCCCAGGCAAGAGTGCAATGGCGCAATCTTCGGCTCACTGCAATCTCCTCCTCCTAGGTTCAATCGATTCTCCTGCCTCAGCCTCCCCAGTAGCTGGGATTACAGGCACCCACCACCACACCCAGCTAATTTTTGTATTTTCAGTAGTGACGGGGTTTCACCATATTGGCCAGGCTAGTCTCAAACTTCTGACCTCGAGTGATCCATCCGCCTTGGCCTCCCCTAGTGCTAGGATAACAGGCCTGAGCCACCGCGCTGGCCTCGGCTGTCATTTTTCAGTGCTCCACTGCACATCCCCCTGTATTTAGTCAAATAGAGGCCCATCAGTTCTGTGTGTTCCATCTATCTTTGTTCATCCATTTCTCTCCATCCCTGTGGAATCCCCGGGTCCTCTCTCTGGTCTTCCTGCCTCTCTCAGGGAATTTCCCAGTCCACAATCCACACCATGGGTGGAGACAACCTTCGAAGCTCCAAGTTCCTATTCCATTTATAACAGGGGTCCCCGACCCTCGAGCCGTGGACCAGTACCAGTCTGTAGCCTGTTAGGAACCGGGCCGCACAGCATTACGGCCCGAGTTCTGCCTCCTCTCAGATCGGTGGCATTAGATTCTCATATGAGTGCAAACCCTACTGTGAGCGTGAACCCTGTCGTGAACTGCACATAGGAGGGATCTAGGTTGTGCGCTCCTTATAAGAATCGACCCCTCAACCCCACCATCCATGGAAAAATTATCTTCCACAAAACCAGTCCCTGGTGCCAAAAAGTTTGGGGACCACTGATCTATATGGAATCCAGAACAGGCAAATCCATAGGAAAGAAGATGGGTGCCTGCCAGGGGCTGGGGTAAGGGGAGAAGGGGGAGTGACAGCTAATGCATAAGGGAGATGGCTTTTTGGAGTGATGAAATGTTCTGGAATTAGGTGATGGTTGCGCAACATTGTGAATACACTAGAACCCCCTGAACTGTACATTTTAAAATGATGAGTTTTATCTCAAATTTTTTTAAATTGCAGAAAATATCTGGTCCTGTCCTTCCCTATTATAACCATCAAAGGTGCCCCATTCTTCTGAGGATTAGATCAGGACCCTTAGTGTGATCCTGTTGACCTTTGTCCCCTGGCCCCCGTTATTTCTGCAGTTTCATTGCTTACAGTTTTCTTGCTTGAAAATGACGGTCCAGTCTTACTAAACAGCTTGCCCGTCTCCTGGTCTTGATCATTCATTCATTCATTCATTCATTCATTTATGAGACGGAGTCTTGCTCTGTCACCCAGGCTGGAGTGCAGTGGCGTGATCTCAGCTCACTGCAACCTCCCCCTTCCGGGTTTAAGCAATTCTCCTGTCTCAGCCTCCAGAGTGGTTGGGATTACAGGCACCCGTCATCACACCTGGCTAATTTTTGTATTTTTGGTGGAGGCGGGGTTTCACCATGTTGGCCAGGCTTGTCTCCAGCTCCTGACCTCAAGCGATCTGCCTGCCTCACCTCCCAAAGTGCTGGGATTCAGGTATGCCTCGGCATGCCCAGCCTCCTGGTTTTGGTCTTCTTGTTTTGGGTTCCTCCAGAGGCAAGAATTCAAGGCTAAGTGGTTTATTTGGCACGTGATCCCAAGAAACATCAGGAGGAACTCAGGGAAACAGAGAGAAGGAAACCAATAAATGGGGCATTGTCGAGCCATTGGCTGCTGAGGCCATTGGAGCTAAATCCTCTGGGTATGACGTAAAACATGCCTCTCGTGATCCCAACTGAGGGCAAGGCAACGGCGGGATTTGTCCCCCAATTCTGCATCCATCACTGGGTGAGAGCAGCTTCCAGGGGCATTACCTATCCGAGGTGCTTCCTGCTCTTCCTGCATGTAGGCAAAGCCTGCCCCACCCGCAGTCAGAACCAAGCACTCAGGCAGGGAGCTGCAGGCATTTGCAGAAAGCAGCCTGTAGGAAGGGACGAACGCTGAGAGGACTTGGGTGGAGGCACCAACAGCATTTTCTGCAGCACCCTGCCTCTAGAGCAGGGCTGTCCCCTAGAAAGAGAACCTATGCCACACGTGCACTTTTAAATTTTCTGGTAGAAACATTGAAAAAAGTCAAAAGAAGCAGGTGAAATTATTTCAGTGGTATATTTTAACACAACAAATCCAAGATATTATCAGTTCAACATGAAATCAATATTTAAAAAATTGCTAATGAGATGGTTCACTTTTGTTCATACTAAGTCTTTGAAATCTGGTGTATATTTCATTCTTATAGCACATGTCATTTCAGACCAACCACATTTCAAGTGCTGATAGCTACCATATTGGACAGTACAGCTCTAGAATGTTCTTTCCTTTTGCCTTTGTGAGGCGAATACCTACTCTCCCTCAAGACTTAGCCAGGTTGCCTCCTCTAGGAAGCTGACCACACCCTCCTGCTCTCAGCCCACCCGAGGGCTGTTCTGTTTCACAAAGAACCTTTTTCTACGTCTGTAGCGTTGCCCCTATCTTTTTTTTTTTTTTTTTTTAATTTTTTGAGACAAGGTCTTGCTCTGTTGCCCAGGCTGGAGTGGAGTGGTGTGATCACTGCAGCCTGGAGCTCCCAGGCTCAAGCGATCCTCCCACCTCAACCTCCCAAGCAGCTGGGACTACAGGCATATGCCACCACAATGAGCTATGTTTTTTTGGGGGGTTTTTTTGACACAGAGTTTCGCTCTTGTTGCCCAGACTTTAGTGCAGTGGTACAATCTCGGCTCGCTGCAACCTCTGCCTCCTGGGTTCAAGTGATTCTCCTGCCTCAGCCTCCCGAGTAGCTGGGATTACAGGCGCTCACTATGACGCCCAGCTAATGTTTTGTATTTTTAGTAGAGGTGGGATTTCATCATGTTGGCCAGGCTGGTCTTGAACTCCTGACCTCAGGTGATCCACCCACCTAGGCTTCCCAAAGTGCTGGGATTACAGGCGTGAGCCAACACACAACCAGCATTGCCTTGACCACAGTGGATCTTGGGTGTCTGTTTATTCATCTGTCTCTTAATGGTCAGTAGGCAGTTTGAGGACAGGGACAGTGTCTCCATCTTGGTATCCTCAGTGCTAGCCAACTGCCCAACACATTATACACTTTCTGGAAATGACTGTAGAATAAACGAACAGATGCAAGGAGTGGTACTGGGACCACAACTCTCAAATTCCTTTCCATGACCATTTCTTCCAGCATTTTGGTTTGCAGGTGGAAACGGGAAACTAAACATTCTCTCTTTTCTCAGGCAAGATTCCAGCATGGCTGCAGGGAACCCTGCTCCGCAATGGGCCTGGGATGCACACAGTTGGGGAGTCCAGATACAACCATTGGTTCGACGGCCTTGCCCTGCTCCACAGCTTCACCATCAGAGACGGTGAGAACACCCACGAGTGTGCTGCCACTGCTGCAGCAAAGGACCCCAAATGCAGTGCCTTAAAACAGCACAAATTTATTCTTTTAGGGATTGGAGGTCAGAAGTCTAAATCGGGTCTCACTGAACTGAAATCAAGGTGTTCATAGGGCCACATTCAGTTCTGGAGGCTCTAGGAAAAATATCCACGTTCTTCCGTTTTCTATCTTCTAGAAGCCGCTTTCCTTGACTTGTGGCTCCATCTCTGTCTTTTTTTTTTTTTTTTTTTTTTTTTTCTCTGAGACGGAGTTTTGCTCTTGTTGCCCAAGCTGGAGTGCAATGGTGCAATCTTGACTCACGGCAACCTGCATCTCCCAGGTTCCAGTGATTCTCCTGCCTCAGCCTCCTGAGTAGCTGGGATTACAGGCATGTGACACCATGCCCAGCTAATTTTTGTACTTTTGGTCTCAAACTCCTGACCTCAGATGATCCGCCCACCTCGTGCTCCCAAAGTGCTGGGATTACAGGCATGAGCCACTGCGCCCGGCCTCCATCTCTATCTTTAAAGCAGCAGCAGAGCATCTTGTCTTGCAATCTCTCTCTCTCTCCTTCCATCCTCACACCTCCTCCTCTGACTGACTTTCCTGCCTCCCTCTTATAAGGACCCTTGTGATTACATTGAATCCACTCAGATAATCCCTAGATAATCTCCCATCTCAAAATCCTTATTCACATCTACAAAGTCCATTTTGATATGTCAGGTCACACATTCAACAGGTTCTAGGGATTTGGATGTGGAGATATTTGTCAGGGGTGCATTATTCAGCCAACCGCAAGCACAGACTTTCCTAAAAAGGAGGCCAAGGTTCTTTTTCAAATAGTTAATCTTGCAAAATAATATACATCCTCAATCAGGTAGGCAAGAGCAGGTGGAAGAGTACAGGAATCAGACATGCCTAAAGTTGAAACAGGAAATGGACAGAGCTGGTAGCTGGGCGCAGTGGCTCATGCCTGTAATTCCATCACTTTGGGAGGCCAAGGCAGGCAGATCATTCAGGGTCGGGAGTTTGAGACCAACCTGGCCAACATAGCGAAACCCCATCTCCACCAAAAATACAAAAATTAGCTGGTCATAGTGGCACACACCTGTAATCCCAGCTACTAGGGAGGCTGAGGCACGAGAATTGCTTGAACCCAGGAAGCAGAGGTTGCAGTGAGCTGAAATTGTGCCACTGCACTCCAGCCTGGGAGACAGAGCCAGACTTTGTCTCAAAAAAAAAAAAAAAAAAGAAGAGTACAGAGCTGGAAAGAGCAAAGCTGCATATATTGCCCATTAAGCAAGACAGAGCCAGACCACTTACACAATAAGCCGAGGGATCTCCCTGAGTGGAAAGGGAAATGGATAAATATAGGGCATCACAAATAAGGCGAATTCTGAGTTCAGGTGTCTGGCTCATGAGGTGGGATGTAAATTCTTTGCTGTTGGCCATTGAGCCAGTTTATGCTACAAAATCAAGAGCCGAGTTCTTAAAGAGGTCCAGGATGGATTTAGCGGGCTTCGGGTCACACAGTGGACAGATTTGTGTCCAAATGCTCCAGGCTTTCCAAAATTTTTCTTTAATTCCTGTGTTCTAATGTGGTCAAACTGGGATTACGTTAAGTCTCTCAGCCTCAGTTTCCTCATCAGTAAAATGAGCTTGTTCATCCTCCCCTGGAGAGCTGTTGGGATCATTGGAAGTATTGGACGTTCTAGCAAGGGCCTGACACCTGGTAGATGCTTAAGAGATTAAAAATCACCATTGACCAGGCACAGTGGCTCATGCCTGTAATCCCAACACCTTGAGAGGCGGAGGCAGGAGTGTTGCTTGATCCCAGGAGTTCCAGACCAATCTGTGCAACATAGTGAGACCCCATTTCTATTTTATTTTATTTTATTTTTTATTTTTATTTTTATTTATGTTTTTGAGACAGAGTTTCGCTCTTGTTGCCCAGGCTGGTGTGCAATGGTGCAATCTCAGCTCACCACAGCCTCCACTTCCTGGGTTCAAGTAATTCTCCTGCCTCAGCCTCCCGAGTAGCTGGGATTACAGGGATGCGCCACCATACTCAGCTAATTTTGTATTTTTAGTACAGATGGGGTTTCTCCATGTTGGTCAGGCTGTTCTCGAACTTCCAACCTCAGGTGATCTGCCCACCTCGGCCTCCCAAAGTGCTGGGGTTACAGGCATGAGCCACCACGCCCGGCCCATCCCATTTCTATTTTAATTTATTTTAAAAAAATAATTAAACATAAAAATAAAACCACTATCTGTGGCTTTGAATCCCAGCTCCACCATCCTAGCTAACATGCACCTAAACTGTGTAACTTTGGCCAAGGTACTGACCCTGTCTGTCTCAGTCTCTTCTGTAAAATGGACATATCAATAGCGTATCTCATGGAGCTGCTATTAGATCTAAACGAATGTGTAAACAGCTCTGTATTATGTCTCGTGCACAACACCTGCTCAATAAGCATTTGTTCTTAATTTCATATAACTACTGGCCAGTCGCGATGGCTCACACCTGTATTCCCAGCACTTTGGGAGGCCGAGGCGGGTGGATCACCTGAGATCAGGAGTTCGAGACCAGCCTGGCCAACATGGTGAAACCCCGTCTCTACTAAAAATACAAAAAATTAGCTGAGCGTTGTGGTGAGCACCTGTAATCCCAGCTACTTGGGAGGCTGAGACAGGAGAATCGCTTGAACTCGGGAGGCAGCGGTTGCAGTGAGCTGAGATTGCACCATTGCACTCCAGCCTGGGCAACAAGAGCGAGGCTCCCTCTCACAAAAAAAAAAAAAAAAAAAAATTATATAACTATTAATTTCTTTTGAGCTAGTCAGCAATTATTTTTTGAATGTGTACTCTATGCCAGTGCCTTGCTCTAACATTTACACATGAATAGAGACACGATGGGTGAAAAGCGCGAGCTCTGAGTCTGCAATACCTTGCAGATTTTACTGTGACTCAGCTACAGAATGGGTGGTTCCATATTTTGCTGACAGCACTAAATCTTAATGATTCCTTTCTTTTCTAAACAGAAGTTCCCAATGATTCTTGGAAATAAATACTGTTCTGGATGAGGAACATAGAAGGTAAATGCACCAGTGGTGGCCGGGCGCGGTGGCTCACGCCTGTAATCCCAGCACTTTGGGGAGCCAAGGTGGGCAGATCACCTGAAGTCGGGAGTTCAAGACCAGCCTGGCCAACATGGGAAAATCCTATCTCTACTAAAAATACAAAAATTAGCCGGATGTGGTGGCAGGCAACTGTAATCCCAGCTACTTGGGAGGCTGAGATAGGATAATTGCTTGAACTCAAGAGGCAGAGGCTGTGGTGAGTTGAGATCATGCCACTGCACTCCAGCCTGGGTGACACAGTGAGACTCCGTCTCAAGAAAAAAAGCACCAGTGGTTTTCCTTCCATGAGGCCTTGCTTCCCCAGGCTGCCAGCTCCTCCATGGTCTCTTTCTTTCTTTTTTTTTTTTTTTTGAGATGGAGTCTCACTCCGTTACCCAGGTTGGAGTGTGGTGGCGCAATCTCGGCTCACTGCAACCTTCGCCTTCCAGGTTCAAGTGATTCTCATGTCTCAGCCTCCGGCGTAGCTAGGATTACAGGCACATGCCACCACATCTGGCTAGTTTTTTTTTCTTTTTTTGAGACAGAGTCTGGCTCTGTCACCCAGGCTGGAGTGCAGTGGCACGATCTCGGCTCATTGCAAACTCCACCTCCCGGGTTCACGCCATTCTCCTGTGTCAGCCTCCCGAGTAGCTGGGACTACAGGCTCCCACCACCACGCCTGGCTAATTTTTTGTATTTTTAGTAGAGACGGGGTTTCACCGTGTTAGCCAGGATGGTCTTGATCTCCTGACCTCGTGATCTGACCGCCTCGGCCTCCCAAAATGCTGGGATTACAGGTGTGAGCCACTGTGCCCGGCCCCGGCTAGGTTTTTTTGTATTTTTAGTAGAGATGGGGGTTTCATCATGTTGGCCAGGCCGGTCTCGAACTCCTGACCTCAGGTGATTCACCAGCATGGGCCTCCCAAAGTGCTGGGATTACAGGCGTGAGCCACCGCGCCCGGCCGAGTCAGTTTTATTCACAATCTGGCATTGGCTGGGAAAATAGGAAACCCAGGAATTACACCCAATGATTTGTTTTCCCTCCATCTTTCTCTTAGACCTAGGCCAGCGTCTGAGGGTTCATGCCCCATTCTGCTTGGCAGGCATCATTTTGCCAATCTGTGGCATAGGGTGGGAAGGCCCAGAGTGCGGGGAGCCTGCCTGAATTGTGGTGTCTTCATCATCTAGCATGGGGCCTGGCCCAGAGGGGCGCTTGGAAACTGTATATGGAGCTGAGATGGTACAGTGAGGCAGTCATTGTTTTGGTAGACAGAGGCAATACTTTCCCAGTCAAACTCTTCAATATTTACTACAAAGAGGGTTTGCTGGGCCCTGCCCCAAGTGTTTCATGTCCATCCACAACTCAGCCCTCCCCGTCACTCCTGAGGAGGATAGCCTGGGGACTACCACAGTTTTAGAGATAAGGAATGAAGTCCCAGAGAGGCCAAGTCACTTACCCAGAAGCACACAGCTAAGAGTTGGTAAAGCTCAGACATAGACGCAATACTCTCTAACTTCAGAATCCCAAGTCCTAACCATTGTGCAATTCAGCCCTGTTTCCCCTTCCCACCAGCTCCTGCCTCCCCATCTCTCCATCCCAATCCTCTCAGTGCTGCCAGCTTGCCAATGCTGGTGTGGCATAGCCTGGCTTCATCTCTCCTCTCCTCTAGGACTCTCCGTGGCACCCCATTGTCTAATGGTGGGAAGATACACCAGAAATGTTCAGTTCCACTCTAGCGGGTTCAGAAGAGAACACGTGGGGAAGTTGGGGTCCCTGATAAGCTGAAAACAAAGCCAATAACTCTCAAAAAGTGGTTTGTGTGCCTCCTTTCTCAATAAAGCTTTTTTTTTTTTTTTTTTTTGAGATGGAGTCTCACTGTGTTGCCCAGGCTGGAGTACAGTGGCACGATCTCAGCTCACTGCAGGCTCTGCCTCCCAGGTTCAAGCGATTCTCGTGCCTCGGCCTCTGGAGTAGCTAGGATTACAGGCATGAGCCACCATGCCCAGCTAATTTTTGTATTTTTAGTAGAGATAGGGTCTCGCCATGTTGGCCAGGTTGGTCTCGACCTCCTGACCTCAGGTGATCCACTTGCCTGGGCCTTCCAAAGTGCTGGGATGACAAGTGTGAGCCACCGCGTCTGGCCATTCAGTAAAGCTTTGAATCCTGAAAGCTGCACAGGGCTTGAGTGCATCATAGTCCTCAAAGATAGCGTTTGTGTTTCTAACACACTTCCCAGGTGACCCCGAGCCCTCTGAGGTTTGACAATCCCTCCACAATGGGCCTCTAGCCTGGCTGCCCAGGCCTAACCAAAACCATGTTATTAATACTAATAATCAGAAGAACCATGGGCTAGTGAATAGCCTTCTGTACCTTTTTAAAGCACCCAGGTGATTCCAGTGTAGATGCAGGTTAGGTGCTTAAGACCAAACATCTAACTTAGAGAAAAGACTTTGGAGCAAGAAACAAAAAGGCAGAAAATAGCTTGTGGCCTTCAGCAGAGGCCAGTAGAAATTAATGCTCTAAAAAAAAAACAAAGAGGGACCAGAGGTTGTGGTTCATGCCTATAATCCCAGCACTTTTAGAGGCTGAGGTGGGAGGATCCCTTGAGCCCAGGAGTTCAAGACAAGCCTGGGTAACATAGTGAGACCTGGTACCTACCAGAAAATCAAAAAGTTATCCAGGCGTGGTGGTATGCACCTATAGTCCCAGCATCTTAGGAGACTGAGGCAGGAGGATCACTTGAGCCTTGGAGGCAGAGGCTGCAGTGAGCCGAGATCACACCTCTGCACTCCATCCTGGGTGACAGAGTGAGACTTCATCTAAAAAAAATTAAAAAAGAAAAACATGTAAAAAATAACAAAGATATGAACAAAAAAAGCAGAGTACAGAGGGAGAAGCTGGGTGAAGGGTACAAGAACACTCCTTTCTGTACATCTAAAATTATTTCAAAGCAAAAAGTTTTTACAAAGCACGCATAGAAATGAGTGATTCCAAGTCTCCCTCATTAATGATATCTGTTAATTTTCCGATAAAATTAACAGGCAAAGTCATTGTCCCACCAGGATTTGAACATTGGAAAGTTTCTTTTATATATACCCACACACACACACACACGCACACACACACACACACATATATGTGTGTGTGTGTGTGTATATATATCTATATCTTCCCTTCTTCCCCAAAATATCAAACTTGACCTAGTTCTAGAAGATCCCAGGCAGGAGCACGTCTGTTGGCGTATGTCCCTTCAGAAGGAATGTGGCTAATTGGGCTCTCCTGAAAGCAGACTGCTGGGGAATGCATGGAGGCTCCTTCTGTAATCTCAACCTCAAAGTCCAGGGTCAGCCTTGAGTAATTCCAGACACCTACTTTCCTGTGGTCACCAGGCACTCCATGCTCTGGGGCTGGATGTTTATAGGAAATGGGCAGCCTGTTCACTACCCAGCCTGGGTGTTTATATTTCTTTCTTTCTTTTTTTTTCTTTTCTTGTGTGTGTGGGTGTGTGTTTTTGTTTTGTTTTGTTTTGTTTTGTTTTTTGAGATGGAGACTTGCTCTGTCACCCAGGCTGGATTGCGGTGGCATGATCTCAGCTCACTGCAACCTCTACCTCCCAGGCTCAATTCTCCTGCCTCAGCCTCCCGAGTGGCTGGGATTACAGACACCCGGCACCATGCCCAGCTAATTTTTATATTTTCAGTAGAGACGGGGTTTCACCATGTTGGTCAGGCTGGTCTTGAACTCCTGACCTCAGGTGATCCACCTGCCTCGGCCTCCCAAAGTGCTGGGATTATAGGCGTGAGCCACAGCACCCAGCCAATATTTCAAGTGAACATAATTCAACATTTCAGGTCAAGCACCTTAGCCAATGCCTTGTGGGTGGTGACTCCCAGCAACAGTAACCAGTGAAAGACAGGCTGGCTCAAAGGGGAGATCAGGGTGGCCTTAAGTGGGCCTCTGTCTCCATGTAGCATGTAGCTGAGGACCAGTGAGTATGTGTGGCCTTGCTCACCCACAGATGAGTCCGCCTGCCACCCGGATTTTCTTGGACAATGCAGTTTCAACAGCCTTTGTTTACGAAGTGCATGCTGGGAGTCAATGCGCAGGACCCCTTACATTACCACATCTCATTTAAAACTGCCCACCTCACCACTTGAGGTCAGGAGTTCAAGACCATCCTGGCCAACATGGTGAAACCCCCTCTCTAGTAAAAATACAAATATTAGCCAGGCATGGTGGCAGGCACCTGTCATGCCACCTACTCAGGATGCTGAGGCAGGAGAACTGCTTGAACCCAGGAGGTGGAAGTTGCAGTGAGCCGAGATCGCACTACTGCACTCCAGCCTGGGTGACGGAGCAAGATGTTGTCTCAAATATAAAAAATAAAGATAATAAAACTGCCCACCTAGAAGGGGAGGACTATGTGATTCCCAGCTTCCAGTCAAGGAGACTGAGGCTCGATGAGATTAAGAGACCTGCCCAAGGTCACCCAACCTGGATGAGATGAAACCTAGAGCCGAAGCCTTGATCACTCTGTCTACTGCATCTCAATACTCTACGCAGCTTTTCTTGAGCACCTACTATGTGCACAGTGCTTTGCAAGCCTCAAATGTCACGTGACTCTGCAAGGACTGTGTCACGATCCTCATGTCATAGTGGAGGGGACAGATTCTTGACTGTTACCAAGGTCAAGTGCATGGTTGGTACATGATGAAGCCAGGATTCATATCCATGTGGAGATTGAGCCTCCTTAGCAACAGGAATCCTGGCCATTCTGCTCATTGTTATATTTTCACTCCTGGCCCATCAGGGCAGTTAATAAATAATGGTTGAAAGCATGAACTCAGGGCCTGGTCAGCCCCAAAGCTCAGGCTCCTAACCGTTCCTCCATATTTCTTTCTGCTGCCCAGGAATAAATCTCCCCCTACAGAAATATCTCAGTGAGGCTGGGCACCGTGCCTCACACTTGTAATCCCAGCACTTCAGGATGCCAAGGCGGGAGGATCGCTTGAGTCCAGGAGTTCAAGACCAGCCTAGGCAATATAGCAAGATCCCATCTCTACAAAAAATAAAAAATTAGCCAGGCATGGTAGCACGCACCTATAGTCCCAGTTACTTGGGAAACTGAGGTGGGAGGATCACTCGAGCCTGGGAGATTGAGGCTGCAGTGAGCTGTAATTGCGCCACTGCCCTTAGCCTGGTGACAGCAAGACCCTGTCTCACAAAGAAAGGAGAAAGAAATATCTCAGTGACACTTATTCACACAGTAACCACCCCTGAAAAGATGTTTGCATAAAGGCTAGATGATTGTCTCTTAGGAACACAAATAACCTCCTGAAGACTGGAGGAGGAACTAGCAGGTCTTTCATGATCTCCCTCAATTTTATTTTATTGTATATTTTTTTCTTTGAGATAGAGTCTCCCTCTGTCACCCAGGCAGGAGTTCAATGGCACAGTCTCAGCTCACTGCAACCTCTGCCTCCTGGGTTCAAGCAATTCTCCTGCCTCAGCCTCCTGAGTAGCTGGGACTATGGGTGCGTGCCACCACGCCCGGCTAATTTTTTTTTTTTTTTTTTTTTTTTTTTGTATTTTTAGTAGAGACAGGGTTTCACCATGTTGACCAGGCTGGTCTCGAACTCCTGACCTCAGACGATCCGCCCATCTTGGCCTCCCAAAGTGCTGGGATTACAGGCATAAGCCACCACACCAAGCATTTTTTTTTTTTTAATAGATAAGGGCTTCCTACATTGCCCAGGCTGATCTCGAACACCTAGCCTCACCTTTTTATGTGCCAGGACAACAAGCCTGAGCCACCACGCCTCCCCTCAATTTTCTTATAATTAGTGTTACTATTATTGTCATTATGTCCATCCAAGTGCACAGGTGGGAGTCATTGCCACTGGAATGTACATTCAAATCCTTTGGCAATGGACATGGAAACACAACCCCAAGGGCAAAACAAGTTGAAACTCTTCAAAGTCAAGATAGCGGTTACCCTGGAGGGGGAAGAGGTTAGTGACAAGGTGGATATATGAGGCTAGCGTTCAGGGGGCTGCTCTGGTCCTGTTTCTCTTTTTGAGGCAGGGTCTTGCTCTGTTGCCCAGGCTGAAGTGCAGTAGTGCGATCTTGGCTCACTGTAGCCTTGACCTCCCAGGCTCAAGTGATCCTCCCGCCTCAGCCTCCTGAACAGCTGGGACTACCATACCCATCTGATTTTTGTATTATTTGTAGAGATGGGGTCTCGCCATGCTGCCCAAGTAGTCTTGAACTCCTGGGCTCAAGCGATCCTCCCCTCTGGGCCTCTCAAACTGCTGGGATTACAGGCATGAGCCATTGCACCTGGCCCCAGGTCCTGTTTCTTGATCAGGATGTAGTTTGCGTGGGTAGCTCCCCTTTGTGAAACCTCAGCAGGCTGGATGTCATCAAGCTGCACATCTCTGTAGGAGTGATTTTAATTGGAAGGTGCAGACAGAACACTCAAACTGATTGTTCTTGCTGTGTTAGGATCTTGGTTAAGAGGGCCAGCTTTAGATGCCCATTGCTGGCCTTCGACTCCAGATTACCACTCGCTAGCTGTGTGGCTTAACACAAGCTGCTTAACCTCTCTGTGCCTCAATTTTATTAGCTGGGAAATAAGTCTGCAGGGCTGTGAGTACCCAAGCCCTTTGTACTTCATTTGGTAAAAAAGTTGGAACCTTTAAGCACTGTTTAGATCTTGCTTTATTTTGCTATTAATTAACAAATGACATTATGTTATTTTTTTTTATTTTTTATTTTTTTGAGATGGAGTCTCGCTCTGTTGCCCAGGCTGGAGTGCAGTGGCGTGATCTCAGCTCACTGCAACCTCTGCCTCCTGGGTTCGAGCGATTCTCCTGCCTCAGCCTCCCAAGTAGCTGGTAGCTGGGACTACAGGTGCCTCCCACCACACCCAGCTAATTTTTGTATTTTTAGTAGAGACAGGGTTTCACCGTATAGGCCAGGCTGGTCTCAAACTCCTGACCTTGTGATCCGCCTGCCTCAGCCTCCCAAAGTGCTGGGATTATAGGAGTGAGCCACCATGCCCAGCCTTTCTTTCTTTCTTTTTATTTATTTATTTATTTATCTTTGACATTGAGTCTCGCTCTGTTGCCCAGGCTGGACTTCAGTGGCACGATTTCGGCTCACTGCAAGCTCCGCCTCCCAGGTTCAAGCAATTGAACCTCCCGAGTAGCTGGGACCACAGGTGCCCAGTACCCCGGCTAATTTTTTTTGTATTTTTAGTAGAGATGGAGTTTCCCCATGTTGGCCAGGCTGGTCTTGAACTCCTGACCTCAAATGATCCACCTGCCTCTACCTCCCAAATTGCTAGGATTACAGGCATGAGGCACTGCGCATGGCCGATTTTTTTTTTTTTCCAGCGAATGCATTTCTGGTTGGAGTATTCTACTTGCTTCCAGTGTTGTGAGTATGAAACCAGATAACACACATCAAGTGCCCAGCACAGTGTTTAGCATGCTGGTGCTCAATCGATGCTGGCTGTTAGTACTAGTTTCCTTTTCCTAAGATATCAAAAGGCACTGGGCGAGAATTTCTTGGAAACATGTTTTCTCCTCTAAGCCCATCCTGTGGCAGTCAACATATGATGGGCGTTTCTGAGGTCAACTTTTTGCTTATTGGAATGCAATGTCACTGTGTCCCAGGCTTGGCTTTTCCGTGTGTTGTAATTGTAGCAACACTGGAAGCACATACTATACCACGAAAATGAAATGCGTTCTGTAAAAGGAAAAAATCTTAATGTCATTTGCGAATTAACAGCAAAATAAAATAAAACACTGCCTCTTTCAGGCCCCTCCCCGAGGTTTCAAACTGCCCAGGAAATAAAGTTCTCAGGGCTGGTGCGGTGGTTCATGCCTGTAATCCCAGCACTTTGGGAGGCCGAGGCAGGCAGTTCACCCGAGCTTAGGAGTTTGAGACCAGCCCGGCCAACAGAGTAAAACCTCGTCTCTACTAAAAATACAAAAATTAGTCGGACATGGTGGCACATGCCTGTAGTCCCAGCTATTTGGGAAGCTGAGGCAGGAGAATCGTTCGAACCTGAGACGTGGAGGTTACAGTGAGCCAAGATCGTACCACTGGACTCCAGCCTGGGCGACAGAGTGACTCCATCTCAAAAAAAGAAAAAAAAAAAGTTATCAGGCCTGCAAACCTAGTAGGACCCCTCAACCCATTTCCCAATTTCATTTCACTCCTGTCCTCCAAATCCCTCTCTAATGTTCCAGCCCAGCCGAACTCAACGCCTGCAAGAAGGGTTCTGCATTTTCCCAACTCCAGGCCTTTGCTTACAGACCTCTTAGCGGGTGAACAGGACAGCTCTGCCCTCTCTCCCCAGCATATTGCAGTCAAATTCTACTCATCCTTTAAGAGCTGTTTCATGCACCACCTCCTCCCTGAAGCTTCTCCTGACTTATTCCCAGCTGGGAAGGACCTCCTCTCACCCCTGCCCCAGGAGGAATCCATGGATGTGGGTTTTTTGTTGTTGTTGCGTTTTTTTGTTTATTTGTTTTTTGAGACGGGGTCTCGCTCTGTCGTCCAGGCTATAGGGCAGTGGCGCGATCTCGGCTCACTGCAGCCTCTGCCTCTTGGGTTCAGGCAATTCTGTCTCCTCAGCCTCCTGAGTAGCTGGGATTACAAGGGTGTGCCACCACACCCAGCTAATTTTTGCATTTTTAGTAGAGATGGGGTTTCACCATGTTGGCCAGGCTGGTCTCAAACTCCTGACCTCAGGTGATCCACCCACTTTGGCCTCCCAAAGTGCTGGGATTACAGGCGTGAGCCACCGCACCTGGCCTAGATGTGTTATTTTACATAGCAAAAGAAACTTCGCAGGCTAGGCAAACGCCTGTAATCCCAGCACTTTGGGAGGCCGAGGCAGGTGGGTCTCCTGTGGTCAGGAGTTCGAGACCAGTCTGACCAACATGGCAAAACCCTGTCTCTACTAAAAATATTTTAAAAATTAGCTGGGCATGGTGGCACATGCCTGTAATACCAGCTACTCGGGGAGGCTGAGGCAGGAGAATCTTTTGAACCAGAGAGGCTGAGCTTGCAGTGAGCCAAGATTCCACCATTGCACTCCAGCCTGGGTGACAGAGTGAGACTCCATCTCAAAAAAAAAAAAAAAAAGAGAGAGACTTTGTAGATGTGATTAGATGAAGGATCTTGAGATGGGGGAGGTGATCTGACATTAGGGATGGGCCCAGTGTAATCTCAAGAGAGAAGCAGGAGCGTCAGCCTCAGAGGAGATGTGATACCGGGACAGGAGACAGGGGTCACAGTGACGCAGCCATGACCAGGGAAGGCAGCAGCTTCTCAAAGCTAGAAAAATCAAGGAACAGACCTCCCCTGGAGCCTCCAAAAGGAACTAGCCCTGTGGACACCTTGATTTTAGCTCTGTAATCCCCATTTCAGACTTTCTTCCAAACTCTGAGATAATGACTGTATGTTGTGTGAAGCCACTAAGTGAGGGGTAAGTCGTTACAGCAGCCGTAGAAAACTAACACGGGTCTAGAACCATCTGGTATATTTTGAGGTTGGTCTCAATGGACTGGTCAAGAGATTTATGCCATGAGTTAGACTCTCTGCAGAATTTGGATGAATTAGACATTGAACACAGGTCTGACCCTCTATTGCTATGCAGGATTGGGCATCAGGTCACCTCCTGGTTGTGTTCAATATCAAACGTTACTCCAGGGAGACTGAAGTGATCAACTGGGCTTCTGGAGGCAGCGCTCCCAGGACTGAACGGGGCCCTGGGGAAAACCACCCCACATATGCAGCCTTCTAGATTAGTCCTCCAGCTCTGCTCCTTCCCTGGAGGGACACAAACAGGGTGGAAGGGATGACTGATTCTGGTCAGCACTCTCAGATGGGTGACCCTGGGCAAGGTGAAAGAATGTTTCTGAGCCTGAGTTCCTTCCTATGGAAAATGGAGCTAAGAACAGACATATTTTGCATTGACATATTTTGCATTATCACATTTTGCATTGCTATAAAGGAATACCCAAGACCGGGTAATTTATAAAGAAAAGAGGTTTATTTGGCTCACGGTTCTGCAGGCTGTACAGGAAGCAAGCCACCAGCATCTGTTTGGTTTCTGGCGAGGGCCTCAAAAAGCTTTGGCTCATGGCAGAAGGCAAAGGGGGAGCAGGCATGTCACATGGTGAAAGAGAGAGAGAGAGAGGAGGGAGGGATCTTTTAAACAACCAGATGTTGCATGAACTAATAGAGTGAGAACTCACTCATCACCAGAACAACACTAAGCCATTCATGAGGGACCCACCCCCATCACCCAGACACCTCCTCCTAGGCCCACCTGCAACATCACAGGCTTCAACATGAGATTTGCAAGGAACAAAACATTCAAACCGTAACACATACTTATCCAGCCATACTGTTGTGAGTCAGGAGTGAGAAAATGTGTGTCTAAAATTATATTCCAGGCCGGGCATGGTGGCTCACGCTTGTAATTTCAGCACTTTGGGAGGCTGAGGCGGGTGGATCACCTGAGGTCAGGAGTTCAAGACTAGCCTGGCCAACGTGGTGAAACCCCATCTCTACTAAAAATACAAAAATTTGCTGGTCGTGGTGGCGCATGCCTATAATCCTAGCCACTCAGGAGGCTGAGTCAGGAGAATCACTTGAACCCAGGAGGCGGAGGTTGCAGTGAGCCGAGATCGCACCATTATATTCCAGCCTGGGCAACAAGAGCAAAACTCAAAAAAATAATAATAATAAATAAAATTATATTTAAAATGCGAATTGTATCGGCCCTGTGTACTAAAGGAGCTTGTCCTAGTGAAATAACCACCTTCTTCTCCCAGTAAAACCCATACAAGGACTGACATTGATTTTAAAGCCCTGTGAAGGCGTCAGCCTGAGATTATGCTGGTTCTTCTCTTGCAGGTGAAGTCTATTACAGGAGCAAATACCTGAGAAGCGATACCTACAACACCAATATTGAGGCAAACAGGATTGTGGTGTCTGAGTTTGGAACAATGGCCTATCCGGACCCCTGCAAAAACATATTTTCCAAGTAACTGCCTATTTTAAATCTGAGCAAATTTCATGCTTTTTGCTATCCTTGATGGCTGAAATAACCAGCATTTGCTCCTCTGACAATTCTCTTTAGGGTAGATGAAAACTCCACATGACTGCCCTTTAACCAGAGGTGCTACACAGTTCTTGATCACTGATTGCCAGAGAGACTAAGAGCATTTGACAAATTATTAGAAGCCCTCCCACATGGCTGGTGGGAAAGCGATTTGGAATCATCTGTCAAAATTATAAATGCGTATTCCCTTCAGCCTAGAGATCTGCTTACTTGCATAGAAAATGACACATGCACCAGGTATTTGTCATTTATGGCTGCATCATTTGTTATAACAAGTAGCTGAAAACAACCCAAATGTTCATTAAAAGAGGACTGGTTAAATCCGTAACAGTAAAACTGTACGAGAAAATGCCATGTAGAAGTAAAAAGGAATGAGGATGTTCTCTTTGCACTCTACAGAAGCTTTTCCAAGATAGACTAAGTGGAAAAAAAAAAAAAAAGGAAGGTGTAGAAAGAGCATGTTATAAGCTGTACTTTGTGTGAAAAAGCAGTAAGAAATCTAAATTAAATTTTGCTTGTACATGCATAAAGAAACTAGGAAAGGATGCACAGGGGCAGATGGATGTTGAGGAGAGGGAGAGATTTTTTGCTGTATATATTTTATTTCATTTCATTTCATTTTATTCATTTATTTATTTATTTAAGATGGAGTTTCACTCTTCTTGTCCAAGCTGGAGTGCAATGGCGCAATCTCAGTTCACCGCAACCTCTGCCCCCCAGGTTCAAGTGATTCTCCTGCCTCAGCCTCCCAAGTAGCTGGGATTACAGGCACCCACCACCACGCCCGGCTAATTTTTATATTTTCAGTAGAGACGGGGTTTCACCATGTTGATCAGGCTGGTCTTGAACTCCTGATCTTAGGTGATCCACCCACCTTGGCATCCCAAAGTGCTAGGATTACAGGCATGAGCCACTGCGCCTGGCCACTGTATACATTTTAAATCATCTGGATTAGTATCCATATGAATGTGTTACATATCTGACAGTTAAATTCTTGGCCAGGGAATCAGGCCTGCCATCAGTATCTTCTTTCTGAAACTCTCTAGATGTAGAAGAGTTATGAAAGAGTTGAAGGGTGGACTGGCCCAGAGATGGAAGATTGCTTCTGCTTTTTTGAGAACTGAAGTCATCTCTCCCATTCCAGTATCCAGCTCTAGGGCTAGCTCAGAGCAAGCACTGAATTCACATTTGCAAATAGGAGGTGTGGAGTAGGAGCCAGTGAGAAAGGAGGAGGAAAGAGCAAAGGAATTTAAAACCACCATACTTACCTGGTAGGGGAGATAGCAGGATCACGAATTTGAAACCACGACCTGGAGGTCCTGGAACCAAGCCTCCTTTTTGTTCCAGTGTTTGCCAGTAGGAGGAGCACTCCCCAATACACCGATACAGGATTTGCCAATTTCATCACCCATAAACCCCTCTGGTTTTTCTTTCTTCTTGCTTTGAGTATACCTTCTGATCAAATGAGCTATGTGTTCTTAACTCATAATTAGTTTGTTTTCCTTTTTAAATTAAAAACTAATTTCCTGGATAAATTCGAGATAACCAGTGTGGACTCACATTCCTGGCAAAGCAGATATCAGCTACGTTGTTAGGCTTTGGGAGCCGTTACGGGTTCATATACGATTTCCGTAGAGCTTCTTGACATACTTTGGAACAGTATGTCTTGCTGGCTCTGATGTTAGAGACCTTTGGGTTTTGGGGAGCCCAGGAGGATCAGCTGGTGACCATGGCATTCCGGCCGACTCATTTCTTAGCTAACTCAACGTGGAGGTGTCTTTGGGGTGTCTGAGTTCTTAGGATTCCTCAGGTGACCCATTGGGACCCAGTTGCTTTTTCTTCCTTAGTTGAAGTAAAGCATTTTTTTTTTTTCTTTGAGACAGAGTCTCGCTCTTTCGCCCAGGCTGGAGTGTAGTGGCGCCATCTCGGTTCACTGCAAGCTCCGCCTCCCGGGTTCACGCCATTCTCCTGCCTCAGCCTCCCGAGTAGCTGGGACTACAGGCGCCTGCCACCACGCCCGGCTGATTTTTTGTATTTTTTAGTACAGACGGGGTTTCACCGTGTTGGCCAGGATGGTCTCAATCTCCTGACCTCGTGATCCACCTGCCTCGGCCTCCCACAGTGCTGGGATTACAGGCACCCGGCCGAAGTAAAGCATTTTTAAGTGGTAGGAAAACTAAAGCCATCAAGGATAGACTTCTCTGGCTGGGTGGACATAGCCACTGACTCTGTTGATTTGCTTTTCTCCCCAGAGCTTTCTCCTACTTGTCTCACACCATCCCCGATTTCACCGACAACTGCCTGATCAACATCATGAAGTGCGGAGAAGACTTCTACGCGACCTCAGAGACCAATTACATCAGGAAAATCAACCCACAGACTCTGGAAACCCTGGAGAAGGTATCAACACATATGTAACCAGCATCACTTCCTGACTCAAGAAAGGGAGAGTCGGCGACGGCCGGGGTGAGGTTGCTCAGCCTGCAAGCAGCTTACCAGGGGAGCCCCTCCTCTAACACCGTTGGATCCCGTGCCCTAGCGCCACACTTACTGCTAGATGCTAGGCAGGGACTGTGTTGTTTTTATCTTCGTGTCTGTATCAGTTTCCTGGGGCTGATGTAACCAAGTCCTACAAAAAAGATTGCTTTAAACAACAGAAATTGGCTGGGTGTGGTGACCTACACCTGTAATTCCAGCACTTTGGGAGGTCAAGGTGGGCAGATCACCTGAGGTCAGGAGTTTGAGACCAGCCTGGCCAACATGGTGAAACCCCATCTCTACCAAAAATACAAAAATTAGCCAGGCGTGGTGGCATGTGCCTGTAATCCCAGCTACTCTGAGGCTGAGGCAGGAGAATCGCTTGAACTCAGGAGGGGGAGGTTGCAGTGAGCCCAGATTGCACCACTGCACTCCAGCCTGCATGACAGAGTGAGACTCTGTCTCAAACAAAAACAAAAAAAAAAAAAAAAAAAACAAGACAAACAAATAAAAAAACAGAAATTTACTCTCTCACAGTTCTGGAGGTTAAAAGTCTGAAACCAAGGTGTCAGCCCGGCCATGCTCTCTCTGAAGACTCTAGAGGAGGGTCCTCCCTGGCCCCTTCCTGGCTTCTAGCGGTTGCCGGCAACCCCTGGTGTTCCTCAGCTTGTAGATGCATCCCTCCAGCCTCTGCCTCAGTCTTCACACTGCCTCTCCTTATGGGGCTATGTGTCCAAATGTTCTGCCTTTTTTTTTTTTTTTTTTTTGAAAAAGTGTCTTGCTCTGTCGCCCAGACTGGAGTGCAGTGGTGCGATCTCAGCTCACTGCAACCTCCGCCTCCTGGGTTCAAGCGATTCTTCTGCCTCAGCCTCCTGAGTAGCTGGGACTACAGGCACGTGCCACCACACTTCACTAATTTTTTGTATTTTTGGTACAGATGGGGTTTCACCGTGTTAGCCAGGCTGGTCTTGATCTCCTGACCTCATGATTGGCCCTCATGATTACAGGCGTGAGCCATTGCACCCAACCATGTTCTGCCTTTTATAGAGACACAAGTCATTGCATTAGGGCCCACCCCAGTGCAGTATGACCTCATCTTAACTTAATGACATCTATAAAGACCTTATTTCCAAGTAAGGTCACATTCACAGGTACCCAAGGTGAGGACTTCAACCTATCTTTTTTGCAAGACACAATTCAACCCATAACTCTGTTCATAATTCTTGGCACTGAGGGAGTTCACTGAGAATTTGAATGAATGACTGTTGAAATGCCTGCGATTCTCAGCAATCCTACCTTCTATTGACCTGAAGAGGGAGGCATTAGGCAAAAAGCTAGGGCACAAAAATCAGTGCCCAAGCACATACCTTTCCTGGGAAGAATCAAGTCAACATTTTGGTGGGAATCAATAGACCCACTTTCAATTTTCTCCAGCTGGCTGTTCAAAATTCCGATGTCTCTGCAATACGTTTTAACGATCTGTTAAAGAGATGAGGCTTTTCTTAGCTGTGAAATTATGTCCAGCTCCTTTTAAGCTAGACGGCATCGGTCCAACTGATGATGCTTTCCACAGGGCTACAGAGAGGAAATGCTGGAAGAGAAAGGAGTTATCTGACTCTGGGCTGGAGGTTGTGTTTTTCTAGGGGAGGAAGCGCAGACGGTTGGTCTGCGGCCACTCCATCATTCTGCAGCTGTGGACTGCAGAGTGAGGGTCATTATTCAGCTCGTTGATCAAACTTCACTTTGACCAAATGTTTTTGTAACCTCTCCATTCCCAGAATAATCGTCTAAGAGAGGCCTAGAGATTTATGCTTCTGTGCAATGCAAAAGGGCAGAATTTAAGCCAGAATGACAGAACTGTGGCCAAGATTAGCTCGAAGGCTACCTCTCTGCCCAGGTCATTGCTCAGAGCTTTCTGCAGTGAGGAATCTTGTTTCCATGTTGAGGATTCCAGCAAGGTCAGGCAACAGGATTGGAACGATAGCCACAGAAGCACACCAGCTCCCTAACTCCCCTGCAACCTATTAGCTGTCTGAGTCCCTCAAATCCCCATGTGAGGTTGTATAAGGTCACAAGAGTGAAAGTCTTCTTTAAAAGCAAATTCTGTATCGTTTTCAGATCAACAGAGTGCAAAAATATCCCTCATCTCTCTGAACCTAGAATCAGTCACGTTTTCATAGGACTTCAACCTTTCTCCTTTGAAAAACCAGATGATGTCATATCTTGCAGGTTGATTATCGTAAATACTTTAAAAAACAGGAGGTGTCATATCTTGCAGGTTGATTATCGTAAATACGTGGCGGTAAATCTGGCAACGTCACATCCCCATTATGATGAGGCTGGAAATGTTCTAAACATGGGCACATCCATTGTGGAAAAGGGGAAGACAAAGTATGTGATTTTTAAGATCCCTGCCACAGTACCAGGTAGGCCACTCTGGGGAATTGAATAAAACACAAACAACCAAGTGTGGCTTCTTCTGAAGAGTTCTGTTTTTCGTTGATGACACAAGATCCAGTGTGGTACTTTCTCCCGTAGATTATTGAGGTGGACCATGAAGTCAGTACTTTCCTTTAGAAGAGAAGAGGAGATGCTGGGATTCCTCTTGGAAGAAAGAAATCCCTTTACTATTCTAATTTCCTTTTATTTAGGCTCCAGTTTATTATTTTATTAATTTATCTACCCATCTACCATCCATCCATCCATCATCTATTTACCATCCAACCATTCCTTCATCTACCATCCATCCATTCATGCATCTACTCACCGTCCATCTATCCACCATTCATTCAGCTACTCACTATCCATCCACCCACCTACCCACCATTCATCCACCTATCCATCACCCATCCACCATCCGTCCACCCATCCACCTATCCACCCCTTATCTAGCCAGCCACTCACCATCCATCCATTCATCCATTCACCCACCTACCCATCCACCCACACACCATCCCTCCATCCATCCATCTACCCACTATCCATCTACCCACCCATCCACCCATCCACCCACCATGAATCCATTCAACCATCTACCCATTCTCCCATCCATCCACCCATCCACCATCCATCCATTCATCCATCCACCCACCACCCATCCACCATCTATCTACCCACCCACCCGCCCACCCATCATGAATCCATTTATCCATCTACCCATTCTCCCATCCATCAACCCATTCACTTACCCACCATCCATCCATCCATTGAGCTTCCCACCCACCCATCCATCCATCATTCATCCATCCATCCACCCACCCATCCACCATCCATCCATTCATCCATCCACCCACACACCATCTACCCATCCATCCGTCCACCCACCATCCATCCACCATCCATCTACCTACCCATCCACCCACCCACCATGAATCCATTCATCCATCTACATGTTCTGCCATCCATCCACTCATCCACTTATCCACCATCCATCCATTGAGCCACCCACCTGCCCATCCATCCATCATTCATCCATCTACCCACCATCTATACACCCACCATTCATCCATCTATCCATCTACCATCCATCCATCCACCCACCCAACATCCATCTACCATGTGCATCTACCACCCATCTATTCACTCACCATCCTTCCATCCACCATCTATCCATCCACCCACCATCCATCTGTCTACTATCCACCGATTCATGCATGCACCCACCCACCCACCTATCGATTCATCCTTCCATCCATTCAGTTTTTCAGTCTCCTGACAAAACTTTCTATGACAAGGTTATGCCACCTACTTTCATTCCTAGCCCCTGCAGCCAAGTTTCCAGGGCTGTTTAGGGAGCTCAGTCCTGCTGGGATCCACTCCAGATCCCTGCCCTGTTCTCCAGGCCTTCTGGACCTTCTCCATGTGGGGCTGGGATCTTGGAGCAAAGCCCAGGCTGACTGTGATTGCATGATCCTGAGGGGGAGGAGGCGGAGGCTCTTAGCCCATGTTTGTCCAGGACCCTCCTGGGAACCACACCCAGGAGACCTAGGCCTGTGAGGACAGCTGACAGGACTCAGGAGACAGTGCAGAACTACAACGGTGCTTCCTCTGACCTTCTAGTTTAAAAAAAACTAGTTTCTGCCTGTGATCCTTGCTGCTCCCCCATCCCCCACTGTCTTGTAGAGCCCCCTGAGCAAACTACCAGGCACTGCCTGGAGATATGAGCCTTCGAGGTCAGAAGGTACACGGAGTGTACTTGCTAAATAGAACTCTCATTAATTAAGCCAGTAAAGGGATATAGGGGTCAAGCTCAGAATCCTAGAATGCCATACCTGGGGATTGTCTAGGCATTTGAGTTTGCCACCTTGTATTACAGAGGAGGACTGTGAGGCTCAGGGGATCAGATGACACACCCCAGTCACACAGCTCCCAGGAGCCACTGACATCCTGCAAGCAGAGATCCTCTGAGCACCTGCTCCATGCTGGCGGTGGCACTGCGACTCATGCCCCATCCTGCTCCTCCCAGGCCACAGTGCTTTTCGTTTCAGTTTGCATTGTGTTCCATTTGTTTTATAAAGACGATAACTATCCCACAACCCCACAGCATCCCTCCCACCAGCCAGCTGTTTACAGGGTGCACAGGTGGCCACAAGAGAGGTGGGGAAGTTTGCAGATAACTCATTATAAGCCAGCCGTAGGCCTGGGTGGGGAGGCCTTTTGACCAGCGAGTGACTCATGCTTGCAGAGGAATAAGAAAACTGAACACGTATTGAGCACCTTCCATGTTTGGGTGCAGGGCGAGGCACATGGATGACTGCTTTATTTCATTCTGTTCTCTACCTTCACTGTATGAGAGTCGTAATCCCTGATAAAAGAGGAGGAAGGCGAAGGGGGCTGTGTTTTCTTGGCTTAACCCTATGACTCTGACCATAATGATAGCCCATTCCACTAAGCCTCAGTTTCCCATCTATAAAATGGCCATTCTACAGCCCCGCTTGACTATCTGCATTTATATAAAACCCCTAATTATGGCCGGGCGCAGTGGCTCACACCTGTAATCCCAGCACTTTGGGAGGCCGAGGCGGGCAGATCACCTGAGGTCAGGAGTTCGAGAACAGCCTGGCCAACATGGCAAAACCCCATCTCTACTAAAAATGCAAAAATTAGCCAAGCATGGTGGCGTGAGCCTATTGTACCAGCTACTCGGGAGGCTGAGGCAGGAGAATTGCTTGAACCTGGGAGGCGGAGATTGAAGTGGGCTGAGATCGTGCCCCTACATTCCAGTCTGGGCAGCAGAGGGAGACTCTATCTCAGACAAACCGGTGGAGGCAGGATTTAGCCCCCAGGCTATAGGTGAAGACCCCTTACCTGGAGGGCTCCCTCTTGGTTCAGTGGTTTTCAGATTGTATATGGGGTGGGTGCTGAGTGGAAGGTCTCAGCCTGGCCCCCTGCAGCAGCTGCAGCAACCTTGTTGTCTGTCTACACGTTGCTGTTTAATGTAAAGGTTTTTTTCAGCAATCAAGTCAGTTTGTAGGTGATGGTGGTGTGGTCTTGGGGGGGCAGCCAGATCCTGCACAATTCCTGAGGCTTGCTTTTTGTCTTGCTAGAGGGCAAGAAGCAGGGGAAGAGCCCCTGGAAGCACACAGAGGTGTTCTGCTCCATCCCATCCCGCTCCCTGCTCTCCCCAAGCTACTACCACAGCTTTGGAGTCACCGAGAACTATGTCATCTTCCTTGAGCAGCCTTTCAGGTTGGATATTCTCAAGATGGCAACCGCATACATCCGGAGAATGAGCTGGGCCTCCTGCCTGGCTTTCCACAGGGAGGAGAAGGTGAGGTCTGGCTGGACTCTAGCCCAGTGGGTGCTGGCTGACCATGGAGGGAGGCTGGTGTGCAGGAGGGTGAAGTTTAAGGCAAGGAAGTGGCATGGAAGAGGGAGGAGGCTACCAGAGGCATCTACCCACCTTCCAGCAAGTTCTGAAGCTGGATGGTCCTTCAGAATGGCCCCCAGGCCTTTGTACCCCCACGGTGATGAGTTATTGGATGAGGCTGTCCAGGCAAGGGGGTGCCATCTTGGGCAAACATGGAAGCCCTGGCAGTCCCCATATGCCCAGCAGCAAAAGGAGTGAGTCCTCAGTCCTTATGGAGAGCTGGGCTCCTCCCCACCTCCGCCCTGTTGACAAGACCCCTTAACCATGTCTGCTACCAGTGTGTAGCGTTGGGGCGGTAGCGGCCAGAGGTTTAGACATTGTAATGACAGTATGTTCCACCAGACAGTTCAATAGAAACCTCTCCTTCCATTCAGGTACACCTGAGTGCTCAAAGTATGTATGCACGTATTGCATGCTTGTATATGCACATATGCATGTATATGTGTACATGTATATGTGCATGTATGTGCATATGTGTATGAATACATGTACGTGTGCATGGGTGTATGTATGTATTACTAGTGTTTATTTACTTGTTGGGTTTTTATTGTGGGGGGGTTGTTTTTGAGACAGAGTGTTGCTCTGTCACCCAGGCTGGAGTGCACTGGTACAATCACAGCTCAGTGCACCCTCAACCTCCCAGGCTCAAGTGATCCTCCCAAGTAGCTGGAACCAGAGGCACATGTCTCTATGCCTGGCTAATTTTTTGTTGTTTTGTAGAGATTGGGGTCTTGCTATGTTGCCCAGGCTAGCCTCAAACTCTGGACTCAAGTGATCCTCCTCCCTTCCCCTCCCAAAGTACTGGGATTACATGTGTGAGCCATTGCACCTGGTCTTTTTTTTTTTTTTTTTTTTTTTGCGTTGTCACTTCACTTTTGTAAAATATCCAGTAGTTCTCAGTGTTACCTATTCAAAGAATATACAAGTATAGAAAGCCATGTATAAAATCCTCCCCAACTCACTTCCCCCCTCCTGCCTCCCATCCACCCCCACGTCTGAAGGGAGCCACTGCTACCCACTGACACTGTGTTACTCCACCATCTCTGCCTTCACGTGCACTTTTAGTTTTTCTTTTTTTTTTTTTTCAGATAGAGTCTCACTCTGTCACCCAGGCTGGAGCGCAGTGGTGCGATATCAGTTCACTGTAACCTCCGCCTACGTATCAAGCTATTCTCCTCTCTCAGCCTCCTGAGTAGTTGGGATTATAGGCACACGCCACAATGCCTAGTGAATTTATTTATTTATTTATTTTTTGAGATGGAGTTCCATGCTTGTCGCCTAGGCTGGAATGCAATGGCACATTCTTGGCTCACTGCACCCTCCACCTCCTGGGTTCAAGCGATTCTCCTGCCTCCACCTCCTGAGTAGTTGGGATTACAGGCAAGTGCCACCATGCCTGGCTAATTTTTTGTATTTTTAGTAGAGATGGGGTTTTGCCATGTTGGCCAGGCTAGTCTTGAACTCCTGACCTCAAGTGATCCACCTGCCCGGCCTCCCAAAGTGCTGGGATTACAGCATGAGCCACTGTGCCCTGCCAAGGCTCCAGTCTTAGATGGAGCCTGGCACCTGGCAGATTCTCCCCAACTTGGTCATTGCCAGGGAGCTGGGATGTCAGGACAATGGAACAAGGGGACCGTGCACACTGGAGCGTCTCTCCAAACACTGTCCTCCTAGTGACTGCAAAGACTCTGGCAGCAAAGCATCCCTCCTCTCCATCTGAAAGATATACTTATGGAAGTACAATAAACAGCTCTCATTTTGGGGGGCACTTTTGCCTGTCTGGTGTTGTGGAGCACACACAGAATGCAGAATGGGGACATAGTCCTGAGCCTAGCTCCTGGCGGGGCTGGGTTTTGTTCAGCCCCCAGATGCCACAGTGCCAGGCTGAGAGAGGGTGAGCTGAGCCCTTGATATGTGTCCTTTTTCAGACTTATATCCACATCATCGACCAAAGGACCAGGCAGCCTGTGCAGACCAAGTTTTACACAGACGCCATGGTGGTCTTCCATCACGTCAACGCCTACGAAGAGGACGGCTGCATCGTGTTTGACGTCATTGCCTACGAGGACAACAGCCTCTACCAGCTCTTCTACCTGGCCAACCTGAACCAGGACTTCAAGGAGAACTCCAGGCTCACCTCGGTCCCCACCCTCAGGAGGTTTGCCGTGCCCCTCCACGTGGACAAGGTAATGGCTTCCAAGGAGGTCCCTTTTCTTTCTAGAGAGATATCGGCCCAGGTGGGAAGTTACTTTGGCCCTTATTTGATTGACATTGAAATCCAAATGAACTGTTCTTGAAAAAAAAAAAAGTTTTCATTGTTTTTCCCAAAGTAGTACCGATTCATAATAAAAACTTTAGAAAATATAGATAAGTAAAAAGGAGAAAAAAATCCCTATAAACCTACCACCGAAGATGATCACTGTGGATATATATGTTTGTCTCCCAGTCTCTCTCTCTGTGTCTGTGTGTGTGTGTGTGTGTGTGTGTGTGAATCTTCATTTTAATCATATTGTACATAATTTTTTTTTTTTTGAGACGTAGTCTCGCTCTGTCACCCAGGCTGGAGTGCAGTGTTGCGATCTCTGCTCGCTGCAAGCTCCACCTCCCAGGCTCACGCCATTCTCCTGCCTCAGCCTCTGGAGTAGCTGGGACTACAGGTGCCCGCCACCATGCCCAGAGAATTTTTTGTATTTTTAGTAGAGACGGGGTTTCACCGTGTTAGCCAGGATGGTCTGGATCTCCCGACCTCGTGATCCACCCGCCTCGGCCTCCCAAAGTGCTGGGATTACAGGCGTGAGCCACTGCACCTGGCTGTCTTACATAATTTTTAACAGCTTTATTGAGATGTAATTGACACAGCATACAATTTGCCCTTTTATTTATTTTTTTTTTTATTTTTTTTGAGACAGAGTCTTGCTCTGTCACCCAGGCTGGAGTGCAGTGCCATGATCTAAGCTCACTGCAACCTCTGCCTCCTGGATTCAAGCGGTTCTCCTGCCTCGGCCTCTCAAGTACCTGGGATTACAGGCGCCTGCCACCACGCCCAGCTAATTTTTGTATTTTTAGAAAAGACGGGGTTTCACCATGTTGCTCAGGCTGTTCTCGAACTCCTGACCTCAGGTGATCCACCCACCTTGGCCTCCCAAAGAGCTGAGATTACAGGCGTGAGCCACCATGCCTGGCCTAATTTGCCCATTTAAAGTGTTTGACAGCCTTTGGTATGTTTTCACAGTTGTGCATCCACCACCACGATAAATTTTAGAACATTTTCATCACCTCCAAAACACACCCCACACCCCTTAGCCATCACCTCCTAGTCTTCCCCTCCCTGCCCCAGGCAACCTGTCATCTGCTCTCTGTCTCTGCAGACTTGCCCTTTCTAGACATCACGTATAAATGGAGTCTTACAATACGTGATCTTTTGTGTCCGGCTCCTTTCACACAGCACAGTGTTGTCAAGGCTCATCTGTGTTGTAGTCCGTATAAGTGCTTCATTTCTTTTTGTTGTTGTTGTTGGTTTTTGCTTGTTTGTTTGTTTTGAGACAGTCTCGCTCTGCCGCCCAGGCTGGAGTGCAGTGGTGTAATCTCGGCTCATTGCAACCTCTGCCTCTGAGGTTCAAGCAATTCTTGTGCCTCAGCCTCCTGAGTAGCTGGGATTACAGGTGCCCACCACCATGCCTAAGTTTTTGTATTTTTAGTAGAGGTGAAGTTTCGCCATGTTGCCCAGGCCGGTCTTGAACTCCTGAACTCAGGCAATCTGCCCCCCTACGTCTCCCAAAGTGCTGGGGTTTCAGGTGTGAGCCACAGTGCCCGGCCAGTACTTCATTTCTTTTTATGGATTAATAGGTACATACTATCTTACAGACTGCTTTTCTTTTCTTTCTTTTTTTTTTTTTTTTTTGAGAAGGAGTCTCGCTCTGTGGCCCAGGCTGGAGTGCAGTGGCGCAGTCTCAGCTCACTGCAAGCTCCGCCTCCCAGGTTCAAGCCATTCTCCTTCCTCAGCCTCCCAAGTAGCTGGGACTACAGACACCTGCCACCACGCCTGGCTAATTTTTTTTTTGTATTTTTTAGTAGAGACAGGGTTTCACCGTGTTAGCCAGGATGGTCTCAACCTCCTGACCTCATGATCCGCCCGCCTTGGCCTCCCAAAGTGCTGGGATTACAGGCGTGAGCCACCGCGCCCGGCCCAGACTGCTTTTCTACCTATTTATGTATCGAAACATCTCTCCATGACATTAAATATTCTTTGAAACATCACTTTAAACATTTGCCTAATCGTTCATGGCAGGGATTCATCACCATTTGCTTACACAATTCTCTGATGTTGGAAGTTCCGTTCTTGCACTAAGAATGACCACCAGGCCAGACATTATCCCCAATTAGGGTGATGTGGCCCAGGCTCTGGGCTTTACTTACAGAGACTTACAAAGGCTTCTGGCTCCAGAACTCACTGACTTCATGACTTAATTAATTTAAGTGAAACCAAATTCAATTCAATTAAATGTTGATGGCTTACATTGACTAAATGCAAGTTATGTGCCAGGTACTTTGCTAAGCATTTTGTTTTTCTTACCTCACTTAATGATCAAAACAACCTGTGGGAAACGTCCCTGTAGAAGCCTCATTTTACAGATGAACAAACTGAGGCTCAGAGAAGTTAAGAAATGTGGGCAAGGTCACAGCCCAGAGTGGCAGAGCCAAGACTGGAACCTGCCCCAGTCTGTCTCTAAACCCCCATTTTTTTTTTCTTTTTGTGGGGGATGGAGTCTTGTTGTGTCACCCAGGCTGGAGTGCAGTGGTTTAATCTCGGCTCACTGCAATCTCCGCCTCCTGGGTTCTAGCGATTCTCCTGTCTCAGTTTCCCAAGAAGCTGGGATTACAGGCATGTGCCAGCACACACAGCTCATTTTTTGTTTGTTTGTTTGTATTTTTAGTAGAGATGGGGTTTCACCATGTTGGCCAGGCTGGTCTTGAACTCCTGACCTCAAGTTATCCACCCACCTCGGCCTTCCAAAGTGCTGAGATTACAGGCATGAGCCACCGTGGCCGGCCCTAAACCCCTGTTTGTAACTACGAAGGAGGAGGAACTCTGCTATTCTCCCCAGTAGCCCTAAGTCCTAGGAAAGAGCCTCAGATGGGCCACACTTGGCACTCTGCAGGCCTGGCAGACGGTCCTACAGTGTCCAGGGAGCCTTTTCCCACCCTTACCGCCCAGTTTCTCAGTGCAGGAATTCAGCCACCCTCCCAGCCAGCGGGCAGGGGAGCTGGCGTTTGAACTGAGGTTTGTCTGACTCCAGAGCTGGGGTCCTCTCCCATCTCTCCAGCATTTTCCCACCCATGGCCATTTGTGTGTCTCTGCCATGGTTTTTGTCATATTTTATATCACCTCTACTTAACATTTAAAAATCCTTTTTTTTTTTTCATTTCAATCAATTCACTCTCTACTTAGCTCATTTGAAAGGAAACACATCACTACCCAGTAGAAAGCTGGCAATGCTTGCTGCACAGAGAAGACAAGCATGAGAATAAAATAGTGGAAATAAAGCAGAGGTCTTGAGCTCCAGCCAGAGGGCTGTGGCTTACCAAGACCTGATCTCTCTGTGAAAAAGCCAAGTTTTAAAAGTATTAGGCATTAAAGACATCGTGGCACCGCACTGAGACTCTCCTTGACCTAGTCAGAACAACTGGAAGAGAAAAAGGCATTGATTTTCTCCCCTATGTGACTCAGGGCTATTGGATGAACAGCCACGTCCCATGAAATCAGCACATGAGCCCTGGGCGCCTGCACCCCTTGCTCCAGAAGCACCGCAGTGCAGCCCCTCAGACTTTCTCCTGGTTCCAGGAAGTACTGAGGAGTAACAAGGCACAAAGGTAGTAAGTCTCAAGGCTGACCTCAGCCTAGGGATAGTACACAGAGAGGAACATACTCCCTCCCACTGCCACACCTTACAAGATTTTATAACCTTTTGTCATGCTCGAGAATGCTTTGCTGCCTTGGAACCAAGCTAAGAATGTTAGCTTGTGTATCTTTTTTTTTTTTTTTTTTTTTTTGAGACAGAGTCTCGCTCTGTCGCCCAGGCTGGAGTGCAGTGGCGTGATCTCGGCTCACTGCAAGCTCCGCCTCCCGGGTTCACGCCATTCTGCTGCCTCAGCCTCCCTAGTGGCTGGGACTACAGGCGCCCGCCACTACACCTGGCTTATTGTTTTGTATTTTTGGTAGAGACGGGGTTTCACCGTATTAGCCAGGATGGTCTCGATCTTCTGACCTCGTGATCCGCCTGCCTCAGCCTTCCAAAGTGCTGGGATTACAGGCGTGAGCCACTGCGCCCAGCCCCCTAGCTTGTGTATCTTTAAAAGCCATCAGGTGTTCAGGCACAGTGGCTCACGCCTGTAATCCCAACACTTTAGGAGGCCCAGGCAGGTGATCACCTGAGGTCAGGAGTTCAACACCAGCCTGGCCAACAAGGTGAAACCCTGTCTCTGCTAAAAATGTAAAAATTAGCTTGGCGTGGTGGCCCCTGCCTGTAATCTTAGCTACTCAGGAGGCTGAGGCAGGAGAATTGCTTGAACCCAGGAGGTGGAGGCTGCAGTGAGCTGAGATCCCACCACTGCACTCCAGCCTGATCCCGCCACTGCACTCCAGCATGGGCAACAGAGTGAGACTCCATCTCAAAAAAAAAAAAAAAGAAAGCTGTCATATGAACCATCTGCTGCTTTGAAACTAGCAAAGGAAAGCAAGCCCTGGGATGGGTAGCTCCAGCCACGCTTTTTAATTGCTACTTATTGTCCCTTAAATATGTCTTCTTACTGCACTTTCAATGGCTCCGCCTGCATAGTGAAATCAGAAAGTCAGGCAGGTGGACAGAGCCTTACATGCCCTGATCCAGCAGCTTTGGCTCCACCCCATCCAGAGGTTTACTGGAGAAGCGACTTCAGGAAGATGCTGCCCTTACTCAGATGCCCTCTGGGCCTGAGGCCTTTGCAGGACATTGCTTTCCCCTCTGTCTGAAACCCTGTCCTCCTGGGCTGACACTCCTGCTCCCCCTGGCTGGCTGCACATTGGGATCCCCTGGAGAGCCCTGAGACCCCCATGTCCGGGCCTTGGCTTCCGCCCAGACCGGGGAAGCCCAGGCCCGGGTGTGGTCTCAGAAACCCCCAGTGATTCTGCAGTGCAGCCGTGGCAGAGAACCTCCAAGGTCAGGGATCAGCAGCATGACCCCGCAGCTGAGTCCGTATCCTCTAATGGCGCCTTGTAACTCTTTGTCAACATTTATCTCAAGTGTAAGTAACTTGTTCATTTCCCTCTTCCTGTTCAAGCCTAAGTTCTGGGAGGACAGGGACTCTGTCTCATCAGCAGTTCATCTGCTGCACTCAGAGGGTGCTCTTAAATATTTGAAATGAATGAATGAATGATGAATACATGAAAAATGGGAAGCAAGTTCTCTAAAAGGGCGCAGCATCTTCCTTCAGCCTTTGGAACCCGTCCCAAGTGAAAAGTGCTTCCCACATAGAACAGGCAATAGCAAATTCTATTTAAAAGGCCAGGAGGTCCTGAATGTCCCAGATTCTCTTGCTTTGGGACCAGCTGGGGTCAAAGGAAGGCAGGGCTGGCAGGGCCTCTGGGCACCGTGGGCCTGTTTACGCAGGGCGGTGTGGGGGTGCCTGAGGCAGGGCTTAGCAGTGGCGGGGTGTGGCTGGGAGGGGTGTGGGCAGGGGTGGGTCATCTGGACCTTGGCCCTGCCCTGGTGCTGCAGGGCGCTGTGTGAGGCCCGAGGTTCGTGTGCACCCACGCCTAAGGGGCATTCACAGGAGGAAGCACTGTGGACCTGGAAGGGATGGCTTTGATGACTGGATCAGTGGGTTTGGTTTCTGTCTCCAAATGCACAAATGCAGACACTCCAGTAAGAGAAGCACCATTCATGGAGGACCCGCTAGGTGCCAGGCTCTGTGTTCAATGCCTTTTCTGCTCTTAGACCCTGGCAAGAGGGGCCCCTGCTCTGGGTTTGGCACTTTGGAGGACTGTGGTCCAGGCTTTCTTTCTCTAGCAGGACCCGTACTCCACAGGGTGAGTTCACAGGGCCAAGGCATTCTGACTACCCAGAGGGGTGCTTCCACCCCCACCCCAACCATGTGCTGGACACCTGGGATCCCAGAAGCTCCTGAAGGGCCCAGCCTTGCTTCCAATACCCGTCTTCCTAAGGGCAGACTGCCACTCTGCTGTTCCTGCCACAGGCCCATGAGGTGGCCAGGGCTGGCTGTTGCCTTGGTTGTGCTGGCTAGGGCATCCACGCAGTGAGGGATGGAGCCTGGGATGAGGCAGGAAGGAGCCAAGGGCCAGAGACTGCCTTATTCCAGCTCAGAACTCTAAGGAGTCCTGGGGTTCTCAATTCACAGTCATCCTTTCAGACCAGCACAGTGCATTGCTGGAACATTCTGTCTGTCCAACACAGTAGCTACTAACTACGAGTTGTTATTGTACACTTGAAATGTGGCTGGTGCAGCTAAGGAATTGAATTTTTAATTTTACTTAAGCTTATTTTAAAATTAAATTTAAGGCCAGGCATGGTGGCTCACGCGTGTAAACCCAGCACTTTGGGAGGCCAAGCCAGGCAGATCACTTGAGGTCAGGAGTTCAAGACCAGCTTGGCCAACATGATGAAACCCCATCTCTACTAAAAATACAAAACTTAGCCAGGCATGGTGGCTCATGCCTGTAACCTCAGCTACTCAGGAAGCTGAGGCAGGGGAACTGCTCGAACCCGGGAGGCGGAGGTTGCAGTGAGCTGAGATCGTGCCACCGTATTCCGCCTGGATGACAGAGTGAGACTCGGTCTCAAAAAAAAAAAAAAAAAAAGTAAAATAAAATAAAATTAAATTTAAATCGCAACATATGGCTAGCGATTGCCGTTTGGGACAGCCTGTTCCACGCCATCATGAAGGGCTGCGTGTCAAGGCAGGGAGAGAGATGGTGTTGGACTTAATTTGCTTGGTGTATTTAGACAGAAGGTTGGTGGGCCTCCACTTGTACTCTCCTCCTGGCTCCTGTGAATTTTAGGGGCTGTGAAGTGCTTTGCTAATCTTCATCACAATGTTCTAAGTTATTTATGATCCCCCACGTCTACAGATGAGAAAGTAACTTGCCCAACTTTTTAGAATCATCCCCAGGACTTGAGCTGGAACTGGAATGTACGCCTGTCTGCCTGCACGATGTGTGTGGCCCTGGACCAGCCTATTTTTCTCAACCATTATTTAATTTAATCCTAACATAATGCTCAGATGCAGGTGGAAACCGCCTCACTTATACCCAGCACCACACTAAAAGTTATGAATCACCACCCCGATTTTACACAGTGGAGGAAACTAGCTCTGAGAAAAAGAGGTCTGCTCGAATCTGCATGGAAAACCACAGCGTTGAATTTCATATGGCAGGCAGCATTCTAGGGGATGACAGTGATGACTGCTTCTTATGAGAGTTCCCTTAAGTGTCGGGATTTCAATGTAAGCTTGCAAGATGGTGCTGGATTCTGGCTGGAAAGTGATGTCTTCCTAAAACTGAGCATGCTGGCCACTGAAAGCAGCCAAGTCATGTTTGTTATTGCTGTGTGTGGAAAAATTCACAGTTTATTCCTCAACCAGTCCGACCAGTTTGGGGCTGGAGTTATAAGATGTCTGTGCAGACCAACTCCCTAAGAATCAAGGCTGGAATGTGCCCAGAGGTCTCTTGCTGTCACATGCTTAGCAAGGTACCAGGAAGGGCCTCCCACCAGCTTGCAGAGCCATGGAGGTGGAGGCATTGAAAGTTTCTGTTTATTTTATTTTATTTTTTTTTGAGACAGAGTCTCGCTCTGTCGCCCAGGCTGGAGTGCAGTGACGCGATCTCGGCTCATTGCAACCTCCGCCTCCCAGGTTCAAGCGATTCTCCTGCCTCAGTCTCCTGAGCAGCTGGGACTACAGGCATGTGCTACCACGCAGGGCTAATTTTTACATTTTGAGTAGAGATGGGGTTTCACCATGTTAGCCAGGCTGGTCTCGAACTCCTGACCTCAGATGATCCACCCACCTCGGCCTCCCAAAGTGCTGGGATTACAGGCATGAGCCCCCGCACTCAGCTAAATGTTTCTAAGAAGCCACCGATGTGCCAGGTGCTGGGCTCCTTTGTCTCTGCATTTCCTCTCATTTGATTCTTACAGCCACCGTGCAAAACAAGTCTTGCCCCTTGACAGCCCAAAGAAAAGCTTATTGAGTTGTGCATTCACTCATTAATTCAGCGATTACTTCCTGGGCACTAGGTGCCAGGCACTGAGCAAAATCTGGTCCCTGGCTTCATGCGGCAGACAAGCTAAAATAAGGAAAAGAGCTTCATAAAGGAGATAATTACAGCTCAGGGCCAGTGCCTTGGAGACACTGCAGATTCCAATGGAGTTGTTAGGGAAGGGGTGTTTCTTCTGAGACCTCAGGGTTTGGGGAAGAACCAGCCTCAGGGCCTTTGCACTGCCTTCACCCTCTACCAGCAATGCTCTTGCTTCTGGGCCAAAGAATCAATGCAAAGGCCCCAGGCACAGGGTCTGCTTCTCTCCATGTGACTTTGGACCAGTCCCTTTCCTTCTCTAGGCCTCAGTTACTTCTACAAATCGAGACTGAATTAAACAAATTTCCGAGGACCCTTGCGGTTCAGCTGCTAAGTTGCAGTAAACTTTTCATGCTCTCCAACAAAAATGCTGCTATCCCTAAAATAGGTTGGTTTTAATTATAAAAGCCATTTTGAGCCAGGTGTACTGGCTCATGCTTGTAATCCCAGCACTTTGGGAGGTCAAGAGAGGAGGATCACTTGAGCCCAGGAGTTCGAGACCAAGCTGGGCAACATAGTGAGACCCTGTCTCTACAAAAAATACAAAAATTAACCAAGGATGGTGACGCATGCCCGTAGTCCCCCAGCTACTCAGGAGGCTGAGGTGGAAGGATCACTTGAGCCTGGGAGTTTAAGGCTACAGTGAGCTGTCATCACACTACTGTACTCCAGCCTGGGCGACAGAGCAAGACCCTGTCCCAAAATAAAATAGAAGCTATCTTAGAAAATGTAGAAAGTAGAGAAAAGTTTAAATGAGAAGTCAGCCATAACAATAATGTTCCATCCTCTTGTTCCTCAATATCTTCCAGAGCCTAACCCGTAGTCACCTCCAGTAGTGGTGGCAGCAATATAATAATAATAAGTGATAGTAGTAGTAGTATGGTAATAATAGTAATAATAATATAACAACGTCATCAATAGAAGCAGCTGACATTCATCTAGCACTTATTGTGAAGCAGGCATTCTTGTGAATCATTTGTGCAGATGATGTCATTCAGTCTGCACAATAACTCAAAGATGCATATGCTATTAATATACACATAAGGAAACGGAACTATAGAGAGGCCAACTGACTTGCTCAAGGCCCCACGGTTAGTACATGAGGGAAACAGGGAGTAGTAGATGCTCAATAAATATTTAATCATGCTAAATCCCTCCCCTTGCTTATACTGATGACAGTAAGATACTGAACACAGCAAAATCTGACTGTAAATTGAGACCAAGAAATGTCCTTGAAGGCTGTTTTGCCACCAAATAATTTTTATTGCATGTTTGTTTTCATTTCTGCAGTGATAACTTTTCCTAGAAGAAAATACTGAAAATACAGAGAGGCATACAAAAAAGAAATTAAAGTCCCCCCAATCCCATCATCTGTTGTATTTTTAATATTTAGTATATTTCTGGCTGGGCGTGGTGGCTCACGCCTGTAATCCCAGCACTTTGGGAGGCCGAGGCGGGTGGATCACTTGAGGTCAGGAGTTCAAGACCACCCTGGCCAACATGATGAAACCCCATCTCCACTAAAAATATAAAAATTAGCCAGGCATGGTGGAATGAACCTGTAATCCCAGCTACTCTGGAGGCTGAGGCAGGAGAATCGATTGAACCTGGGAGGCAGAGGTTGCGGTAAGCCAAGATCACACCACTGCACTCCGGACTCCAGTCTGGGCAACAGAGTGAGACTCCATCTCAAAAAAAAAAAAAAAAAAAAAAAAAAAAAAAAAAAAAAATTACACACACACACAGACACACACACACACACACACACACACATTTAGTATATTTCTCTGTCTCTTCTCCGTGTAACTTTTTTAATGTGGTTGAGCTCAGACTGCATACGCAATTTGTCCTGTTGCTGCTTTTACTCAGTGTTATGTGATAAGCATTTCCCATGTTGTTGTAAACTCTTTAGAAGCATCCTTTTAACGACTGATGCAGCTTTTTATAGGTGAATCATCTAGTACTTTAAAAGTGAGAACTTACTCTCAGAAGCACATTAATTTTCCCTGTGAGGGATAAGGCAGGCTCAGAGTAAGAGAAAAGAGTCCTATCACCTACCAGGTATGTGACCTTGGAGGAGTCACCTTAAATGGCCAATCCTCATTTTTTAAACTGAGACTAAGGATAACAACAGGAAACGAGCTGCTTCCTATGATTAATGTGAGGCTAAGCCAAGATGACATGTATTCAAGCATTTTAAAAAATATATACACTAAAGCAAATGTTTGCTCTGGATTACACGTTTTTATTTTACTTTTTGAAAACTGAATTTTTTCAGAATGCAGAAGTGGGCACAAATTTAATCAAAGTGGCATCTACAACAGCCACGGCCCTGAAGGAAGAAGATGGCCAAGTCTACTGCCAGCCGGAATTTCTTTATGAAGGTAAAATGCATCCTCTTGTCCTGAGTTTAGGAAAGGGGCAGATTTTCACAGGGAGCCCAGAGGCCTCTTTACATAATAATTCCCTCCTGTGCATGGACAAGGGCCAAAAAGGAAAGGGTCTTGGGATGCCCTGGTGAAAAGCATCTGGGGACATTTCTCTTTTCTCTATCTTCAAATGCTTCCTAGGAAGGCAATGGGTGAGGCCAGGCACGGTGGCTCCCACCTGTAGTCTCAGCACTTTGGGAAGCTGAGGGAGGCAGATCACTTGAGGCCAGGAGTTCAAGACCAGCCTGAGCAACATGGCGAAACCCCATCTCTACTAAAAATACAAAAATTAGCCGGGTGTGGTGGCGCATGCCTGTGGTCCCAGCTACTCAGGAGGCTGAGGCATGAGAATCACTTGAGCCCAGGAGGTGGAGATTGCAGTGAGTTGAGATTGTGCTATTGTACTCCAGCCTGGGCAACAGAGCAAGACACTGTCTCACAAAAATAAAAATAAAAATAGGAAGGCAGTGGGTGGTTGTTGGGCCAGATGACTTCTGCAAATGCTGTCCCTTACTGAACATGGGCTTACTGAACAGGCACAATACATTTCCATTTCTTCCTCTCAACATCCACAATATCCTGCAAAAATAGGTGTTATCGGCCCCGTAATATAGCGAAGAAAACTAGGCCTGGGAGTCCTTGAGGTACACACAGAAAGCAGACCCTCTAGAACAGGAGTCACACCCGTGGAGCAGGGCTCCTCAATCTGGGCACCATCGCCATCTGGGGCTGGGTCATTCTTTGCAGTGGGTGCTGTCCAGGGAATTGTAAGATGTTTAGCCACATCCCTGGCCTCTACCCACTGGAAGCCAGGAAGACCCCCATCCTGAATTGGAGCAGCCAAATATGTCTCCAGACATTGCCAGCATCTCATGGGAGCACCATTGCCATGATGGAGAACTTCTGCCCCAGAATATAAGCCCGTGAGGCGAGAATTGTGTTGCTGTGCTCACAGCGTATCAGCAGCACATGACACAAAGGCTGGCATAGAGAGGTCTGTGTTCCATACGCCAAAGTGCAGAATGAATGGACTTGTCCAAGGAGACTCAGCTAGAGAGTGGGACAGAGTGCATTTCAACTGAGCGCATTGGCTGGGCACGGTGGCTCACGCCTGTAATCCCAGCACTTTGGGATGCTGAGGTGGGCAGATCACTTGAGGCCAGGAGTTTGAGACCAGCCTGGCCAACATGGCGAAAACACATCTCTACCGAAAATACAAAAATTAGCCGGCATGGTGGTGCACGCTTGTAATCCATAATCCCAGCTACTCAGGAGGTTGTGGCAGGAGAATTGCTTGAACCCCGAAGGCAGAGCAGAGAGCTGAGATTGCGCCACTGCACTCCAGCCTGGGCAACAGAGACTTTGCCTCAAAACAAAAAACAAAAAACAAAAACAAAAACAAAAAACCCTGAGAGCCTTGTTCCATCAGCTGCCCCATGCCAGGAGGTTTGGGCATCTGGAAGAGCACATAGACTTGGGGACTCTTTTAGGATGACCCTTGGATTTGACCTAAGAATCCACTTCTGTAAAAGGCATCCCATGCATCCCATAACCGGTTCTGTGATGCAACTCATTCCCCTGGAGTCTTTAGAAATGAATCAATAGATGATGCCAGGTCTGAAGGCATCAACCCCCAACCCCCATCCCTGCTCACCCACCACATCCCTTTTTTTTTTTTCCTGAGAAGACCACGCTTGTTTATTGTTGCAATATTGTCCACACTAAAAAGTGTAACAATAAAGAAACCACCCGTAATCCCTGCCCCCGTGACAGCGCTTTGGGCTACCCATCCAATCCTCCCATCATGCATGGATTGTGTGACATAGGCCGGGTCCCTTCTGGCGAGTTCTCAGACTCTCTCATTTCATCCCGGCAGTGTCATTCTTTTATTGTTGACATTAGATTTGTTCACGTACATCAAGGGCTTAGTGTGGGGTCTGGCCTATAGGGAGAGTCCAGCCATTGGCAGCAATATTAGAACAGTCCTAAGAAGCAGGCTCAGACAATCTCAAAACTTGCCAAAAGGCAGGCAGCAGAGCCAGGTTCTGACCCCAGCAGTCTCTTATCCCAGAGCCCATTGCCTCTGCATTTGTACTTTTGCAAAATGCATTCCATATCATCTAGAATGTTCCGAAGCTGCCTCTTGCACTTAATGTATGTAACCTGAGTATTTTCCCACATCCTGAAGATTCTTCAAGAACATGGCTGTTAAGGACCGGGCATGGTGATTCACACCTATAATCCCAGCACTTTGGGAGGCCAAGCCTTAATTTCATGTAACTACTGGCCAGGCGCAATGGCAATTACAGGCATTACTCATGCCTGTAATCCCAGCACTTTGGGAAGCTGAGACAGGTGGGGCATCTGAGGTCAAGAGTTTGAGACCAGCCTGGACAACATGGCAAAACCCCATCTCTATTTAAAAAAAAAAATACAAAAATTAGCCGGGGGTAGTGGTGCACACCTGTAGTCCCAGCTACTTGGGAGGCTTAGGCAGGAGAATCGCTGGTCTGAGAGGGGCCCAGGAACATCTTGGAAGTCTCAGGCCTACTTTGAGGTCAAGGGCAGGCACCTTCTTCTTATCTAAGTATGGGAGTGTTCCCTCTGCCTCACCTTCATCTGGGCCTGTCCCTTGGAAGTTTCATGCTTTCTCATTTGTGGGATTGGACATCTGCTTCCCATCTCAATACTTCATTCCCCTTCCCGCCCCACTGAGCCTAATCAGCATTTATCCATGGATGTATCTCTGCTTCCTCTTTTCTTGGACATTATATCTTCACCAGCAGTTGGCGGCAACCACCTAGAATATTTCCTAAGAGTTGAACATCCATTTCAGTATTCAGACTTAGAAATTCAATTTGATGCAATAGGCATATATACATATATACACATTTACGGCCAAGCACGGTGGCTCACACCTGTAATCCCAGCACTTTGGGAAGCTGAGACGGGCGGATCATGAGGTCAGGAGATCGAGACCATCCTGGCTAACATGGTGAAACCCTGTCTCTACTGAAAATACAAAAAAAAAAAAAAGTAGCCGGATGTGGTGGCACGCACCTGTAGTCCTAGCTACTTGGGAGGCTGAAGCAGGAGAATTGCTTGAACCTGGGAGGCGGTGGTTGCAGTGAGTTGAGATTGAGCCACTGCACTCCAGCCCAGGCGACAGAGCTAGACTCCATCTCAAAACAACAACAACAAACAAACTATATATATATATATTTTTATATATTTATATATTTATATATAAATATATATTTATATATTTATATATAAATATATATTTATATATACACACACATTTACAGAGAAAAAATAATATTTTTGATTATGTAAAAATAATAAGCATGATGAAAATTTCACATAATGAGAAACTTAGATTCTATCATAGAAAATGTAAACTGTAAGGCAGTTAGAACCCCAGCAATGCTTCCAAATTTTTTCTCTTCATTTGTAACCTAGCGGAGATACAATAATTCTATAACCAGCATTTTACACTTAACCTTATGGTATGGACACTTGCCCATGTTATTAAAATCATTTGTAAATGTTGTTTTTCCATAATGTTATTATAGAATTCACCAGATTTAATTAACTGTTCTCCATTGACACCCTTTTCCACAGCTTCCCATTCTGTTTTATTTTTTAGTTTTTATTTTAGAGATGGGGTTCTTGCCATGTTGAGCAGGTTGGTCTCAAACTCCTGGCCTCAAGCGATCCTCCCATCTCAGCTTCCCAAAGTGCTGGGATTACAGGCATGAGCCACCATGCCTAGCACAGCTTCCTATTTCTTTTCTTTTTGTTTTGTTTTGTTTTCTTTTCTTTTCTTTTCTTTTTTTTTTTTTTCGAGACAGAGTCTCACTCTGTGGCCCAGGCTGGAGTGAAGTGGCACGATCTCGGCTCACTGCAACCTCTGCCTCCTGGGTTCAAGTGATTCTCCTGCCTCAGCCTCCTGAGTAGCTGGAATTACAGGCATGCGGCACCATGCCTGGCTAATTTTCTTTGTATTTTTAGTAGAGGGAGGGTTTTGCCATGTTGGCCAGGCTGGTCTCAAACTCCCGAACTCAAGTGATCTGCCCGCCTCGGCCTCCCAAAGTGCTGAGATTACAGGCATGAGCCACTGCGCCCAGCCAGCTTCCCATTTCTCATCACATATGTGCACATGCACGCACACATATATACACATCAGCACTTTTTTGAAAAAAAGCTTTAAGAAATTGCAGTAGCCTCTGATTTTAATCATGCAATTCTCTTTGATTTCTATGTTGGATAATTAAAGATGTTTATACACTTAAAACCTAGGTCTGGAGTACCTTGCTCCTGGACTCTCTAATAGAGCTGGGGTAATTAAATTACCAGAGGCTCCCTCCCCTGCCTTTGACCACCTTTGATCCAATGCAGGCTCTAAATCAAGCTCAAGGATCTTGGTGTGGAAACGGATTCTGAGGAAAGGCTACCCAATCTGACAGGAAGGGTGGATGCTCCCAGCCCCCAATGATAGGGGCTTCATCCACCTCCTCATTTCCTTGTAGGCTTAGAGCTTCCACGGGTCAATTATGCTCACAATGGAAAGCAATACCGATATGTCTTTGCTACAGGAGTTCAGTGGAGTCCAATCCCAACCAAGGTACTGGTCTCTGTGTATTCACAAGCCTTTCCTACAGTGATTGTGTCTATATGCAAAGCTGAATTCTAAGGTTCTGAGACGTTGATTAGAAAAGAGGAGGTCAGAAGGAGTAAGCCTAGGATAAAATAAATTTGAAGTAAGGATGTTCAGCTGGGAGAGGGAGTGGTACCTAATGGGCTAAGGTTCAGGTAAGAGGTTGTGGCTGGAGTTTATTCACTGATTTCTTTATTCAATACATATTTAATGAGCACCAATTATGGGCTACAATGTGGTAGGCACTGAGGGTAAGGAAGTCAGCAGGGAGATTCCCAATCCCTGACCTAAGGAACTCACCCTCTCCAGCAGAGAGGGTGTAGCTGAAACTTAGAGGATTTATTTTGCTTCTTTTTTTGTTTTGTTTTGTTTTTTCCTTTTTATTTAAAAAAAAAATACAGAAAGAGACAGAGTCTCATTGTGTTGTCCATGCCTGTCTTGAATTCCTAGGTTCAGGGGATCCTCCTGCCTCAGCCACCAAAAGTGCTGGATTACAGCCTCGAGCCACCATGCCTGGCCCATTTTGCTTCTTAAGCTACCATTTGTCAAACACTTACTGTGTTCTGGGCACTGTGCTAAGTGCTGTGCAGGTGTCACTTCTTTTTAATGTCTTCATTTTTCATAATAAAATGGAAAATCTTTTTTTTAAAATGCAAACAGAGCAGGAATGTACACAGCCAAAAATTAAGCCTCCACCCCTCCATACCCCAAGCCACTCTCCACTAATCCCAAACCCCAGAGGGAAATAGGCCTATTGGGAGATTAAGAGAGATTCAGGGAATTGCACCCTTAAAGCAACAAAGGGGTTGTATTGTACTTTAAATGTTTGCATTGAATATATTCATTTATTTAACTCATATAAAATTGCAGTGCAATTTCAAATACAAGATATGTTCGATATTTTTAGGCAGGGTGTGGTGGCTCACGCCTGTAATCCTAGCACTTTGGGAGGCTGAGGATTGCTTGAGACCAGGAGTTCGAGACCAGCTTGGTCAACAATAGCAAGACCCTGTCTCTATATTAAAAAATAATAATAAATTTTAAAAGATTTTAATTTTTAAAAGAATTC